>NW_018654717.1:5462785-5764366 GCF_000001405.40 Homo sapiens | reverse complement strand
TACAATTATGATTTGTCAATTAAAATAACGTTAGTTAAAAAAAATAAGTAACTTGTTCAAAGCCCCAGTTGGGATTGATGGAGCTTGGACATGCACCAAGGCTGTTGCTCTGATGCCCACAGAGTCCTTTGTCGACGAATGTTGAAGCCCTACCTGAGATTTCTACTGAGATCAGTGTAGGGATTCAATGTCTCAGAATCATCCCATCCTCCAGGGCCCACAAGTCCATGACAGCTGCCTCTACCCCTGACCCTACTGACCTGAAATGTGGCCCCTGCTTTCATTTCCAGGAGCATACAACACTTACACCAAGCATTGATGGGTTTTGTTGACTTCATTTGAGATGTGGGGCCGTGGAGAGGGTCCCATGATCCTTGCTTGGTGTTGGCCAACTCATTGACTTCTCTCCTTTGACTTCACCCTTCCCTTTTCAACTCACCTCCTCTGTCATGGATTGCTCTGGGAATTCTGAGCCCTGGTTCCTTTATTTTGCAGATAACCTTCGCTCTTCTCTGCAACGAATCCCAAAAGTGTGTAGTTGAGCTGACTGCAAGGTGCTTGACACGCAAGAGAATTTACAAATGGGATTCGGCCTCTGGAAAGTGGTGGTAGTTCCAGATTTATGTGGATGTTACTTTGTTTTTCCCTATAAGATCTATTCTTTAAACTATCAAGCTCTTGGCTCCTGGCTGCAGTCGTTTGCTGGTGGCAGTGGGCTGGGTACTGCCACCGGGGAGAAATGCTGTCCACTTAGAGAAAGGGAAACTGGTTCTCTTTAAGAGGCAGAGGGAGGTTTCCAGTGCCAGTTTGTTTGGAGGCAAAATGGCTGTTGTAGTAAAATTGCCCAAACTTGGGCTGGTGCCTTGTGTGTTTAGAGCTCAAAGCCACGATTGTTTTCTTTTTCTTTTCTTTTTTTTTTTTTTTTTTTTTAGTGGTTGGTTTTCCATCCTTTTGCTTGGCAGGTTTCTGCTAATAGCTTCAACCTCAAGAGTCCCATTATACAGACACTAATAGCACCTACTATGTGTCAGTCTGTAGTGCCTACTATGTGCCAGGCATTGGAGATAATATAATGATGAACAAGATAAACATGACATTTGGAAAAGAGAGTCTGGTTCCCACTCTCAGCCCACCCCAAAGAGAGGCCAGAATTGGGCTTCCAAAGAAATCAGATGCCCTTGCATCACCTCCCTGAAGAGGACGGGTGAAGCTTTGGTGTCTGCAGAGAATTTGGCTGGACAATCCCCCAGTTTTGGAATGATGGGAAGGAGCTGCCATCTGTGTTTAAGATGAGAAGTGGGGGAGTGGCTGGATATCAGCAGAAGCCAAGATGAAGAGAAGGTTTTTGTGAGTTCCTATGCATAGTGGAGACCTGTTCTAGTGAGGGTCCCTGAGGCTGAGCCTGTGGGTCAGTGGAATGATGCTGTGAGGAGGGTCTTGCTATAGCAGGTGGCCCAAAGAAGGTTGATGGATCATGAGCAGCTGGAAGAATGGAGAGTTCGGGGGATGGAGTTCCTACCTGGCTTTCCAACAGTGTGTAAGCCCAGAATTCTTACATAAGCCCATGGAGAAGGGAAAGGAATACTGGTAACGACAAGATTGAATTCTCCACCTGCCAGGCATCCAGAGACTCAGAGCAGATTTAAGTGAAGTTACAGAAATAGGAATGTGACATTTCCTACATCCGGGTGTGCTGGAGCAAATATATTCCTTCTCTGGTTTGTGGGGAAGGAGAATGCTAACAGACAAGACTCCAGGATTTTGCTCTTAAACCTGGTGCCTACAGATGCATTTTCTACTGGATGCAGACAGAAGCTCCATATAGACATATCCATCGCTGCATCTCTCATGCCTTCTGTTCTCCCTAATTTTCCCTTTTTCACCCACAGAGGAAGAAAGTTCCAGCATCACTTCTGGCCTCTCAAGAGTGAGTTAGGTGGCCAGGTGGGGTTATTCATGCCTGTAATCTCATACTGAAGGGGTGGCCTGCCCCTCCACACCTGTGGGTATTTCTTGTCGGGTGGGATGAGAGACAGAAAAGAAATCAGACACAGAGACAAAGTATAGAGAAACAACAGCGGGCCCAGGGGACCTGCGCTTAGCATGCTAAGGACCTGCACTGGCACAGGTCTCTGAATTCCCTCAGTTTTTATTGATTATTATCTTCATTATTTCAGCAAAAAGGAATGTAGTAGGAGGGCAGGGTGATAATAAGGAGAAGGTCAGCAACAAACGTGAGCAATAGAATCTATGTCATAATGAAGTTCAAGGGAAGGTACTATGACTGGACGTGCATGTAAGCCAGATTTATGTTTCTCTCCACCCAGACATCTCAGTGGAGTAAAGAATAACAAGGCAGCATTGCTGTAAACATGTCTCGCCTCCCACCATAGGGCGGTTTTTCTCCCATCTCAGAACTGAACAAATGTACAATCGTGTTTTATACCGAGACATTCAGTTCCCAGGGGCAGTCAGGAGACAGTGGCCTTCCTCTATGTCAACTGCAAGTCTTTCCTCTTTGACTAATCCACCTCAGCACAGATCTTTTATGGGTGTCGCGCTGGGGGACCGTCAGGTCTTTCTCATCCCACGAGGCCATATTTCAGACTATCACATGGGGAGGAACTTTGGACAATACCCAGCTTTCAAGGGCAGAGGTCCCTGCGGCTTTCCACAGTGCATTGTGCCCCTGGTTTATTGAGATGAGAGAATGGTGATGACTTTTACCAAGTATACTGCTTGCAAACATTTGGTTAACAAGGCACGTCCTGCACAGCCCTACATGCCTTAAACTTTGATTTCATACAACACATGTTTTTATGAGCTCCAGATTGGGTCAAAGTGGTTGGGGCAAAGTGGCTGGGGCAAAGCTACAGATTAACAACATCTCAGCAAAGCAATTGTTTAAAGTACAGGTCTTTTTCAAAATGGAGTCTCTTATGTCTTCCCTTTCTATGTAGACACAGTAACAGTCTGATCTCTCTTTCTTTTCCCTACATATCCCCATTTTCGTTTTGACAAAACCACCTCCATCATCATGGCCCCTTCTCGCTGGTCGCTGTCTCTCTGGAGCTGCTGGATACACCTGTAGACTAAAAATAGAAAGGACAGACATACAAGGATTAATAAAAAATTTGCAATAGTGGAATTTCCGGTGGTTTGAACCCAAGTGACGGGGCAAGAGGACGGTGTGGGTGCTGCGGCACCAAGGCAGTCTCCCACCTCCTTTGTGTCTTAGTTGCTGTTTCTCATAGTTTTCAGTCTTTCTCCTCACCTGCTCACTCGCACCTTTTATCTCTTTGTCTCCCTTCTTTTACGGTCTCTCTCTCTCTCTCTCTTTTACACTGTCTCTCTCCCCAGTCTCACTTTCTGTGTCTCTCTCTGATCTCTGTCTCTTTTTCTTTCTCTTCCTCTCCCTGGCTCCCAACATGTGCCGTTTCCTTGGTGGATTGTAACTTCATCTGTTCTTCTGATATCACCATTTTGTTCACCCTGCGAGTCGATGATGCTCAACTGCGGGTTTTCTGTCTCTGCAGAGGCACTTTCATTTGCATCTTGATAGGTTCATTGTAGAACTTCAAATGTCTAGTGGGTATCCAAACAGGAAGCTGATTTTCTCCGGGTGAAACACAAGCACAACCTCTCCCCCATATTATCACCTTACCTATTTCCCATATTTTGTTTTTGTTGTCTTTCCACCAAATCAGTTTTCCCTCACGTGGCCTATTATTTTTACTAGTAAAATGTTCTGCAGAAGTAGTGGTCTGATTTCTATGTATGTCTAGAAAATCTAAAGTATAGAGTGTTAGATTAAGTTGCATCTGGGGAGTGCTATACTCCTTATTGTATTTTTCCTTTTTTTGTTTAACCAATTGAGCTTTGAGTGTTCTAAGCAGGACAGGTAAGATCTGCGTCTGGCACAGTCAGCCAGGTCTCCTTACCCTGTGCTTCCCTTTCTGCCTGTGACTGAATGGGCATGTCAGGGTCTAGTAGGGGATCCAGGAGGAGGAAGCCTCATTAACTTCTATTCTGCAGCAATTGATAGACACCCAACTTGAACAGTGGGGGCTTATCGCCTCATATACTAAGACCAGAGATAGCTGATGCCAAGGTTGGCTAAATTAGTAGCTTGAGATGTTAGATTTTTCATTTGAGGTTTCTATG
The DNA here is from genome assembly GCF_000001405.40 of Homo sapiens. NCBI lineage: Eukaryota > Metazoa > Chordata > Mammalia > Primates > Hominidae > Homo > Homo sapiens. Next base: position 5,760,202 of record NW_018654717.1, on the reverse strand, counting down.
CTGCTGTTGTCTTCCGCTCTTGGTCACAGAGGCTGCCACAATCCGCATGTCAAGTCCTCATGTGACAATATCCAGACACAGCAAGGAAGAGGTAGAGTGTATTCCTGCATGTTTCTTAAAAAAAAATGTTTTTGATAGAGAATAATTGTACACATTTATGGGGTCCATGTGAGATTCTGGTACATGCATGTAATGTGTAATGATCAAGTCAGGGTCTTTAGGATATTAATCACCTCAAACGTTGATCATTTCTTTGTGTTGGGAATATTTCAAATCTTATTGCTATTTAGAAATACACAATAAATCTATTTATCAGGATACAAAATCTATGTACACATATCAGTAGCAGTGCTATACACCAACATCTACCAGGCTGAGAATCAAATCAAACCCTTTTATAATAGCTGTAAAAATAAAATACTTAGGAATATACCTAACCAAGGAGGTGAAAGACCCCTACAAGGAAAACTACAAAACAATGTTGAAAGAAATCATAGATGACACAAACAAATGGAAACACATTCCATGCTCATGGATGGGTAGACTCAATATTGTGAAAATGACCATACTGCCAAAAGCAGTCTCCAAATTCAATGAGTTCCTATCAATGTACCATCATCATTCTTTATAGAACTAGAAAAAAAAAATGCCAAAATTCATTTGGAACTAAAAAAGAGTCTGCAAAGCCAAAGCAAAACTAAGCAAAAAGAACCAATCTAGAGGCATCACATTACCCAACTTCAAACTATATTACAAAGCTATAGTCACCAAAACAGCATAGTGCTGGTATAAAAATAGGCACATGACCAATGGGACAGAGTAGAGAACCTAGAAATAAAGCCAAATGCTTAACAGCCAACTGATCTTTGACAAAGTAAACAAAAACAAAGTAAGAAAAGTACACCCTATACAACAAATAGTGCTGGGATAATTGGCAAGCCACATGTAGAAGAATAAAACTGGATCCTTATCTCTCACCTTATACAAAAATCAACACAAGATGGATCAAAGACTTAAATCTAAGGTCTGAAACCATAAAAATTCTAGAAGATAACATTGGAAAATGCTTCTACACATTGGCTTAGGCAAAGAGTTTATGACCAAGAACCCAAAAGCAAATACAACAGAAACAAAGATAAATAGATGGGACTTAATTAAACTAAAAGCCTCCTGCACAGCATAGGAAATAATCAGCAGAGTAAACAGATCACCCACAGAGTGGGAGAAAATTTTCACAAACTGCATTTGACAAAGAACTAATGTCAGAATCTACAGGGAACTCTAATCAGCAAGAAAAAAATAATCTCATCAAAAAATGTGCCAAGGACATGAATAGACAATTCTCAAAAGAAGATATACAAATGGCCAACAAACATATGAAAAAATGCTCAACATCACTAATTACCAGGGAAATGCAAATCAAAACCACAATGCAATACCACGTGTAAAATAAACAAAAAGAGGGCCGGGCGCGGTGGCTCACGCCTGTAATCCTAGCACTTTGGGAGGCCAAGGTGGGCGGATCACGAGGTCAGGAGTTTGAGACCAGCCTGACCAACATGGTGAAACCCAGTCTCTACTGAAAATATAAAAATTAGCCGGGCATGGTGGCAGTTGCCTGTAATCCCAGCTACTCAGGAGGCTGAGGCAGGAGAATTGCTTGAACCCGGGAGGCAGAGGTTGCAGTGAGCTGATATGGCACCATTGTACTCCAGCCTGGGCGACAGAGCGAGACTCCATCTCAAAAAAACAAAAAACAAAAGACAAAACAAAACAAAAAAAACAAAAATTGATGTTGGCATGGATGTGGTGAAAGACAACGCTTTTACACTGATGGTGGGAATGTAAGCTAGTACCAGCACTATGGAAAACAGTATGAAGATTCCTTAAAGAACTAGAAGTACATCTACCATTTGATCCAGTAATCCCACTGTTAGGTATCTACCCAGAGGAAAAGAAGTCATTATATGAAAAAGATACTTTTGCACACATGTTTACAGCAGCAGAATTCACAGTTGCAAAACTACAGAACCAGCCCAAATGCCCATCAATCAATTTGTGGATAAAGAAAATGTGTTATATATATATATGTATACCATAGAACACTACTTAACCTTAAAAAGGAATAAAATAATGGCATTCATAACAACCTGGATGGAGTTGGAGACCATTATTTCAAATGAAGTAACTCAGGAATGGAAAACCAAACATTGCATGTTCTCACTCGTGGGAGAACATGGGAGCTAAGCTATGATGATGCGAAGGCACAAGAATGAAACAGTGGACTTTGGGGGCTCAGGGGGAAGGTGGGAGGGGGTGAGAGATAAAAGACTATACATTGGGTAAACTGCTTTGCTGATGGGTATGCCAAAATTTCAGAGATCACCCCTAAGGGACGTATCCATGTAACAAAATACCACCTGTTCCCTAAAAACTATTGAAATTAAAAAAAAGAAATATACAATAAATTATTGTAGTCACTTTCTGTGATAATAAACACTAGATCTCATTCCTTCTATTATATATTTTTATACCCATTAATCAACCTCTTTTCAAACCTCTCCTATTCCTAGCCTCTGGTAACTATCATTCTACTCTTTATCTCCATGATATCAATTTTATATAGCTCCAGGGCACACAAGTCCATAACTGTGGTCTCTATCCGTGACCCTACTGACCTGAAATATGGCCCCGCTTTGATTTCCAGGAGCATAAGCTGCTCATATAAGTGAGAACATGCAATAGTTTTCTTTCTGTGCATGGCCTAGTTCACCTGACGTTATGACCTTTAATTCCACCCAATTAGCTGAAAATGACAGGATTTCATTTTTTATGGCTAAATACTATTCCATTGTGTGTATATTCCCATTTTCTTTATCCATTCATCCATTGATTGACATTTAGATTGATTCCATATCTTGGCTATTGCAAATAGTGCTGCAGTAAATATGGGGGTATGGGTATCCCGTTGATACACTGATATCTTTTTTTGGATATATACCCATGAGTGGGATTGCTGGATCATATGGTAGATTTGTTCTTAGTTTTTTGAGAAATCTCTGTACTTTTTTTCATAATGGCTGTACCAATTTACATTCCCACCAACAATATACAATAATTTCCTTTTCTTCACATGCTTGCCAGCATTTGTTGTGCTTTGTCTTTTTAATACCCATTCTAACAAGTGTGAGATGATATCTCATTGTGGTTTTGATTTGCATTTCCGTGATGATTAGTGATGTTGAATATTTTTTCATAAACTTGGTGATTTGTATATTTTCTTTTGAGAAATGTCTGTTTATTTTTTGATAGTTTCTTTTGCTGTGTAGAAGCTCTTTCATTTAATTAGATCCCATTTGCCAATTTTTGCTTTTGTGGCAATTGCGTTTGGCATCTTCACCATGAACTCTTTGCCCATCACTATGTACCAGATGGTATTGCCTAGGTTGTCTTCAGCGTTTTTATAGTTATGAGTTTTACATTTAAGTCTGCAGGCCATCTTGAGTTAATTTTTGTGTGTGGTGTAAGGGAGGGGTGTTGTCTTTTCACTCTGTTGATTGTTTTAATTGATATACAGAAGGAATTTAATTTAATATAATCCCATTTGTCTATTTTTGTTGCTTGTACTTTTTAAGCGTTAGCCATACAATCTTTGTTCTCAAGCGTTTCTCCTGTGTTTATTTCTAGTAGTTTTATAGTTGTGGCTGTTACATTTAAGTCTTTAACTGATTTTGAGTTTATTTTTCTAAGTGATGAGAGATAAGGGTCTAGTTTTATTCTTCTGTGTTTGGATATCTAGTTTTGCTGGCACCATTTAATGAAGAGGGTGTCATTTATTCAATGCATGTTCTTGACAGCTTTCTTGAAAATCAGTTAGCTGTAAATATGTGGATTCATTTCTGGATTCTTTAGTCTGTTTCCTTTGTTTTTGTGTCTGTTTTAATACCAGTACACGCTGTTTTGGTTACTATAGCTTTGTAATACATATATATATGTATATCTATATACACACACACATATATACTTATATATATACACGTATATATACATATATACGTGTATATATATACATATATACGTGTATATATACGTATATATACATATATACGTGTATATATATACGTGTATATATATACACATATATACGTGTATATATACGTGTATATATATACATATATACGTGTATATATATACACATATATACGTGTATATATACGTGTATATATATACATATATACGTGTATATATATACGTGTATATATATACATATATACGTGTATATATATACATATATACGTGTATATATACGTGTATATATATACATATATACGTGTATATATACGTGTATATATATACATATATACGTGTATATATACGTGTATATATATACATATATACGTGTATATATACATATATACGTGTATATATACGTGTATATATATACATATATACGTGTATATATATACATATATACGTGTATATATACGTGTATATATATACGTGTATATATGTACATATATATGTGTATATATGTACACATATACGTGTATATGTACACATACGTGTATATATGTACACATATACGTGTATATGTACACATATACGTGTATATATATACACATATACGTGTATATATACACGTATACGTGTATATATACACATATACGTGTATATATACATATAAATATATACATATATACGTATATACACACATATACATATATACGTATATATATGCGTATATACACACATATACATATATACGTATATATATGCGTATATACGTATATATACATACATACGTACATATATACATATATACATACATATATACGTACATACATATATACGTATATACACACACATATACGTATATATATACATATATATACAAATATATTTATACACACACACACACATATATATATATATATATATATATATATTTTTTTTTTTTTTTTCTTTTTGAGATGGAGTCTTGCTCTGTCGCCCAGGCTGGAGTGCAGTGGTGTGATCTCTGCTCACTGCAAGCTCTTCCTCCCGGGTTCATGCCATTCTCCTGCCTCAGCCTCCCGAGTAGCTGCTGGGACTACAGATGCCCGCCACCACGCCTGGCTAATTTTTTTTTTATTATTATTAGAGACGGGGTTTCACCATGTTAGCCAGGATGGTCTCGATCTCCTGACCTTGTGATCCACCCGCCTTGGCCTCTCAAAGTGCTGGGATATAGGCTTGAGCCACCTCGCCCGGCCTCTTTGCAGTATATTTTTAAATCAGGTAGTGTGAGGCTTCTAGCTTTGTTCTTTTTGCTCAGTATTGCTCTGGCTATTTGGGGTCTTCTGTGGTTCCATATGAATTTCAGGGTTTTTTTTTTTCCTGTTTCTGTGAAGAATATAATTGATAGGGATTGTACTGAATCTCTAGATTGCTTCGGGTAGTATGGTCATTTTAACAGTATTAGTTACTCCAACCCACGAGCATAAGATGCCTTTCCATTTGTTTGTGTCCTTCTCAGTTTATTTTATCAGTGTTTTGTGGTTTTCATTGTAGAGGTTTTTTGGGTTTTTTTTTTTCCTCATCCTTGGTTAAGTTTATTCCTAGGTATTTTATTTTTGTAGCTATTGTAAATAGAATTTCTTCCTTGATTTCTATTTTAGCTAGTTTGTTACTGGTATATAGAAACATTACTGATTTTTGTATGTTGATTTTGTGTCCTGAAGCTTTACTGAATTATACATCCTTTTTTAAAAATGTTTTTTATTTTTTATTTTTTATTTTGTGAGAGAGTCTCACTCTGTTTTCCAGGCTGGAGTGCAGTGGTGCAATCTTGGCTCACTGCAACCTCCACTTCTCGGTTTCAAGCGATTCTCCTGCTTCAGCCTCCCAAGTAGCTGGGATTACAGGCACCTACCACCATGCCTGGCTAATTGTATTTTTCGTAGAGACAGGGTTTCACCATGTTGGCCAGGCTGGTCTCAAACCCCCAACCTCAGGTGATCCATCCACCTTGGTCTCCCAAAGTGCTGGGATTACAGGCATGAGCTACCATGCCCAGCCTAATTTATTTTAAGAGTTTTTTGGTAGAGTCTTTAGGTTTTTCTGTTTACAGGTATACGATTATGTCATTTGCAAAGTGAGACAATTGGACTTCCTTTTGTCCATTTGGATGCCTTTTTTTTCTTTATCTTGTCTGATCACTCTGGCTTGGATGTCCCATACTGTGTTGAATAAGAGTGGTGAAAGTGGGCATCCTTCTCTTGTTCCAGTTCTTAGAGGAAAGGCTTTTCAATTTTTCCCAGTGAGTAGGATGTTAGCTGTAGATTTGTCATATATGCCTTTTCTTAGGTTGAAGTGTTCCTTCTATGCTTAATTTGTTGAGAGTTTTCATCATGAAGGAATGGTAAGTTTTACTGAGTGATTTTTCTGCATCTGCTGAGATGATCAGATAGTTTTTGCCTTTCATCTTGTCAATGTGATGTATCACATGTATTGATTTGTGTATGTTGAGCCACCTTTGCATTCCTGGGATAAATCCCACTTGATCATGGTATATTATCTTTTTCATTCATCATTAGATTTGGCTTGGTAGTATTATGCTGAGAATTTTACCATCTGTGTTCATTAGGAATATTGGCCTGTAGTTTTCTCCTTTTGTTGTGTCCTTGTCTTGATTGGATATCAGGGTAATGCTGGCCTTATACAATGAGTTAGGAAGAATTCCTTCCTCTTCAATTTTTGGGAATAGTTTGAGAAGAATTGGTGTTTGTTTTTCTTTATAAATTGGGTAGAAATCAGCATAAAAGCCTAGTCTAGGGCTTTTCTCCTTTGGGAGACATTTTGTTACTGATTCAAACCTGCTATTCATTTTGGGTCAGTTCACGTTTTCTGTTTCTTCCTAGTTCAACCTTGGTAGGCTGTGTATGTCTGGGAATTTATCCCTTTCCTCTAGGTTTTCCAATTTGTTAGCATATGATTGTTCATAATAGCCTCTAATTATCCTTTTTATTTCTTTGGTAACACTTGTAATGTCTCCTTTTTCATTTCTGATTGTATTTATTTTGGTCTCTTTTTTTTTTTTTTGGTTAGCCTCACTAGTGGTTTATCAATTTTGTTTAACTTTTCAAAAAACCAACTTTTATCTTGTTGATTCTTTGCATTTTTTTTTGTCTCTGTTGCATTTGGTTCTGCTATGTTATTTATATTTTTTCTTTCTACTAATTGTGTGTTTGATTTGTTCTTGCTTTTTGAGTTCCTTGAGGTGCATCATTAGGTTGTTTATTTGAAATCTTTCTACTTTTTTAGTGTAGGCATTTATTGCTATAAACTTTCCTCCTAGTACTGCTTTTGCTGTATCCCATAGGTTTTGCATGATGTGTTTCCATTTTCTGTTTAAAAAATTTTTTTGATGTCCATCTTAATTTCTTCATTGACCCAATGATTATTCAATAGCATGTTTAATGTCCATATATTTGTACAGTTTCCAAATTTCTTCTTCTTATTGATTTCAAGTTTTATTCCTTTGTGGTCTGAGAAGATACTTGATATGATTTTAATTTTTAAAATTTTATTGAGCCTTGTTCTGTGTCCTAACATATGGTCTATCCTGGAGAATATTCCATGTGTTGATGAGATGATTGTATATTCTGCTGCTGCTGGATGAACTATTCTGAAAATATCTGTTAGGTCCATTTGGTCCAAAGTGCAGCTTAAATCTAATGTTTCTTTGTTGATTTTATGTCTAGATGAACTGTCCAATGCTGAGAGTAGGATATTGAAGTTCTCAACTATCATTTTATTGGACTCTATCTCTCCATGTAGATTTAATAATATTTGCTATATGTCTCTGGATGCGCTTGTGTTGGTTGCATGCATATTTGGAATTGTTATACTTTGTTGCTGAATTGATCCCTTTATTACCATATAATGATCTTGTTTGTCCTTTTTACAGTTTTTGACTTAAAGTCTGTTTTATCTGATGTAAGTTTAGCTACTCCTGATTATTTTTGATTTCTGTTTGTGTGGTATATCTTTTTCCATCCCTTCACTTTCAGTCTGTGTGTGTCTTTACAAGGGAAGTGATGTTGGGTCACTTTTTATCCATTAAGCCTGACTGTATCTTTTAGGTAGGTAATTTAACCCATATTCGAAGTTATTATTGATAGGCGAGGATTTATTCCTGTCATTTTGTTCATTGTTTTCTGGTTATTTTGTATATCCTTTTGATATGGTTTGGCTGTGTCCCCACTCAGATCTCATCTTGAATTCCCATGTGTTGTGGGAGGGACCCAATGGGAAGTAGTTGAATCATGGAGGCAGGTATTTCCCATGCTATTCTTTTAATAGTGAATAAGTCTCATGAGATCTGATGGTTTTAAAAGGAGGAGTTTCCCTGCTCAAGCTCTCTCTTTGCCTGCTGCCATCCCTGTAAGATGTGACTTGCCTCTCCTTGACTTCCGCAATGATTTTGAAGCCTCCCCAGCAATGTAGAACTGTAAGTCCATTAAGCCTCTTTCTTTTGTAAATTTCCCAGTCTTGAATGTGTCTTTATCAGCTGTGTGAAAATGGACTAATACAGTAAATTAGTACCAGAAGTGGGGTGTTGCTAAAAGATACCTGAATATGTGGAAGTGACTTTGGAACTGGGAAACAGGCAGAGGTTGGAACAGTTTGGAGGGCTCAGAAGGAGACAGGAAAATGTGGGAAAATTTGGAAGAGATTTCCTAGAGACTTGCCCAAAATGCTGATTGTTATATGGACAATAAAGTCTAGGCTTAGGTTGTCTCAGATGGAAATGAGGAACTTGTTAGGAACTGGCACAATGGTGACTCCTGTTATGTTTTAGCAAAGAGACTGGTGGCTTTTTGCCCCTGCTGTAGAGATTTGTGGAATTTTGAACTTGAGAGATTTAGGGTAACTGATAGGGTATTTGAACTTGAGATTTAGGGTATCTGATAGAAGAAATTTCTAAGCAGCAAAGCATTCAAGAGATGACTTGGGTGCTGTTAAAGGCCTTCAGTTTTATGAGGGAAGCAGAGCATGAAAGTTTGGAAAATCTGCAGCCTGACAATGCAATAGAAAAGAAAATCCCATTTTCTCAAGAAAAATTCGATCTGGCTGCAGAAGTTTGTTTAAGTAACGAGGAGTCAAATGTGAATCCCCAAGACAATGGGGAAAATGTCTCCAGGGCATGTCACAGGTCTTCATGGCAGCCCCTCCCATCAAAGGTCCAGAGGCCTAGGAAGAAAAGATGGTTTTGTGGGCTAGACCCAGGGACCCCTGTTGTGAGCAGCCTAGGGTGCCTGAGTCCTAGCCACTCCAGCTGCAGCTAAAAGGAGCCAAGGTACAACTTGGGCTGTGGCTTCAGAGGGTGCAAGCCCCAAGCCTTAGCAGCTTCCACATAGTGTTGAGCCTGTGGGTGCACAGAAGTCAAAAATTGAGGTTTGGGAACTGCTGCCTAGATTTCAGAAGGTGTATGGAAATTCCTAGATACCCAGGCAGGAGTTTGCTGCAGGGGCAGGGCACTCATGGAGAAACTCTACTAGGGCAGTGCAGAAGGGAAATGTGGGGTCGGAGCCCCCACATAGAGTCCCTACTGCAGCGCCACCTAGTGGAGCTTTGAGAAGAGGGCCACCATCCTCCAGACCCCAGAATGGTGGATTCACTGACAGCTTGCACTGTGTGCCTGGAAAAGCTGCAGACACTCAATGCCAACCCGTGAAAGGAGCCAGGAGGGGGGTTAAACCATACAAAGCCACAGGAGTGGAGCTGTGGCCTTTTTTCTCCCAAGGCCATGGTCATACATCAGTATGACCTGCATGTCAGACATGGAGTCAAAGGAGATCATTTTGGAGCTTTGAGATTTCACTGCCCCACTGGATTTTGGGCTTGCATGGGTCCTGTAGCCCCTTTGTTTGGCAATTTTCTGCCATTTGGAATGACTGTATTTACCCAATGCCTATACCCACATTGTATCTAGGAAGTAACTAACTAGTTTTTGATTTTACATGCTCATAGGCAGAAGGGATTTGCCTTGTCTCAAATGAGACTTTGGACTGTGGACTTTTGAGTTAATGCTGAACTTAGTTAAGACTTTGGGGGACTGTTGGGAAGGCATGATTGGTTTCAAAATGTGAGGATATGAGATTTGGGAAGGGCCAGGGGCAGAATGATATGGTTTGGTTGTGTCCCCACCCAAGTCTCATCTTGAATTCCCACATGTTGTGGGAGGGACCTGGTGGGAAGTAATTGAGTCATGGGGGCAGGTCTTTCCCATGCTGTTCTCATGATAGTGAATAAGTCTCACAAGGTCTGATGGTTTTGAAAAGGGTAGTTTCTCTGCAGAAGCTCTATCTTTGATTGCTGCCATCCATGTGAGACATGACTTGCTTCTTCTTGCCTTCCAACGTGATTCTTAGGCTTCCTCAGCTATGTGGAAGTGTAAGTCCATTAAACCTCTTTCTTTTGTAAATTGCTCAGTCTCAGTCAGGTATGTCTTTATCAGCAGTGTGAAAACAGACTAATACACCTTTGTTCCTTTTTTCTCTCATTATTTATGGTTGCAGTTTGGTGGTTTTCTTTAGTGGTGATGTTTGAATCCTTTCTTCTTTGTGTGTCTGAACTACCAGTGAGTTTTATACTTTCATGTATTTTCATGATGGTAGATATTGTTCTTTCACTTCCCAATGTAGGACTCCCTTAAACATTTCTTATAGGACCACAACAAACAAGACACAAACAAACAGTCTTTTGCTTATCTGGGAAATACTTTTTTCCCTTTTATTATTACTATTTTTTTTTTTAGCAATGGAGTCTCACTCTGTCACCCAGGCTGGAGTACAGTGGCATGATCATAGCTCACTGCAGCCTTGAACTCCTGGGATCAAATGGTCCTCCTGCCTCAGCCTTGAGTCTCTGGAATTGCAGATGTGAGCCACTGTGCCAGGCTCCTTCATTTGTGAAGGATAGCTTTGCTGGGTAGAGTATTTTTGGCTTACATTTTTTTATTATTTTTTTTTTTTTGTACTTGTAATATACATCCCCTTTTCTCCTAGCCAGTAAGGTTTCTGCTGAGAAATTCCCCGTTAGCCTGATGGAGATTCTCTTATAAGTGACTTGATGCCTTTCTCTTGCTGTTTTTAGCATTTTCTCTTTGTCTTTTGACAATTTTACCATATTGTGCCTTGGAGAAGACCATTTTGAGTTGTATTTACTTGGTAATCTTTGAGCTTCCTGCATTTGGAAGCATTCAGGAAGTTTTCAGTTATTAGTTCATTAAATAGGTTTTCTATGCCTTTACCCATCTCATCTCCATCCAGAACTCCCAGAATTTCAGTTTTTGGTCACATATGTGTCCCATATGTCATGTAGCCTTGCTTCATTCTTTTTTCTTTCTTTTTGTCTGACTGGATTATTTTAAAAGACTAGTCTTCAGGTTCAGAAATTCTTTGTTTTGCTTGATCTAGTCTATTGTTAAAGCTGTCAATTATCTTTTGTATTTATTTCAATGATTTATTCTCTTCCAGGATTTGTGTTTGGTTCTTTGTTATGCTGTCTATCTCTGTTGAATTTGTCATTCAGATCATGAATAGTTTTCCTGTTTTTGTTTTTTTTTTTTTTGTATTCATTATCTGTGTTCTCTTGTATCTCCCTGAGTTTCTTTAATAACATCATTCTGAATTTTTTTCAGGTATTTCATAGATTTTCTTTTCATTGGATCTGTTGCTGGAGAATTATTGTGCTTCTTTGAGATGTTATGTTTCCTTTTTCATATTTCTTGCATCCTTATGTGACTATCTGTGCCTCTGACATAACAGTCATTTCTTCCAATTTTATGGATTGGCTTTTATATGGGAAAGACCTTTTCTTACAGCTGTATCTACAGTGTTCATTGGATATCACACTTTGGCTTTGATTCTGGGTGGGTACAGTAGTATAGTTTGCATATGATTCCTTCAGCTGTAATTGGCATGGGTGGTGCCTGTGAGTCATTCAGTGGCTTAGACTGCAGTGGTTTTTTTTGGTGGTTGTTGAGATGGAGTCTAGCTCTGTCACCAGGCTGGAGTGCAGTGGCACAATCTCAGCTCACTGTATCCTCTGCCTCCCGTGTTCAACCAATTCTCCTGCCTCAGCCTCCTGAGTAGCTGGGACTATAGGCACGTGCAACCATGCCCAGCTAAATTTTGTATTTTTAGTAGAGACGGGGTTTCACCATGTTGGCCAGGCTGCTCTCGAACTCCTGACCTCGTGATCTACACGCCTCGGCATCTCAAAGTGCTGGGATTACAGGCGTGAGCCACCACACTTGGCCAGACTGCAGTTGTTATTGGAGGCTTTGGTGAGGCTTTGCTGAGGATGGGGATGCCAGGAAGTCTTGTCCTTCAGCATCAGTGGTAGTGGCGGTGGACCAGGTGTGTCAATACTAGGGACCATGGGCAGCGTTTGTGGGCACTGATGATAGCCTGTCTGTGTGGGCCAATCCCTGGGACTCCAGGTGGCTTCTTTGGTTGCTGGCAGTGGGCCAGATGGGCAGGTGCACCACTGGGCTCCTGGGTGGTGTGTGTGGCAGGCTGATCTCTAGTTCTCCAGGTGACCTATACAGGTTCTGGTGGTGGGTAGGCAGGCGTTTCCTCAGGCCTCTCAGTAGTAAGTGTGAGCACCAGCTCTGGAGGCAGGTGAGTCAATCTCCAGGTCCCCGGATGGTACATTCAGGCACCAGCATATTCCTATGCATTTCTAGATAAAAGTATTTTTCAGAAAACCTGAGCATATGTCCTATTAATACAACTTACCCTCATCAGCTCTGCATGAGAAGAAGGCGGAATTCCCTCAGTAGAACAGTCAGAATGGAATCACAGACTTGTTTTGAGCCAGTCACTGGTGAGGGGGGGTAGGATAACATGATAAGCTCAGAATCTAAACCTTAGACTAGGGAATGGCAAACTTTTTCCATAAAGAGGCAAACGGTAATATTTTAGGCTTTTTGTCTAGATAACCTCTTTTGTAGTGACACAGTGGTGCCATCGTAGCCTAAAAGCGTATGTAGACAATGGATAAATCAATGGACCTGGTTTTATTCCAGTAAAACTTAATTTATACAGTCAGAGGGCCAGATTTGGCCCTTGGTCTATGGTTGTTTAGAGCAGTCAAAATTTATTCCCTGGGGCTGGGCCAACTTTTTCTTTAAAAAAAAAAAAAAAAAGCAACCCACTGTCAGAATAAAATAAGGTTTCTATTTAAAAAGAAGAAGAGGCTGGGTGTGGTGGCTCATGCCTATAATCCTAGCACTTTGGAAGGGTGAGGCAGGAGGACTGCTTGAAGCCAGGAGTTTGAAACCAACTTGGGCAATATAGTGAGACCCTCTGTCTGCAAAGAATAAAAAAATTAGCCAGGCATGGTGGCACATGTCTGTAGTCTTAGCTACATAGGAGGCTGAAGGGGAAGATCACTTGAGCCCAGGATTTTGAGGCTACAGTGAGCTCTGACTGTACCATTTGTACTCTAGCCTAGGCAAAGAGGGAGAACCCAAAAACAAACAAACAAAAAGTTGGTTTGGGCGGGTTGGAGAAGAAAGTATTTCTGAATTTCTGGGTAGGTTACTGGTAGTGTCAGGCCAAACTAGCTCTACAGTCATATTCATTATAAATAAAGGCAACTAGAAGATCTCCATCTAGCTATTAAAATTGGTTAAAATCTACAGAGATAAAGGACGGTGACTCTTGTGTCAGTTAGTTGTTGTCACAAAATGCTGCATAACGAGTCACTCCAAATCTCAGTGGCTTAATACAACAATCGTTTATTTTCATGGATCTATGGGTCAGCTGAGGATTGGTCAATCTAGCATGAGCATGTCTGGGAAGCTCGACGTTGCTCTTGCTGTCTCTTCTGCTGGAAGCAGCAGTCTGGCCTGGGCTTGTTCTCATGGTGATAGCAGGAGTGAGTGAGCAGAAATGAATTCACACTTTCCAAGTTTTTGGTCATACAGATTAATATTCCAGTGGCCAAAGCTAGACACATGACTAAACCCAACATTAGGGACTGGAGAAATATACTCCGATTCTTCAGTGGGAGGAACTGCAGAGACAAATGGCAGAATCTTGGATACAGGGAGGACACGGATCCATTAATGTGCCTTAATCAATCGCAACCCTCTAACCACCAATACAATTAAATAAGTATTTGTTGAATGCACTTGTGCCTGAATGCTTCTGGCTGCAGCCCAGGCAATGGGGGTCTGACTGGGGAGGGACCATAGCAGGGACTCGATGTCCTGCAGGTCTGCATGTAATTGTGCACGGCCGACTCCTCATTGGTCATGGCTGACTTGCTTTATCCTGCGTCCCCAAGGGGCAACGATTGGCTGATTATATTTCTGAACAATTTTGACAAAGTTGTTTTCAGGAGCCCAGGAAGCAAATCAGTTGTAGATTTGAATTTTTCAGGGGATCAGAATTGTTGAATATATATATAGTCTTTTACATGCTGATAATTATTTCCACATCACAAAGAAGGCTGGCTATTAGGAGGCTGCTGTTCATTTCCTTTGCCCCGTGAACTCATGAGCTGTGGCTATGTGGGGGGCACTCAGTTGTTAGAGCTGTTTCCCTTCATAATAACATCAGCCAACATTCTAAATAAATGCAGGAAATTAAATAGTCTTCCCCAGACAGGTACTTTGCCCTTCTAAAGTGAATTACACATTCTAAAATAAAACACAGTCACATTAAAAAAACAAAAGGTCTTTGTGTCAGGTTGGTCTGGCTTCAGCAAAGATAATATTTGCCTCCAGAGTAGAAGATCCGTGGAATCCACGGTATTACATATGGCAGCCCCACATCTTGTTTCCTTTTCTTTTTTTTGTTTTTAACTAAAAGAGTTGTCAATTTTATTTTCACATTTCCCAATACAAATGAAAACTGCATCTTTTTTGGTCCCACTTCTCCCCTCCAAAACTATTCTCTTTGATAGGGCAAGAGGGCAAGTCTTCCTTATGCTGTTAAGAAAACTCGACATCACAGCAGCATGATCTCCTGGTGAAGGGAGCAGGTAAATATAAAATTCATATAGGCCAGGCGCAGTGGCTCACACCTGTAATCCCAGCACTTTCAGAGGCTGAGGCGAGCGAGTCACGAGGTCAGGAGATTGAGACCATCCTGGCCAACATGGTGAAACCCCGTTTCTACTAAAATAAAAAAAATTAGCCGGGCATGGTGAATACGCCTGTAGTCCCACACTACTCAGGAGGCTGAGGCAGGGGAATCGCTTGAACCCGGGAGGTGGAGGTTTCAGTGAGCTGAGATCATGCCACTGCCCTCCAGCCTAGGCGACAGAGGAAGACTCTGTCTCAAAAACAAAACAAAACATTACAAACAAAAAAAACACAACAATAACAACAACAAAACAACACTGATGCAATGAGGCCTCCCCTCTATCCTTATCTGTCTGGTCAAGTCATTCTGGGCTGACTGGGCACCATCATGAGACGGGCAGGAGGTCTTATCATTGGGCACCCAGGCATCACAGGCATGTGGCCTCCCATGGGCGGCCTCATTCCAAGAGCAGGTCCCACTGGCATCATCCCAGGAGGAGGAGGGCCCATCTTTGGCATCATGGGCGGGCCACCCATATGGGCTGCTGCCATCATTCTGAAATGTGCGAGAAGTGTCAAATACACATTAGATTGTGAAGACTTAATATAAAAAGAAAGCAAAGTATTTTGTTACTGTTAAAAAATTTTATACATGTAGACCTGGTATTTTGGATAGATTTGTTTAAATCTGTGATATTATTCCAATTACCTTCACTTCTTTTGTTTTACTTTTTAAAATGTGGTTATTACAAAATGCAAATGTAAATATGTGGCTTGCATCATATTTCATCACATTTAGTGTGGACCCTGAGGATCTAGGGGAGTTATGAGCCTTAAGTTGAGGGTGACCCAGGTCAACGTGAATTGCTCTGAAAGAGAAGCAAAGGGCTTAAAGAGAATGTATAAATGGAGAGAGGGAGCTCAGTCTCACAGGGTGAGGAAAGGCTTTCTTTCTTACACAGTCTGGCACTTCTTCAAAAGCTTAAACACAGAGTTCTATGACCCAGCACTTCCACTCCAGTTTATGAAAGAAATGAAAATATATGTCCGTCCAGAAACTTGTACACAAATGCTCATAGCAGCATTATTCATAATAGCGCCAAAGTGAAAACAACACAAATGCTTGTCTACTGATGAGTGGAGAAATAGAACATGGTTTGATCATGCAATGGAATATTATTCAGTCATCAAAAGGAATGAAGTACTAACACGTGCTACAACACGGATGAACTATGAGAATATTAAGCTAAGTGGAAGAAACCAGTCACAAAAGGTCACATATTCTAAGATGTCATTTATATGAAATGTCCAGAACACGCAAATCTATGAAGAGAGAAACCCTGCCTCTACTAAAAATACAAAATTAGATGGGCGTGGTGGCACATCCCTGTAATCCCAGCTACTCTGGAGGCAGGAGAATTGCTTGAACCCGGGAGGCGGAGGTTGCAGTGAGCCGAGATTGTGCCACTGCACTCCAGCCTGTGACAGATACTCTATCTCAAAAAAAAGTAGATTGTCAGGGCTTAGTGGGAGGAGGAAATGGCAGGAACCTGCTCATGGATACAGGGTTTCTTTTTGGGGTGATGAAAATGTTTGAAAATTGATCATGATGGTGGTTGCCGAGCTCTGTGAATGCACTGAAACCATTGATTTGTTCACTTTAAATGGGCAAATCATACGGTACCTGAATTATATTTTAATAGTTATATTAAAAAAGTAAAATCTTCCTTGAAGTGATGACACTTAAGGAGAGGCCTAGAGGGTGGGATGAGTTCACTATGTAGAGAAATGAGGAACAGCATTTCAGGGTGAGAAACAGCATAGTGAAGTCCCTGAGGTTGATAGGCATAGAGCAGATTTAAGGGACTTTTTTTTTTGAGACGGACTTTCACTCTTGACGCCCAGGCTTGGGTGGAGTGGTGCGATCTTGGCTCATGGCAACCTGTGCCTCCCGAGTCCAAGCGATTTTCCTGCCTCAGTCTCCCGAGTAGCTGGGATTACAGGTGCCATCCACCACACCTGTCTAATTTTGGGATATTTAGTAGAGATGGGGTTCCACCATGTTGACCAGGCTGGTCTCGAACTCCTGATCTCAGGTGATCCAGCCGCCTCAGCTTCCCAAAGTGCTGAGATTACAGGTGTGAGCCACTGCGCTCAGCCAGATTTAAGGGACTTTAAAGAAGTTTGTGTGGCTGAAGCCTGCAGGCCAAGCGAGAGAATCAGGAAATGAGGCTGGAGAAAGAGAGGGGCTAGGTCATGGAGGGTCTCACATTAGGGTGTGGAAACTTCACACGAGTGGTCCCACCTTGGGCATCCCACCTAACTACTCTGTGTCCCAGCTTCCCCACTGGTGAAATAAAGGGCTGATGTAGGGATGGACTGAGATAGGGTGTGCTCAGTAAAGGTGACCTTTTATCTTTTTTTTTTTTTTTTTTTTTTGAGATGGAGTCTCACTCTGTCGCCCAGGCCGGAGTGCAGTGGCGCGATCTCGGCTCACTGCAAGCTCCACCTTCCGCGTTCACGCCATTCTCCTGCCTCAGTCTCCCAAGTAGCTGAGACTACAGGCGCCCGCCACCACGCCCAGCTAAAATTTTTGTATTTTTAGTAGATACGGGGTTTCACCGTGTTAGGGAGAATGGTCTGGATCTCCTCATGTCATGATCCGACCGCCTTGGCCTCCCAAAGTGCTGGGATTACAGGCGTGAGCCACCGCGCCCGGCCGAGCTTTTATCGTTGTCAACCCACACAGCAGAGGGAGCCATTGAAAGCGAGTGATCGGTTTGGATGCACCTTCTGAAGTGATCGCTTTGGTCCCTGTGAGGAGTGCAGATTGTCACAGGGCCAGGGGAAGACAGAGGCCAATGAGGAGGCCTTTGCAGTCAAACAGCTGGAGGTGATGGTGGCTTGGTTTATGGTGGTGTCAGGAGAGTGGCTGAGCAGTGAACGGATCTGAAAAGATTTAGGAGGTAAAACCCACGTGACTTGGTCACTGAATGTGGGTTGGGTTGGCTGGAGGGAAGGTAAGAAAGAATGAGAAGAAAAACATACTCAAGTGGGCCCTCCAGCCTAAGGTTACTTGAAGTCCCTTTGTGAAGAGGAATGTTTGTGTTTATGATGAAGATGTCTAGACTTTCAAAGGCCATTTGCAGTATTTTTTTAACAGCCAACAACTCCTCCTTCCCTATGACCTAAACATATGAATTTTTTTTTTTTTTTGCCCTAACTTATCACAGAGGGATGGATGTTTATTTGCTTTAATGAAAAATGCAGAATGCCAATAAGAAAGCATATTAAATTAATCTGGATTGCTGGGAGGGAGTTAAATCTGTTTCGATGTGCACCAGTGTTACTATACTAGTTTGGTCTAAACCCATTTCTGGCCTGCGGCTGCAGGAGGTTGACTCCCAGCTTGCTTTCATTTGAAAGATCCTAGCAACAAGTACACTTGGCATTTCCAGCCAAACCCACTTTGTGCAGCGAAGGAAAAGTTGAGGAGTGCCTCTGTTGTTTTCCCCCAAATCATTTGGCAGAAATGTGGCTGGGAGCTTCATTGCTGATTTTTTCAGTTTTAATATTGCTGTGGAAAGCCTGTACCAACACTCAGCCATGTTATTAATCCACAGCTCCAGTCTGGGCTGTGATTTGTTTTTCCTTTGAGTGACACAACCTTTTTTTCCATTAAGACTCAATGCAAATAGACACTCATGCACCATCACCATAACTCCCCCTGATTGGCGGAGGGAAATCAGTGGAATGATTCTAGTTTGGTGTTCATATCGGAGGGTTTTATTTATCTATTTTGAGACGGAATCTCTCTCTGTCGCCAGGCTGGAGTGCAGTGGTGCGATCTCGGCTCACTGCAACCTCTGACTCCCTGGTTCAAGCGATTCTCCTGCCTCAGCCTCCCTAGTAGCTGGGCTTTCAGGCATGTGCCACCATGCCCGGCTAATTTTTTGTATTTTTAGTAGACACGGGGTTTCACCATGTTGGCCAGGATGGTCTTGATCTCCTGACCTCGTGATCTGTCCGCCTCGGCTTCCCAAAGTGCTAGGATTACAGGCGTGAGCCACTGCGCCTGGCCTTGAGTTGTTTTTAAAAGCATATTTCTCTCAAATTATCTCCGGGGTGTCCCACTGTGACTTGGGAAAAGGTTGGATTTTCTGGAGGTGGAAAGTCAAACTTCAAATACAATTTGGAGGCTGCCACTGTGGCTCATGCCTGTAATCCCAGTACTATGGGAGGCTGAAGTGGGTGGATCATTTAAGGCCAGAAGTTCGAGACCAACCTGGGCAACATGACGAGACTTCGTTTCTACTAAAAATACAAAAATTAGCCAGGCGTGGTGGTACATGCCAGTAATCCCAGCTACTTAAGAGGTTGAGGCAGGTGTTATTGCTTGAACCTGGGAGGCAGAGTTGTCCTGTGTCCAAACCCCATGAGGCGTATCAGCTGGCTGAAGATAAAATCGGTCACGCAGTGTTGGGATTGGGGTTGCTGTTATCATCCCTCATCCCCACCCCTGCTAGGCATCCACAAATAGTCGTCTTCAATGAGACGTCCCTCCTGCCCCTGGCTGCCTTATTTCATCTGCACCCGATCGTATCCATTGCTTGTCAGTGGGTCTCAACCTTGGCTGCATCTTGGAATCTCCTGGGGAGAAGAGACAATACCAAGGCTCTCTCTCACTTAGCATGATGTTTCCAGGGTCCATCCACATGTAGTAGGCACCAATATTTCCATTGTATGGATACCGCACATATTGTTTGTTCATTCGTCAACCAAATGGCCATCTTGGTTGTTGCTACCTTTTGGTTATTATATATATTGCATGATTCCATTTATGTGAAAGGCCCAGAATAGGCAAATCTATAGAGGCAGAAAGCAGGTAAGTGGTTGCCAGGAGCTGGGGGAAAGGGGAGGGGATGGAGAATGCTTGATGGATACAGGGTTATTTTTTTGGGGGGCGGGGGTGTTAATGAAAATGTTTTGGAACTAGACAGAGATGATGATTGCTTAATATTCTGAATGTATTTAATGATACTGAAGTGTATGGTTTCATACAGGGACTTGTATGTTATGTGAATTTTGCCTCATTAAAAAAATACTGCTAGGAGCAATGGCTCATGCCTGTAATCCCAGCACTGTGTGAGGCCAAGGTGGGCAGATCACCTGAGGCTGGGAGTTCGAGACCTGCCTGGGCAGCACGGTGAAACCCTATCTCTATTAAAAATACAAAAATTAGCCAGGCGTGGCGGTGCACACCTGTGATCCCAGCTACTTGGGAGGCTGAGGTAGGAAAATGGGTTGAACCCGGGAGGCAGAGGTAGCAGTGAGCTGAGATCGCACCACTGCACTTCAGCCTGGGTGACAGAACAAGATTCCATCTCAAAAAAAAAAAAAAAAAAAAACCACACACACACACACACAAACCAAAAATACTGATGCCCATGTTTCATCCCCAAGAGATTCTTTAATAATTGATCTGGGCTGCAGAGCCCGGGCATTGGGGGTTTTAAAATCTCCCCAGGTGATTCTGATGTGCAGCTGTGGTTGAGAATCTCCTTCTGGAATGAACTTGTTCATGTTTTACTTGTGTTGTTTTCTAGCCTGCCAATGTCTTTCTGTTTCCGTTCACATCTTTGGGTTGTAATTTTTACAATGCAGTCTTAACAACCAGCTGCCTCAAAATGCACTGGGATCTCTCGTAACCAGGTAGCTCCCCATCTCTAACTCTGACCTGCTAAGACAGAATCTTGTGCGTGTGGCCCAGGACTGTACATATTGAAACAGGCAATGACCTGGGAACTATTTCTGAACACCCCTAGGTTTCCCGTGTTTGCCCTTTCCTTTCACATTTGGACCCCTTTGTGTGCTGACCACTGGGCTGTTTCACATGGACATAACATAAAAAAGACAGGCCAGGTGCATTGGCTCATGCCTGTAATCCCAGCACTTTGGAAGGCCGAGGTAGGCGAATCGCTTGAGGCCAGGAGTTCAAGATCTGCCTGGCCAACATGAGTAAACCCCGTCTCTACCAAAAATATGAAATTAGCTGGGTGCGGTGATGCACACCTTTGATCCCAGCTACTCAGGAGGCTGAGGCTGGAGAATCCCTTGAGCCCAGGAGGCAGAGACTGCAGTGAGCCGAGATCGCACCACTACACCCCAGCCTGGGTGAGAGTGAGACTCTTAAAAAACAAACAACAACAAAAAAAAAAAAACAAAGAGACAGAGATGATCCTTCCTTTATGGAGCTCTCAGTAAAACAAGAAAGCTCATGATGTCCTGTCATTTGTCAGAAATATATTTGGTATATGTAGCTGGGGTCACATGCTTGACATGCCTATTGAAAGCTTCTGGGTAGGAAGAGAACAATCATCACAGCATCACAGCCTGGCATAACTGTCTCCCAGGACAGGTCTCCCTGGGGAGACTGAAACCACAACTCTGAAATCAGAGCTTAAATCCAGGTTCTACATTTCACTCAGTAATGTACATGATGTAGGACAGTTTTCATATTAGTTATCTATTGCTGTGCAACAATATTACTGCAAACTTTGTGGCTTGAGACAGCACACAGTTATCACTATGTGGTTTCTGTGGGTCAGGAATCCAGGCGTGACTCAGCTGGGTTCAGTGCAAGGCTACAACCATAATGTCAGCCAGGGCTCAGTTCTCATCTGGAGGCTTGACTGGTGATTGATCTGCTTCCAGGCTCATCTGGTTGTTGGCAGCATTCAGTTCCTTGCAGGCTGCTGGACTCAGGGCCCCAGGTTCTTGCTGTCCTCAGCTTCTTGCCACATGGGCCTCTCCATCTGGCCACTCATGACATGGCAGCTCACATCTTCAAAGCCAGCAAGATAACCTCCTAGCAAGACAACTTAACATCCTATCTAACATAATCACTACATCCCATCACCTCTGCCATATTCTCTTGGTTATAAGAAAGTCATTGGTCCCTTTGTCAGATGAGTTGATTGCAAAAATTTTCTCCCATTCTGTAGGTTACCTGTTCACTCTGATGGTAGTTTCTTTTGCCGTGCAGAAGCTCTTGAGTTTAATTAGGTCCCATTTGTCAATTTTGGCTTTTGTTGCCATTGCTTTTGGTGTTTTAGACATGAAGTCCTTGCCCATGCCTATGTCCTGAATGGTATTGCCTAGGTTTTCTTCTAGGATTTTTATGGTTTTAGGTCTAACATTTAAGTCTTTAATCCATCTTGAATTGATTTTTGTATAAGGTGTAAGGAAGAGATCCAGATTCAGCTTTCTACATATGGCTAGCCAGTTTTTCCAGCACCATTTATTAAATAGGGAATCCTTTCCCCATTTCTTGTTTTTGTCAGGTTTGTCAAAGATCAGATAGTTGTAGATAAAGCGGCATTATTTCTGAGGGCTCTGTTCTGTTCCATGGGTCTATATCTCTGTTTTGGTACCAGTACCATGCTGTTTTGGTTACTGTACCTTGTAGTATAGTTTGAAGTCAGGTAGCGTGATGCCTCCGGTTTTGTTCTTTTGGCTTAGGATTGACTTGGTAATGCCAGCTCTTTTTTGGTTCCATATGAACTTAAGTAGTTTTTTTCCAATTCTGTGAAGAAAGTCATTGGTAGCTTGATGGGGATGGCACTGAAACTATAAATTACCTTGGACAGTATGGCCATTTTCATGATATTGATTCTTCCTACCCATGAGCATGGAATGTTCTTCCATTTGTTTGTATCCTCTTTTATTTCTTTGAGCAGTGGTTTGTAGTTCTCCTTGAAGAGGTCCTTCACATCCCTTGTAAGTTGGATTCCTAGGTATTTTATTCTCTTTGAAGCAATTGTGAATGGGAGTTCACTCATGATTTGGCTCTCTGTTTGTTATTGGTGTATACGAATGCTTGTGATGTTTGCACATTGATTTTTATCCTGAGACTTTGCTGAATTTTGCTATTTTAGTAGAGATGGGGTTTGCTGAATGCAGCCCCCAGTCACGTACTCCCTTCTTGGTCAATCGATCACGACTCTCATGATCACGACCCGCTTACGCGGACCCCCTTAGGGTTGTGAGCCCTTAAAAGGGACAGGAATTGCTACTTGGGGAGCTGGGTTGTTAGAGACGTGTGCCACCACTCCCAGCTATTTTTTGTGTTTTTAGTAGAGACGGGGTTTCCCCATGTTGGTTGGCCAGGATAGTCTCGATCTCTTGACCTCGTGATCCGCCCACCTCGACCTCCCATAGTGTTGGGATTACAGGTGTGAGCCACTCCACCCAGCCCAGTGAAGGCTTTTCATACTTGCTTGTCAGCCTCCTGCATCCTACTCCAGCACCTGGCGCTCACAACCTGTGGGCTGCTCTCATCCGTGATCATCTCTCCCCAGGCCTGCTGTTCCTCGAGGAAGGAAGTTGTAATGGGCAGAGTTCTAGGACAGCCCCCAAGAGAACCACTCCCTTATATCTGCTCCCTGTATCATCTCTTCTTGAGTGTGTGCAGAGCTTGTGATTTGGCCAAGGGGAAGGAATTTTGCAAATGTGATTATGGTCACACTTGCTTTGTTAAGCACATTTGCTCAGCTGACTTTGAGTTCATCCAAAGCAGGATGATCTTAGGTGTGCCAGACCTAATCAGGTGAGTCTTTTAAAGGTGAAGTTTCAGAGATTCAACCCTTAGCCTCCAAGGAGACAAAAATGGCCATGCTGTGAACTGTCTTTGGAGGTGGCAGCTCTAGGAGCTGAGGGCCTTCGTTCTACAATTGCAAGAAATTGAATTCAGTCCACAAACTGAATAAGCTTGGAAGAGGACACTGAGCATCTGATGAGACCCCAGCTGACACTCTGGTTGCAGTATTGTGACCCGGAATAGAAGATCCAGTTAAACCCTGCCCAGAGCCTTGGCTCATGGAAACAGATAATAACTGGATGGTGTTTTAAGCTGCTCAGTTTGCACTGGTAAATCCACCAACAGGAAAATAATATAGAAGTTAAATGGGCCAGGCATGGTGGCTCATGCCTGCAATCCCAACACTTTGGGAGGCTAAGGTGGGTGGATCACAAGGTCAGGAGGTCGAGACCATCCTGGCCAACATGGTAAAACCCCGTCTCTACTAAAAATACAAAAATTAGCCAGGCGTGGTGGCATGCACCTGTAGTCCCAGCTACTCAGGAGGCTGAGGCAAGGGAATCACTTGAACCCAGGAGGTGGAGGTTGCAGTGACCCGGGACCATGCCACTGCACTCCAACCTGGGCAACAGAGAGAGACTCCATCTCAAAAAAAAAAAAAAAAAAAAAGTTAAATGAATACTTTTGACCATTGATGGAAGTTGCTTTCATTCCCTCTTACTTAATCATCTTTATCTTAGCCCTGAAAGAGGGATGCTTTAATCCCATTTGTAACAAGTGAGTCTGAGGCCCAGGAAAGTGATAGAATTTAGCAAAGTCCACCTTGCTACCTGGTGGCCCCAGCTAGAACTCTGCCCCAGGTCCATATACCTAAAGTCATTACAGCGTCCACTAAAATTTTGCCCCTCTCTCGATGCCTTCCTCTTTAGAAGCCTGTTCCTTCAGGGATAGATCCCAACTCAGTGTTACAAGGTACTGAACTCTGATTTTCACAAAATATAATAACTGCCCCCCAAAATTAATAATAGTATTTTTGAGCTGGGCACGGTGGTTCATACCTGTAATCCCAGCACTTTGGGAGGCTGAGGTGGGCGGATCATGAGGTCAAGAGATCGAGAGCATCCTGGACAACATAGTGAAACCCCGTCTCTACTAAAAATACAAAAATTAACTGGGAGTGGTAGCAGGCGCCTGTAATCCCAGCTACTCGGGAGGCTGAGGCAGGAGAATCGCTTGAACCCAGGAGGCAGAGGTTGCAGTGAGCCGAGATTGCACCACTGCACTACAGCCTGGCAACAGAGCAAGACTCCGTCTCAAAAAAAAAAAAAAAAAAATGTATGTTTGAGTCCTTATGTGTCAACCACTGGGCTATCCCAACACCAATAGCTATTATGATTATGATTAGTTTTTCCATTTTATTGATGAGGAAACCAACACATAGAAAGGTAAAGGAACTTGCCAAAAGTGATGGTCACACAGCCAAAGAGCTGTAGAAGCAGCACAGGAATCCCAGCAAACTCACAGCCAAGCTCTGCTTTTCACCTTCACATCATACAGTCCTCAGACTAAAACCCTAACTCTGACCTTCCAAATCAAAAATCGTACTCAAGGCCGGGTGCGGCGGCTCACGCCTGTCATCTCAGCACTTTGGGAGGCCGAGGCAGGTGGATCACCTGAGGTCAGGAGTTCCAGACCAGCCAGGCCAACATGGTGAAACCCCATCTCTACTAAAAATACAAAACTTAGCCAGGCGTGGTGGTGGGTGTCTGTAATCCCAGCATTTTGGGAGGCTGACGCATGAAAATCACTTGAACTCAGGAGGCAGAAGTTGCAGCGATCCATGATCATGCCACTGCACTCCAGCCTGGACAAGAGAGTGAGACTCTGTCTCAAAAAAAAAAAAAAAAAAAAAAAAGAATTGTGCTTAATAATAGCTTGGAAGTGCACATATCTTCTGTGAAGTTTGATGGACTACAATTAGCTTCAAAACACAAATAAGTAACTGTGTTTAAATGAGGCCTTCTGTGTAATATCTAGGGAAAATCAATGTGGCTATTCATATTTTGTTTCCCCTTCCAGGCACAGAGAAGTTGCCCATGACTCTGTGATCCGTTTTGTCCAATGAACCATGAGCAGCAGCAACTTGAGTCACCTCCAGGTGGAAGTGTTAAGAGGTTGCTCTATGATCCACCACATTCCCTTTGCCCTGAAGTGGAGATCAAGGACACATGCAGAGATGGGGCTTTTGTCAGCCTGGATCCCTGAGTGAACACAATGAACAGACCACCCCAGAATGCCCTAACACAGCCCAGACATGCAACGTGACCAAGAATAAGCCTCACTGTGGCCAGGCATGGTGGCTCATGCCTGTCATCCCAGCACTTTGGGAGGCCAAGGTGGGTGGATCATTTGAGGTCAGGAGTTCAAGACCAACCTGGCTAACAGGGTGAAATCCTGTCTCTACTAAGTACAAAGATTAGCCAGACAGTGGTGGCATGGGCCTGTAATCCCAGCTACTCAGGAGGCAGGAGAATCACTTGAGTCTGGGAGGCAGAGGTTGCAGTGAGCTGAGATTGCACCACTGCACTCTAGTCTGGGTGACAGAGTGAGACCCTGTCTCAAAAACAAACAAACAAATACCTCACTGCATGAGGCCACTGAGATTTGGGGTTTGTTGTTACTGCACCAGAACCCAAATCATCCTGACCGCTAGGGTGTCCTAACTAGGGTTTCTTACCAAAAGCAAAGGCATTTTTAAAGTTCGTGACATTTAAACAAAAGAGCAAATACCAATATCTACCACTTTGTCAGGCTAAAAAACCCAAACAAAGCCAACAGCCAGAAGTTAAAATAAACAGATCATTAGGTTGAAAATAGAACTGTCAAAACAGGCACAATTGACTTCATTTAGTGATTGCAAAGAACATCAGGCAAGACACAGGTATGCTCATCATAACATTTATCACATGCTTCATTGCACATGTTTGACTAAGAAAAACAAAGTATTTAAGCTCATCTGTAGCTCAAAGTGCCTATCCGTGTATTTATCTATTCATCCTGATTTATTTATTGAGCAACTCTTTTGTGCCAGGCACTGTGCTGTGTTGCGGGAAGTCAGGGACCCCAAATGGAGGGACCAGCTGAAGCCATGACAGAAGAACGTGGATTATGAAGATTTTATGGACATTTATTAGTTCCCCAAATTAATACTTTTTTAATTTCTTATGCCTGTCTTTACTGCAATCTCTAAACATAAATTGTGAAGATTTCATGGACACTTATCACTTCCCCAATCAATACCCTTGTGATTTCCTATGCCTATCATTACTTTAATCTCTTAATCCTGTCAGTCGAGAAGGATGTATATCGTCTCAGGACCTGTAATAATTGCGTTAAGTACATAAATTGTACATCATGTGTGTTTGAGCAATATGAAATGTGGGCACCCTGAAAAAAGAACAGGATAACAGCAATTGTTCAGGGAATTAGAGAGATAACCTTAAACTCTGACCGCTGGTGAGCCAGGCAGAACAGAACCATATTTCTCTTCTTTCAAAAGCAAATGGGAGAAATATCGCTGAATTCCTTTTCTCAGCATGGAACGTCCCTGAGAAAGAGAATGCGCACCTAGGGGTAGGTCTCTGAACTGGCCCCCCGGGGCGTACCTGTCTCTTATGGTCGAGATTGCAGAGGTGAAATAAACTCCAGTCTCCCATAGCACTCCCAGGCTTATTAGGAAGAGAAAATTCCCGCCTAATAAACTTTGGTCAGACGGGTTGATCTCAAAACCCTGTCTCCTCATAAGATGTTATCAATGACAATGGTGCCAAAACTTCATTAGCAATTTTAATTTCACTTCCGTCCTGTGGTCTGGCCCTGTCTCCACTTGCCTTGTGATATTCTATTACCCTGTTAAGTACTTGATGTCTGTCACCCACACCTATTCATATACTCCCTCCCCTTTTGAAACTCCCTAATAAAAACTTGCTGGTTTTTGTGGCTTGTGGGACATCACGGATCCTACCAATGTGTGATGTCTCCCCCAGATGCCCAGCTTTACAATTTCTCTCTTTTGTACTCTGTCCTTTTATTTCTCAAGCCAGTCGACGCTTAGGAAAATAGAAAAGAACCTACGTGATTATCGGGGGAGGTCCCCCGATATCTGGCGCCCACGTGGTCTTTCTTTTTTCCTAAGTGCATGAGGGAACCGGATTCCGTTTGGTAGGTGCGGTGAAACGTCAATCGGCTTGGTCCACAGATAAGCGTGTTCAACTCCCCGATGAGTGGTGAGTAATCTGTGTAAGGTCTGGGTTAACTGTGGGTCATGTGTAATCTAACAAACTCCTGTTAAAACCGGTAACCATGAAAAATATGATCACTCTATTCAGGGCAGTAGAAAAATACTGTTCTTGGTTTCCTGAAAAAGGAACGGTGTATATAAAATTGTGTGATTGTGTCCGTAAGGCATTCCGAAAACTGATCTCGGCCGGGTATTATGTGCCCATCACTGTTTGGGGTGCTTGGTGCGTGACATCTTCGTGGCTTGCCAATCTCCTGACCCCCTGCAGTTGCCGCAGTTTTCTGCCTTTTCCTCAGTTTCTCTGCCTTTTTCTCAACCTTCCTCTCCCACATGGCCTTCGTTCAGACTCTCCCTTCAGCTACTCCTCCCCTCCCTAACGATTCTGAAAATTCGATTTCTAACTCTGGTAACTTTGGCTTAAAGTTACCCCCTACTTTTCTTACTTCTTCCCACGAAAAGCCGGTACTTCAAACTCCTGCGGCTGTGACTCAAAAAGCCCGGTACCATAAATATGCTAATTCTTCTCTCTTCAAACCTCCAGCATCAAATAATGGCTCTGGGACCAAACTACAATTTACCTGTCATTCTCCAGGCCCTCCCCCATCCACTACAGCCCCTCACCCTCCTGTCGTTTCAGTTCCTCAGCCAGTCTGCATCGATAGGCGCCGCTCAATCTTACCTTTTTAAAAACAATTTAAGGATGCTTGTACTCAGTATGGTCCTACTTTTCCTTATGTTCAAATGGTATTGCAAACTTTTTATACTGAGGTCGTTTTGCTTCCTTTAGACTGTGATCTTTTGGCAAAAAGCTGTTCTAAGTCCATCTCAGCCTGGTGGTAGGAGGAGGCCTGTTTACAGGCTCAGCTAAATCGGAGTAATGGCATTCTAATTACTCAGGCTCAGCTCACAGGCTCCGATAGTTTCTCTGATGCTTATGCCCAATTAAACTTTGATACTCTTACCACAGAACAAGTAACAAAAGTGTGTATGAGAGCTTGGGATAAACTACACTCCCCAGCCCAAGCTCCTGTTTCTTTTACTACTCTTCAACAAGCTCAATTGCTTTTACTACCTAATATCCTTTTAAACAAAGGAGATAAGACAAGTGGCCCTGGGATTCAGCAGGGGCCGCTTTCTAAAGAAAAACTGGAGGCTTTAAATCAATTGGTTTCTGAGCAGTTACAACTTGGAAATGTGGAACCTTCTCTTTCCCCTTGGAATTCTCCTGTTTCTAGTAAAAAAGAAATCAGGCAAATGGCGGATAGTAACCGATTTAAGGGCCATTAATGCTGTAATTAAACCTATGGGGGCCGTCCAACCCGGCATGCCTGCCCCTGCTTTAATACCTAAAGATTGGCCTCTCATAGTTATTGATCTTAAAGAGTTTTTTTTTTCATATCGCTTTACATAAATCGGATTGTGAAAAATTTGCTTTTACTGTACCATCTATCAATAATCAGGAGCCTGTAGCTCGTTATCAATGGAAAGTACTTCCTCAGGGAATGCTAAATAGCCCTACAATCTGCCAGCTTTATGTTGGACAAGTGCTTTCACCAGTTTGAGCCCGATTTCCCGAGGCCTATATTCTTCATTATATTGATGATATTTTAATTTCTGCCCCCACTGATAAAAAATTAATTGACTGTTACCAAATTTTGAACCGCTGTGTTACAGAGGCTGGATTACGCATTGCTCAGGATAAAATTCAACAGACCACTCCTGTTCAATATTTAGGAATGGTGGTCGATAAACAATGTATTCAACCTCAAAAAGTTCAAATTAGGAGAGATTCTTTAAAAACTTTAAATGACTTCCAAAAACTTTTGGGTAACATTAATTATTTAAGACCTACTTTAGGCATTCCGACCTATACCCTGTCTAACTTGTTCTCTATGCTGCGGGGAGATTCTGATCTCCGCAGCCCTAGGACTTTGACCCCTGAGGCTTTACTGGATCTGGAATTTGTAGAGGAAAAAATCCAGACTGCCCAGTTATCTAGAGTACAGACATTTCAGCCTTTTCAGCTTCTGGTTTTTGCTTCATTACACTCTCCTACTGGACTAATAGTTCAACATAATGATTTAGTGGAATGGTGTTTTCTTCCTCATTCTGTGTCAAAAACTTTATCTAGACCAAATAGCCATATTAATTGGACAGGTTCGGTGCAGAATACTTCAATTTTCTGGATTTGATCCAAGTGTAATTGTAGTTCCTTTAAATCAGCTCGAAGTTCAAGCTGCCTTTCAACATTCTGTACTGTGGCAAATTCACTTGGCTGATTTTATTGGTGTTATTGACGATCATTATCCAAAAAAACAAATTGTTTGATTTTATAAAAATAACGTCTTGGGTGGTTCCTCGATTAACCAAAAATCAACCCATTCCTGAGGCCGTTACAGTATTCACTGATGGCTCTGGTAATGGCAATGCTGGCTATACAGGTCCTGCAGACAAACTTCTTTCTACCTCTTATACTTCTCTTCAAAATGCGGAGTTAATTGCTGTGATTACTGTCTTACAGGATTTCCCCAAACCTTTAAATATTGTCTCTTATTCTACTTAACGTGGGGAAGAGGATATGCTTGTGTTTCACCAGGAGATCATCAATCCCCTGTCTGGGTGCCCACCAGAAGACTCAAGCTTCTTGTGAATACTGACAATCAAAACCACAGTGAAGAGACGTCTGTGTCAGAGACTGCCTTCAGATGTGGTGAGATCTGTGCCGACTCCTCAGAAACAGGCACACCAAATCACAATGGGTGTAAATCAATCCTCCCTGATGACAGTGGAGACCCATCTAACTAATCACACTTATCCTGATTACCTTTCTTTTTCTCCTTACAAACCTAAATATCTCACCATTTCTATTAGCCTGAAAATAACATCCCACTCTTCTTCTCTTTCTCCTTCAGCACTCCATCTCGCTTACACTAGGTTTTATTTAATGATTCTCCTCCTTATACTTTCTGTCTCACCAGTTTCCTCTCACACTGATTTACCTGCTACACATAATTATTCTTCTTGGGCTTAGGTGTCTTTTCCTCCACTTATTCGCTCTCTCACCCGGATAGATGCTCCCGCAGAAATCTACACTAACGATAGTGTGTGGATGCCTGGAGCCATAGACGACCCTTGCCTCGCACAACCAGGAGAAGAAGGCACTGCATTTAATGTTACCATGGGTTATAAATACCCACCTCTGTGCCTCGGACATGCACCTGGTTGCATCCATCTAGAAACTCAGTTCTGGGCTGCTTATCTTTCAGAAACATCAGCTACAGATAAAATGGGACATTTGGCCTCTGGCCTCTCCCTTTCTCCTTTACAACAAATGAAAGGAGGAGTAATGGGAGGTACCCCATACTTTCAATATAAACCTGCAGGAAAACCATGCCCTAAACATTTTGAGGGACCATCTAAAACTTTAATTTGGGAAGATTGTGTTAACTCACATGCAGTAATATTAAAAAATGACTCATATGGTTTAGTAATAGACTGGGCACCATAGGGCTATTTAAAAAACAATTGCTCCTCTGTGGAAGGGAATGCCTGGAGGCTACTTATTTTATTTCTTATCAGGAGAAAGAGAATCATCATTCAAGGATCAGCTCATTCTTTCCCTTAAAATGGGAAGATAAAGGCATTACCCCCGCCCCCACCAGGCATCCTATGATACTCCCTATTCTGAGCCCAGAACACCCAGAACTTTGGAAATTGGCTATTGCCATGGCTGGACTGCGAGTATGGGAAGGAAAAACTATTTTGACTGTTGTTCCCACTACCGTCCCACTCTCTCAGTATCAACGTAGACCCAGATATTCTGCTTTACTTACCTCCAACCTGACTGTTCCCATACAGAGTTGTGTTAAGCCTCCTTACATGATATTGGTAGGAAATATCAAAATTTGGATGAATAATCAAATTGTCCAATGCATCAGTTGTCATCTATACACTTGTATTAACTCCCACTTTGACTCCAGGAAAAGTGTAATGTTGGTTTGAGCTCGAGAAGGAATCTGGATTCCGATAACTTTACCTAGACCTTGGGAATCCTCCCCCTCAATACATTTAATTAATGAATTGGTACAACGAATTCTAAAAGAACCTAAGATATTTGTTTTCACTTTAATCGCTGTTATCATGGGCCTAATTACAGTCACTGCAATGGCCACCACTGCTGGAATGGCATTACACCAGTCTATTCAAACGGCTCATTTTGTTAATGATTGGCAAGCCAATTCCACCCAAATGTGGAATTCTCAACAAGGCATCGATCAAAAATTGGCAAATCAAATTAATGATTTAAGACAGTCTGTTATTTGGCTTGGAGATCGGGTAGTGAGTCTAGAACATCGCATGCAAATGCAGTGCGATTGGAATACTTTGGATTTCTGCATCACCCCTATTCCTACAACGAGACTGATCATTCATGGGAAATGGTCAAAGGACATCTTCTAGGTAGAAAATATAATTTATCATTGAAAACAACTAAATTAAAAAAAAAAACAAATTTTTGAAGCCTCCCAAGCTCACTTATCCATCGTGCCTGGAGCTCAGGCGTTAGATCAGGTGGCAGAAAATCTTTATGGATTAAACCCCAGAACTTGGATTAAGTCTATTGGGGGCTCCACTGTAGTAAATTCTGGAATTATGTTTCTCTGCTTCATCGGCTTGCTTTTAGTGTGCCGTACCAGTCAAATAATCCTGTGTCAAAATCGAGAGAATGAACAAGCCTTCATCGCCATGGCACATTTATATAAAAAGAAAGGGAGAGATGTTGCGGGAAGTCGGGACCCCAAACAGAGGGACCGGCTGAAGCCATGACAGAAGAACGTGGATTATGAAGATTTTATGGACATTTATTAGTTCCCCAAATTAATACTTTTTTAATTTCTTATGCCTGTCTTTACTGCAATCTCTAAACATAAATTGTGAAGATTTCATGGACACTTATCACTTCCCCAATCAATACCCTTGTGATTTCCTATGCCTGTCATTACTTTAATCTCTTAATCCTGTCAGTCGAGAAGGATGTATATCGTCTCAGGACCTGTAATAATTGCGTTAAGTACATAAATTGTACATCATGTGTGTTTGAGCAATATGAAATGTGGGCACCCTGAAAAAAGAACAGGATAACAGCAATTGTTCAGGGAATTAGAGAGATAACCTTAAACTCTGACCGCTGGTGAGCCAGGCAGAACAGAACCATATTTCTCTTCTTTCAAAAGCAAATGGGAGAAATATCGCTGAATTCCTTTTCTCAGCATGGAACGTCCCTGAGAAAGAGAATGCGCACCTAGGGGTAGGTCTCTGAACTGGCCCCCCGGGGCTTACCTGTCACTTATGGTCGAGATTGCAGAGGTGAAATAAACTCCAGTCTCCCACAGCACTCCCAGGCTTATTAGGAAGAGAAAATTCCCGCCTAATAAACTTTGGTCAGACGGGTTGATCTCAAAACCCTGTCTCCTCATAAGATGTTATCAATGACAATGGTGCCAAAACTTTATTAGCAATTTTAATTTCACTTCCATCCTGTGGTCCTGTGATCTCACCCTGTCTCCACTTGCCTTGTGATATTCTATTACCCTGTTAAGTACTTGATGTCTGTCACCCACTCCTATTCATATACTCTCTCCCCTTTTGAAACTCCCTAATGAAAACTTGCTGGTTTTTGTGGCTTGTGGGGCATCACGGATCCTACCAATGTGTGTTGTCTCCCCCGGATACCCAACTTCAAAATTTCTCTCTTTTGTACTCTGTCCTTTTATTTCTCAAGCCAGTCGACGCTTAGGAAAATAGAAAAGAACCTACCTGATTATCAGGGCAGGTCCCCCGATAGTGTTGGGTGGTGGTAATGCAATGATGAAGATGGCAGGCATGCCTCTGCCCTCCAGGAGTTTCTAGGATACAGAGGGGGACAAACAAAAAATAAGTAAATCTATGAAAGAAGTATAGGTGGAAACTGCCCCCAATATTTCAATGTAGGTTCTTTCTGTTTTCCATAAGTGTCAGCCAGCTGAGAAATAAAGAGAGACACTACAAAGAGGAATTTTACAGCTGGGCTGCTGCGGGTGACATTACACATCAGTAGGACCGTGATGCCCCCTGAGTCTCAGATGAGCAAGTTTTTATTAAGGGCTTCAAAAAATGCATTCCTTTCCCAGGGTATTACTATTAATATTCCTTGCTAGGAAAAGAATTTAGCGATCTCTCTCCTACTTGCACATCCGTTTATAGACTCTCTGCAAGAAGAAACATATGGCTCTTTTTGCCCAACCCTGCAGGCAGGCAGACCTTATGGTTGTCTTCCTTTGTTCCCTAAAAATTGTCGTTATTCTCTTCTTTTTCAAGGTGCACTGATTTCATATTGTTGAAACACACATGTTTTACAATCAATTTGTACAGTTAACACAATTATCACAGTGGTCCTGAGGTGATGTACATCCTTAGCTTATGAATATAACAGAATTAAGAGATTAAAGACAGGCATAAGAAATTATAAAAGTATTATTTGGGAACTGATAAATGTCCATGAAATCTTCACCATTTATGTTCCTCTGCCATGGCTCCAGCCAGTCCCTCTCCATTTGGGGTCCCTGACTTCCCACAACAAGAAACAATAAGAGGTTAAGGTGGAGAAGAGCAGGCAAGTCCACTTTATAAAGGGGTCAGGGAAGAGCTGTCTGTGGAAGCACCATTTTAGCTGACACCTGAAGGATGGTCTAATTTGGGGAGGTGCAGGGAAAATCATTCCAGGCTGAAGCAGCAAGTGCAAAGGCCGTGTTGTGGAAAAAGGTTTGAAAGTCCAAGAAAACAAAAGGAGGCCATAGTGGCTGAAATAGAGTAGGCCAAGGGCAGGAGATAGTAGAGGGCTGGAGAGGTGGCAGGAACAGGCAGAAGACTCGGGGTCTCGATTTTATTCTATGTACCATGGGCAGGAAAGGCAGGGATGAGACTCAATGGAAGCCTTAAGATCACTGAAGCTGCCAGGTAGGAAATGGATTGCTGAGCATGGAGAGCAGGTGCAGAGTACCAGTTAAGACCAGTTAGGAGGCTGCTGTAGCCCAGCTGAGATAGTGGTGTCCTAGGCAAAGATAATGACAGTGAAGCTACAGAGAGTGGACAAGTTGGATAAAGTTTAGAATCACAGGACTTGCTGACTGCAGAAGAGGGCAAAAGCAGAGTTAGCACAACACATGAGTTATGACCACCTTGAGCAGCTCAGCAGGGGGTGGTGCCATTTACAGAACAGAGATGGCATGGACAGAGCCCATGGAGAAGGAGGAGGAAAAAGAGAGTTTGGCTTTGTTTTTTTTTTTTTTTAAGACAGGGTCTCTGGCTGTGTCACCCAGGCTGGAGTGCATTGGTGCAATCATAACTCTTTGCAGCCTCAAACTCCTGGGCTCAAGTGATCCTCCTGCCTCAGCGTGCCATGTAGCAGGACTACAGATCCTACAGATGCACATCACCATGCCTAGCTTTTTTTTTTTTTTTTTTTTTTTTTTTTTTTTTTTTTTTTTTTTTTGTAGATAGGGAGTCTCACTGTGTTTTCCAGGCTGGCTTCCAACTCCTGGCCTCAAGTAATCCTCCCACCTCTGCCTCCCATAGCACTGGGATTACAGCCATCACCTACCACTCCAAGCCATGAGTTTGGCTTTGGATGTAACAAGGTTGAGGTGTTCATGAGTTGACAAGTGGAAAAAACAAGAAAGAAGTTGAGTGTTAAAACTGCTGTTTGAAGGAGAATTCTAGCCTCAAGACAAAAGTTCAGGACTCATTAGCTGAGAAATGGCACTGAAAATTATGTAAATGGATGAGCTCAGCTAGCAAACCAGTCCAGAGAGAGCAGCACTGGGCTATACATCTGGCCTAATGCCGCCCTGCTCCTCCCAATCCCTGTGTTATGCTGGAGAGGGTTCAGCCTCTGGTGAGTTTCACCAAACCCCCACATCTCTTTCTTCTGAGACCTTCTCTAAAATCCCCTCTTTTATACTTAGTGAAATGGGATTCTCTTTTTCCCATCCAGCTTAAGCACAAACTTTTGACTATGAGAAGAATGAGGATGCATTTAGTATCTGTTCTGCATGGCTAATTCCATCAAAGATTTCTCATTATTCATGCCTGGCAGTCTCATTTTCTTCTTTTGCCTCTAAGAGCACAGTCGTAGCCATAATTACTGACATTTTCACTCTTCTAATACCAGCTATTTCCCGCATCTCAGTTCTCAGGAAGTTCTGTTCACAGAATTATCTCCTGAATCCTCACCTGGAGATAGAAATTGTTCTCTGTGACCATTTCTTCCCCCTCTAATTCTTATCAAAAAACTCAGTGATCTCTGTGCATCAGATATTAAACTCAAGCTCAACAGATCATGATTCTGGCTTGTCTCTCTCTCCTGCCTGTGGGTTAACAGGTATGCAACCTTTGCAGAGGAGACACCAAATTCTCAGGAGGCCAGAGTTTCCAAAGGTACTGGTCACTCTTGCTCTCTTTCTCCTGCTCAGAATTCAGCACTAGAGAGTGTTACACCATTGCACCTGCAGAGGAGTTCATCTGACTCTAGGGACTACAGAGGAGAGAGATGGACAAACTAACAGGCATTCAGAAAATGACTACCACAATGGGGAAGAAAATGAAAGTCAAACCAAATAAGCAATGGTCAACAAAAAAAAAAATCTAGAGGGCAGCTGCAGTGGCTCACACGTGTAATCTCAGCACTTTGGGAGGCCGAGGCAGGTGGATCACTTGAGATCAGGAGTTCGAGACCAGCCAGGGCAACATAGTGAAACCACATCTCTACTAAAAATACAATAATTAGCCAGGTGTGGTGGCGGGCACCTGTAATCCCAGCATTTTGGGAGGCTGAGGTGGGTGGATCACCTGATGTCAGGAGTTTGAGACCAGCCTGGCCAACATGGTGAAACCCTATTTCTATTAAAAAATACAAAAATTAGCCAGGTGTGGTGGCAGGTGCCTGTAATCCCAGCTACTTGGGAGGCTGAGGCAGGAGAATTGCTTGAACCCAGGAGGCAGAGGTTCTGGCGAGCAAAGATTGCACCACTGCACTCCAGCCTGGGCAACAGTGAGACTTCGTCTCAAAAAAAAAAAAAAAAAAAAAAAAAAAAAAAACAACCTAGAGATGTCCATCCAGGCTGGACAGAATATTCCAGAGCAGAGATTGGGACACTATGGCCTATGGGCCAAATCTGACCTGCTTGCACATGTGTTTGTCAATAAAGTTTTATTGAAACACAGCCATGCACATTTGCTACATATTGTCTACGGCTGCTGGATTTGGCTGTTCTCATGGTATAAAGAAATACCTGAGACTGGGTAATATATAAAGAAAAGAGGTTTAATTGGCTCGCAGTTTTGTAGGCTATACAGGGAGCATGACACTGACATCTGCTGAGCTTCTGTGGAGGCCTCAGGAAACTTACAATGATGGCAGAAAGTGAAGCGGGAGCAAGAGAGTAAGGAGGGAGGTGCGACACACTCGTAAACAACCCGATCTTGCAAGAACTCACTCACTATTGCAAGGACAGGACCAAAAGGATGATGCAAAATCATTCATGAGAAATCCACCCCCATGATTCAATCTCTTCCCACCAGGCCCCACCTCTAACACTGGGGACAGCTTTTATCTTGGCTTTTTCACTGGCAGCCCCTTCCTCAAGGACTTAACTTGTGTAAGCTGACTCTTAGCAGATCTAAGAATGCAATTAACTGATAAGATACTGTGGGGCGAGCAATATCCACAGTTCCCAGGAATTTGTCCAATTGATAATGCCTAAAGCCCCACGTCTATCACTTTGTAATAGTCTTAAAGCCCTTAGACCTAGAACTCTTTACTTTCCTGTATCAATTTATCCTTTTAACTTTTTTGCCTACTTCTGTAAAATTCTTTTAACTAGACCTGTTTCCCCTTTCTAAACTGAAGTATAAAAGAAAATCTAGCCCCTTCTTCGGGGCCAAGAAAACGTTAAGAGTTAGCCATTTCTTAGGCACCAGCTAAATAAGGAGACTCTTAATTCATGTGAAAGTGTGGCATTTTCTCCAACTCATTCAAGTACAACATTTGGAGGCCCCAGCGAGAAACGCCATGAGGAGAGAGCCGGGCTCCCCCGGAAGGACGGCCGGCTTGTGGGGGGTGCCACCTAAAAAAAAACCTTCAGGTCCTCGAAAAGTGACCGTCTTCCAGAGGAGAGCGGATCGACTACCCGGTGGGTGCCCATAAAAATTCCACCTCTGAGTCCTCGACTTCTGACCCTGAGGTCACGTAGGTCAGATTTGACTTCAGTTCTAGGAAGAGGGAAGCGGCCCTGATGAGGGTGTCCCTCTTTCGACTCTGCATGTTTCTCTAGGACGCTAGAAGGTAGAGCCCTGGTTTTCTGTTAGGCACCTCTGTGTCTCTTTCTAGGAGGGAAGTGGCCCTGACAGGGGCCCTCCCTTGACTCAGTCCACATCCCAGGATGCTGGAGGACTGAGTCCTGGTTTCCGGCAGACCGGTCACTCTCTCTCTCTCTGTTTCTATCTCTCATCTTTCTCTTGTTCAAGTTTCTTGAAGAATCTCCAAGAAAGAAAAAAAAAAAACTGTTATATACTCTGTGTGAATAATGAATGAGTGAGGGAGGACAAGGGCTCGCGCTTGTCCTCCAGTTTGTAGCTCCACGGCGAAAGCTACGGAGTTCAAGTAGGCCCTCACCTCACCTGCGGTTCTGTGGCGACCCCATAAGGCTTAAGGCAGCATCAGGCATAGCTTGATCTGAGCCGGAAGTTTATACCGGCCTGCCAATGCTAAGAGGAGCCCAAGTCCCCTCAGGGGGAGGGGCCAGGCAGTTATCTGACTGATCCTATCACAGGAAACCCTCCCCTTGTCTGTCTAAAAAAAAAAAAAAAAAAAAAAAAAAAGGAAGAAACTGTCGTAACTGTTTACATGCACTAAAGTCAATTGTTTGTTTTATATTGATTGTTCTGCTCAGTGTCTATTGTCTTGTTAGTAGTTGTCAGAGTTTTGCATGTCAAGACGTTGATATTGCCAAGACGTCTAAGTAAAAACTTCTTCAAAGCCCTTAGTGCTGATTTTTTGTCACAGGAGGTTAAATTTCTCATCAATCTTTTAGGCTGGCGACCACAGTCCTGTCTTTTCTGCCAGAAGCAAGTCAAGTGTTGTTACAAGAACAAGTGTGAAAAACATTTGCCTGATTAAGATTTCTAGCACTATGAAAGTTGTAAGTATTTAGATCGTCATACTCCACGTCCAGGTGATTAGACCTCCTCTAAACTAAACCAGTAGTGAGTTCAAAACAGCCACCCTGCAAATTTCCTTGCTCACCTCTCTCGTCATTCTGTAACTTTTCCTGTGCCCTTAAGTAGAACACTGTGTAAAGAAATGTACGCCCGTACTGCTTTACTTCATTTAGATTCTTACTCTGTTCCTCTGTGGCTACTGTCCCATCTTAAAAATGATCCGAGTAGTCCTTTTCTGCCTTGTCCCTGCCCCCTATCCCGCACATCTCGTTTTACGGTGCGACAGCAAGTTTACCATCTCCAGGACTTGGCTCTGCTCTCACTCCTTAAACCCTTAAAACAAAAAGCTAAGTTTAAGCTATTTGCATTTAAGTCATAAAGACACCAAAAATATTTAAAGTGCAGATCTAGAAGAAGAAGAAGAACGCCTAGATCAAACTGACCCAGAAGATCTCAGGCTGGCTCTAGTCCTCCTCCCTCAATCTTAAAGCTACAGCAATGTAGCAAGTAGTATTAGCTGTTGTAAGTTTTTCTGCTCTCTCTGGTCATACTGATTCTGTTCTTTCACTATGCCAGTCCCCCAAGAAATAAGTTTCTCTGTCCATGCTAAGTTTAATATCTATGCTCAAATCTTATTAAATTGCCTTCAAAAAAAATAAAAATAAGAAACACTTCCTCCCAGCCTTGTAAAGTTAAAGCCCTCTCCAATGTATGCTGCAGAATTTTTCTCTCAGTTCAGAGGATTATAAAGTCCGCCTAAAAAAGGCAAGTTCCAGACACTCTGCAAAATAAAATGGCCAAAGTTTAAAGTCAAGTGGCCCCCTGAAGGGTCATTGAACCTCACAATTGTTCAAGCTGTGTGGCAGGTTGTTACTGAAACTCCTAGTCACCCTGATCAGTTTCCCTACATTAGCTACGTTTAGTCAGGATCCACTCTCCATGGCTCCGTTCATGCGCCATTCATAATTCTACCTCCAAGGTCCTCCTAAGCCAGACCGCGTTTTCGCCTCAACCCTCAGTCGGTTCAGCTTCCCCTGTACTGCCTCCCTCTGAAGAAGAGGAGAGTCCCCCTCACCCAATCCCACCGCCTTACAACCAACCTTCTCCCTTAAAGTTATCCCATGTCTCCTCGACGACGTCCCCTGTAGGCTCGCCACCCATTGCCTCTCAGTCATGACCGTGGCAGGAAGAAGTAGTCCCTCTACTACCACTGAGAGAGGCACAAGTCCCTCCAGGTGACGAGCGCTCAGCACCCTTCTTAGTTTGTGTCCCTTTTTCTACTTCTGACTTATATAATTAGAAAACCCATAATCCTCCCTTCTCTGAAAAGCCCCAGGCTTTGACCTCTCTGACAGAGTCTGTACTCCGGACCCGCCCGCCCACCTAAGATGATTGCCAACAGCTCCTTTTAACCCTTTTCACCTCTGAAAAGAAGGAACGTATCCAAAAAGAAGCCAAAAAGTACTTCCTCACATCAGCCAACGGACCGGAAGAAGAAGCTAGAGACCTCCTTGAGGATGTCTTTCCCTCTACCCAGCCTAACCAGGACCCACATTCCTCAAGTAGAAAGGGAGCTTTAGACGATTTTCACCGGTATCTCCTCGCAAGTATTAAAAGAGCCTCTCAGAAACCCATCAACTTGTCTAAGACGACCGACGTTGTCCAAAAGCCCGATAAGTCACCAAGAACGTTTTAGAGCGCCTCCAGGAGGCTTATCGGATTTACACCCTTTTGACCCGGCAGCTCCCGAAAATAGCCTTGCTCTTAATTTACAATTTGTGGCTCAGGCAGCCCAGGATATTAAAAAGAAACTCCAAAAACTAAAAAGATTTTCTAGAATAAATATCAGTCAGCTTTTAGAAATAGCCCAAAAAGTTTTTGATAATCAAAAGCTTAAAAAACAAAAGCAACACAGGCAACTGGAAAGGCCGCTGATAAAGCATTCAGAAGACAAACAAAAATCTTAGTGGCAGCTATCCAAGAAGTACAGAATGAAGTAGCCCGTTAATTTAGCATTAACTGAAGCCCCTGCTTTAGCCCTCCCTAATATCTCCATAAAAGCCAAGGAGTTGCTAAAGACGTGCTTACTCAGACTTTAAGACCCTAAAGCCGCCCAGTGGCCTATTTGTCTAAGAGGCTAGATCCTGTGGCCTCTAGATGGCCAAGTTGTCTTCGAGCCTTAGCGGCTACAGCAAGCCTGGCCCAAGAAGTTGATAAGTTAACTCTAAGCCAAAATTTAACCCTTACAGCTCCTCACGCCGTAAAGACCTTACTACAAAATGCTTCTGGCAAATAGATGTCAAATGCTCGCATCTTGCGGTATCAAAGTTTACTGTTAGATCAGCCTCGTTTGACTTTCTCTCCCACAAAGTGTTACAATCCAGCTACACTACTTCCTGACTCAGACTCCACTATTCCTGCTCATGACTGTCAAGAACTGTTAGAAACTATCGAAACTGGCCTATCTGATCTTCAAGCTGTGCCCCTAGAAAAGGCAGATGCCGCCGTGTTCACAGACGGTAGCAGCTTCCTCAAGCAGGAAATATGAAGAGCCAGTGCAGCTGTTACCACGGAGACACATTTGTTGTAAGCTCAAGCTTTACCAGCGAACACCTCAGCACAAAAGGCTGAATTGATCGCCCTCACTCAGGCTCTCCAATAAAGTAAGAATAAACTTATTAACATTTACACTGACAGCAAGTACGCCTTTGCTGCTGTGCATGTACATAAAGCCATCTACCAGGAAAGCAGGCTACTCACCTCAGCAGGTAGCTGTGATCCACCGCAAAGGACATCAAAAAGAAAACACGGCCGTGGCCCATAGTAACCAGAAAGCTGATTCAGCAGCTCAGGTCGCAGCAAGACTTTCAGTCACGCCTCTAAACTTGCTGCCCACAGTCTCCTTTCCACAGCCAGATCTGCCTGACAATCCCGTATACTCAACAACAACAACAACTGGCTTCGGATCTCAGAGCCAATAAAAATCAGGAAAGTTAGTAGATTCTTCCTGACTCTAGAATCTTCATACCCTGAACTCTTAAACAAACTTTAACCAGTTACGTACAGTCTATCACCCATTTAAGAAGAGCAAAGCTACCTCAGCTCCTCCAGAGCCATTTTAAGATCCCCAGTCTTCAAAGCCTAAAGATTAAGCAGCTCTCCAGTGCACAACCTGAGCCCAAGTAAATGCCAAACAAAGTCCTAAACCCAGCCCAGGCCACTGTCTCTGGAAAAAGTCGCCAAGAAAAAAGTAAGAAATTGACTTTACAGAAGTCAAACCACACCAGGCTAAGTACAAATACCTTCTAGTACTAGTAGACACCTTCTCCAGATAGACTAAGGCATTTGCTACCGAAAACGAAACCACCAACATAGTAGTTAAGTTTTTACTCAATGAAATCATCCCTCAATATAGGCTGCCTGCTGCCATAAAGTCTGATAATAGAGCAGCCTTCACCTCGCCTATAGCTCAGTCAGTCAGTAAGGCGTTAAACATTCAACAGAAGCTCCATTGTGCCTATCAACCCGAGCTCCAGGCAAGTAGAACGCATGAACCACACCCTAAAAAACACTCTTATAAAATTAATCTTAAAAAAACAGTGTAAATTAAGTAAGTCTCCTTCCTTTAGCCCTACTTAAATTAAGGTGCACCTCTTACCAGGCTAATTTCTCACCTTTTGAAATTATGTATAATAAGGCACCGCCTATCTTGCCTAAGCTAAGAGATGCCAAATTAGCAGAAATATCACAAACTAATTTATTACAGTACCTATAGTCTCTCCAACAGGTACAAGATATTATCCTG
Organism: Homo sapiens; assembly: GCF_000001405.40. Taxonomy (NCBI): domain Eukaryota; kingdom Metazoa; phylum Chordata; class Mammalia; order Primates; family Hominidae; genus Homo; species Homo sapiens. The sequence continues at coordinate 5,717,160 of NW_018654717.1, read as the reverse complement.
CCACTTGTTCCAGGAGCCCATCCCAATCCAATTCCTGACCAAAGTCCTGCCATTCGCTCCAGCCAGGAGACCTAGTGTTTTTAAAAAGTTCCAAAAAGAAAGACTCACTCCTGCTTAGAAAAGACCTCACAACGTCATCTTCACGACTCCAATGGCTCTGAAAGTAGATGGCATTCCTGCTTACATTCATCACTCCCGCATCAAAAAGGCCAACAGAGTCCAACTAAAAACATAAGTCCCCAAGCCTAAGTCAGGACCCTTAAAACTGCACCTAAGTCAGGTGAAGCCATTAGATTCATTCTTTTTATCTACCTCACTCACTTGTTTTTGCCCATTACATCCTCTGTGCCTTCCTACTCCTTTCTCCTCACCTCTTTCACAACAGGACTTGTACTTGCAAACACCACTTAGAAGGCCAGTACCTCCAAGGAAGTGTCCTTTGCAGTTGACTTATTTGTACTCTTCCCAAAGCCAGCCCATACCCACGAAAAGCAACACAATCTGCCAGTTCCAGGAGCAGGAAGTGTCGACTTTGCAGCAAGACTCAGACACTCCAAGAGCCAAACTAAGTGTAGAAGCTCCAAAAGTGCAGAAAAAAGACTCCAAAATATTTACTTTTACCTCTGTCCTAGAAATCACCCTGATGCTAGCTGTCAAGATACTTATCAGTTTTCCTGTCTTGATTAGACATGTGTAACTTTAGCCACCTGCTCTAAAAGATCAACCAGATCTTCAACTCTTTCCATAAATCCTGCTTCTCATCCTAAATTATATACTAGAAGAAATTGTAATCCTCTTACTATAACTGTCCATGACCTTAATTCAACACAACAGTATCATGGCATGTCATGAAGATTAAGATTTTATATCCCAGGATTTAATGTTAAGTCTATGTTCACCATCCAAAAAAAACCTAGTCTCATAAAGCCCACCCAAGCCAATCAGGCCTTTAACTGATCTAAGTAACCCTATGTTCCAGAAACACCCTGAGAAAGTTGATTCAACTGTTCCTCCACCATTCTTAGGCATAAAAGATACACTCCAGAAAGTGCAAGAAAATCTAGATAAGCGCCAACAAGAACAAGAAAATAACATCCCCTAGTATCAAAGCATGTTCAACTAGAACCCAGAGCTAACTATTCTAATTACTAAGTTAGCCAGACCCCCTCCCCATCCTACTATTAAGTTTAATTTTTGGACCTTGTATATTAAATTAGTTTATTAATTTTGTAAAACAACGTATACCTTCTGTCAAACTTATGTATCTTAAGACTCAAAATAACCCCCTCGTTATAACTGAAGAATCAACGATTTGATTCCCCAAAAATACAAGTGAGGAATGTAATGCCCAACCTTGTTTTTACTAACCCTGTTCTTAGACTCTCCCTTTCTTTTAATCACCTAGCCTTGTTTCCACCTGAATTGACTCTCCCTTAGCTAAGAGAGGCAGACAGACTCCATCTTGGCTCTTTCACTGACAGCCCCTTCCTCAAGGACTTAACTTGTGCAAGCTGACGCCCAGCACATCGAAGAATGCAATTAACTGATAAGATACTGTGGTGAGCAATATCCGCAGTTCCCAGGAATTCGTCCAATTGATAACGCCCAAAGCCCCGCGTCTATCACCTCATAATAGTCTTAAAGCCCCTAGACCTAGAGCTGTTTACTTTCCTGCAACAATTTATCCTTTTAACTTTTTTGCCTACTTCTGTAAAATTGTTTTAACTAGACCCCCCTCCCCTTTCTAAACGAAAGTATAAAAGAAAATCTAGCCCCTTCTTCGAGGCCGAGAGAACTTTAAACGTTAGCCATTTCTTAGCCGCCGGCTAAATGAACAGACTCTTAATTCGTCTTAAAGTGTGGCATTTTCTCTAGCTCGTTCAAGTACAACACATCCAGCAGGCACGTAATCCACTCTAAAATGCCATCCTGGGGTAGTGAAGATGATGATGCTGGAAATATCCTTAAATGGCATGTGGATGAGTACCCCCAGAGGCATACATGTTGAGCTAAGTACTTTGCTGATGAAGGGTACAAGTTGAAGGGGTTTTGAAAGGCAGAGTGAGGTTCTTCAGAAGGCTGTTGCTACAGAAAGACAGGAGGAGAAATTACATGGCCAGATAGAGTGGCATGACCATTGGATAAGGGCTTTTTGTTTGTTGGTTTTTGAGATGGAGTTTTACTCTTGTTGCCCAGGCTGGAGTGCAATAGCACGATCTCAGCTCACCGCAACCTACGCCTCCCAGGTTCAAGCGATTCTCCTGCCTCAGCCTCCCTAGTAGCTGGAATTACAGGCATGTACCACCACTCCCGGCTAATTGTGTATTTTTTGTAGAGATGGGGTTTGTCCATGTTGGTCAGGCTGGTCTTGAACTCCCGACCTCAGGTGATCCACCCGCCTTGGCCTCCCAAATTGCTGGGATTACAGGCGTGAGTCACCGTGCCCAGTCTGGATGAGGGTCTTTAGCAAAGATGGAAGTTTTGGTACCTTGCAGTTTAGTCTCTTCATTTATGTCCTCCTGAAATCTTCAGGAATTGCACTATTTTGTCAATACTTCTGGGGTCATACTTAGGGGGACTTAAAGGAGATGTGATGTGGCAGCCTTTGACTTAAGGGAGTATCATACTAGCTCAAAGAGATCTGGGTACATGCCAGTTGAACCAACTCTTCTGAGGATGTGATAGATCCTGGGAGGCCACTCTGATCCTGCCAACGTTGAGGCCAGATGAGTCTTTGAAAAACATGGTTTGGCTTAACACCAGCACTTACTCTAACACCCACCATGAATCTTGCTGAACTGAAGCTATACAAATACCTTTTCAAAAGATTTTTTTTCATTCCAGATCCTTCTTAGAAATTCCTAAGGCTCAATGCTTTGTGGAAGATTCTGAGAAAGAAAATAGTTTCCGATCTTTGGGATTCCCGAGATGGTCCAATCTGCAAAAAGTTCATTGCCATTTCCATCAAGGACACTGAGAACAAGAGTCTTATCTGGATTGGATCCTGGGAATTGAGAAGCTTCAGCAGGTGGGAAATGCACCCTCCACAGGCTCACACCCTTGTGGGCTGTTTCAGTTACCTATTGCACCTAAAATTAGAAACTTTAAACCACCAGAAGCCATTATTGCTCATGACCCTGTGAGTTGCATGGGGACTTCCTGGCTGGTTTAACCTGGGCTCATTTGTGTGGCTACCTGCAGCTGGAGGGCCAGCTGGGCGGAGCATCCAGGACGGCCTCATGCATGTGCCTGGCAGTTGGTGCTGGTTGTCAGCCGGGGAGCCTTGTTTTCCTCCATGTGGCCCCTCGCCCTCCAGAACCCCTCTCCAAATGTCCCTTTAAGCAGGATAGCCAAGGTTTGCTTGGTGCCAGCATCCAAGAGGGCAAAAATATGGAAACTACGAGAGGGCTCTCAAGACCTAAGACTATTTGCACCCCAAAAATATGAGGTCTCAGTTAATTCAGAAAGTTTATTTTGCCAAGGTTAAGGACTCACGCCTGTGACACAGCCTCGGGAGGTCCTGACAACATGGGCCTAAGGTGGTGGGGACACAGCTTGGTTTGATACATTTTAGAGAGACATGAGACATCAATCAATATGTGTAAGATGTACATTGTTTCAGTCTGGAAAGGCGGGACAACTCCAGGTGAAAGTGAAGGTGAGACAAGGGGAAGGGGCTTCCAGGTCATTGGTAGTTAAGAGACAAATGGTTGCATTGTTGTGAGTTCCTGATTAGCCTCTCCAAATGAGGCAATCAGATATACATTCATCTCAGTAAGCAAAGGGTTAACTGAATAGAATGGGAGGCAGGTTTCCCTTAAGCAGTTCCCAGCTTGACTTTTCTCTTTAGCTTAGTAACTTTTTTTTGGGTGGGCGGACAGAGTCTCGCTCTGTTGTGCAGGCTGGAGTGCAGTGGTACGATCTCGGCTTATTGCAACCTCCAACTCCAGGGTTCAAGAAGTTTCCCTGCCTCAGCATCCCAAGTAGCTGGGATTACAGGCGCCTGCCACCACGCCTGGCTAATTTTCATATATTTTAGTAGAGATGGGGTTTTGTCATGTTGGCCAGGCTGGTCTTGAACTCCTGACCTCAGGTGATCTGCCCGCCTCAGCTTCCCAAAGTGCTGGGATTACAGGCGTGAGCCACGGAGCCCAGCCTAGCTTAGTGATCTTGGGGCCCCAAGGTTTATTTTCCTTTTACGGCTAGAAGTTGGTCACCATCAATTTGACAGCATTCCACTGACCAAAGCAAGTCATAGGCAGCCCAGATTCATGTAGAGGAGTATAAATTTTCCCTCTTTAAGGAAAGATTGGTTCAATTATACTGCACGAACATTTGCAGAAAGTTGTACCCATCTTTGGAAACTACCACACACACACACACACACACACACACACACACACCCCTTTACATGCAACCCTCCCTTGAGGTGCATCTACTTCCAGGCAGAACCAAAACTTGACAGTACTCGACAGAAGAAAAGTAGCGTCCTAAATGCCAGTTCTCTTCTTACTCAACTTCAGCCTCATTATAAGCAGATTCTAACAGTTTATGTGTCTTGAGAAACATTTTAATTAATCTTTGGAATTTAAGAATTTCAATTCATAGCAGTAGCCTATGCATAGGAAATATGCATATTGTAAGTTTTTCCTTTCTGATAAATCACGCTGGGGGAACGACAATGTAACTTTTTTTTTTTTTTTTGAGGAGTCTCACTCTGTTGCCCAGGCTGGAGGGCAGTGGCATGATCTCAGCTCATGCAACCTCCCCCTCCCTGGTTCAAGCAATTCTCCTGCCTCAGCCTCCTGAGTAGCTGGGATTACAGGTGCACAAGACGGGGTTTCACCATGTTGGTCAGGTTGGTCTCGAACTCCTGACCTCTGATCTGCCCACCTCAGCCTCTCAAAGTGCTGGGATTATAGGCGTGAGCCACCGGCTCACGTATACTGTGACAGTATATTGAAAGTTTCTCTTTTTTTCAAATAATTAACAGGTTTAACAGAATGTATCTCCTGATCTATTCCTTTCACTGCAGACATCTATTGCCTTTTCAGCCTAGCAGCCCTCCCCTCTATAGAGAGTCACACTTCCTACTCCAGTCATGTGGATCTCATGAGGGCTGCCATGTTCTCAAATGACTCCACCTCCCTGGCCTCAGTTGATTGGTCCAGGGATGAGCATCTGGCCTAAATTGGCCAATCAGAATTCTTCCCTTGAATATTTTTCCAAACTGGAACTAGACCAAGTTAATCATTCTCTGTGATGACAGGAATTGTGTGTAGTGAGAAATACAGGAGCTTTTGTGGACACGTTTCTCACCTTATGGAGAAAAGGCTTGAGTAAGAAGAAATTAAGCCAGTATGCAGACAAAGCTAGAGACAGAGATAGAGAGAGAGATCTTGTGGTAAGCCCCTTGGTTTTTGTCATTTTAGTACATGCTCGATACTGCATACAACCAAGACTTTCACCTGAGGGCTTTCTGAAAGTCAGGCATGGAGTATGTCAGAAAAGCCACAGAAGCTGGGCGCAGTGGCTCACTCCTGTAATCCCAACACTGGGAGGCCGAGGCAGGTGGATCACGAGGTCAGGAGTTAGAGACCAGCCTGACCAACGTGGCAAAACCCCGTCTCTACAAAAAATAAAAAAAATTAGCCGGGCATGGTGGCAGGCGCCTGTAATCCCAGCTACTGAGGAAGCCGAGGCAAGAGAATCGTTTGAACCTGGGAGGCAGATGTTGCAGTGAGCCGAGATCATGCCTTTGCAGTCCAGCCTGGGTGACAGAGCAAGACTATGTCTCAAAAAAAAAAAAAAAAAGAAGAAGAAGAAAGCAAAGCCAGAGAGTTGATGCCCTGGGACCAGTCCTCAGCCAGTGACGGATGGGAGCCAGGCTATAAATGCTTCAATATCTTTGCCCCCTGGATGGAACAACTTTGAAATGTATTCCACATCACCTCTCAGAGGTCCCCAGTGGGGTCAAATCCTAGTTGCCTAGAGTGGTAAGCTGCTCATTGAAGCCCCCTGTGTGGCCTCCTACCTTTCCATGAATCAATTCCTCACTCCCCTATTGGTGTCCCCTGGAATCATCTCCTAAATAATCCACTTGCAATCCTGTCCCTCTTTCAGGATCTGCTTGGGGTTGGGGTTGGGGAGTGCAGAGAAAAACATGATCCCTTTTCCACTCCACACTAGTAAGATGAGTTTCTGTCACTGACAACCAAGAGTTCTGACTATTACCTCCTTCTGAGATAATTCCTAAAATGTATTTGGGAATTTCCCCACCTCCACCCCACTGCATATGTCATCAATATGTAGATTTCTTAACAAAGTTTAATGGTATTCTTTGATCAACCTCAAGTTTCACAAAACACACTGCACTTTCATAAGGGCTCCCCAGGACTGACAGATCAGCCGTTCAAAAGAAGGGAAGTGTCAGAGATGGCTCTCCTAGACTCGCGTATTTTTCAGTAGAATCTGGGTCAGGATGTTGTGGTCGGGAGATGCTTCTGGATCTCTGGGACCCACAAGCCTGCGTGTCATGGTGGAGTATTAGGACAACTTGAAAACATAGTGGCAGGAGGAGGCTTCCTCTCTCCCCTGCAGTTCATCCTCCAGCACACCCAATGTGCTCAACAGATATTGGTTAAATGAATAATGGGGCCGGGCATGGTGGCTCACGCCTGTAATCCCAGCACTTTGGGAGGCTGAGGCAGGTGGATCACCTGAGGTCAGGAGTTCAAGACCAGCCTGGCCATAGAGGCAGGAGAAGCACTTGAACCTGGAAGGCGGAGTTTACAGCACGCTGAGATGGCACCACTGCACTCCAGCCTGGGTGACAGAGCAAGACTCAAAAAAAAAAAAAAATGGATTTATTCCTTCCAAACTGAAACTCACCAAAAGAAGACCAACACGCATGACAATGTTGTGGCCATAATCACCACAGTGACAATAATAAATATAATCAACTCTCGAGCCAGCCACCTCCACTAAACCTAGTGGATCACATCTAGTGTTTCACTTTGGGGATATTTTAGTGGTCATCGTAGATTGTCGCCTGACTGCTGGCTGTTTCTACCATGTTTCAGGAATATAGAGATGTGTACAGATGGCCCCTAAAATTAATTAGTATGCAATTCTCAAAGAGCCAAACTGTACCCCAAAAGCTACTGGAATGAAAAAAAAAAGTTTTAATTCTCAAAGAGACAAACTAGATAGTAGAAGCATTTATGTTCCCTTGGAGAATCTTCCCACCAAGGACTCAAAGTTGTCTCCAGACCAGGGAATGCCTGGGGCCTTGGACTTTCCCAATTCTGGTATCACCTCCCATTCTCCTTTAGGTCCAGCTTTCTCAGAGGGGCATGCATTGTTCATTGCCACCAAGGGTATCCAAGGACAGAAACTGAAGATAATAGTGCCTTATTGTCTCTCAGTCATCTTTCTCTCCCACATGCTGGAAAGAGAGCCAAGTCCAATTTATCCAATTACAAAATAGCAACATTGGCATCATGAGATCAGCTAACAAAACTTTCAGAGGCAATCTATCTTCCTACCAAAAGTAACCAACATCTGTGGAGCACTGACCATGACTAAGGGTCAACATAAGTGGTTTGCATGCTACATGCATCAGGATGGACTAGGTTATGCTGCAGTAACAAATTAACCCCAGAGTCTCAGCAGCTTAGCAACCAAGGTTGATTTCTTACATTCCATGTCCACAATGGGTTGGCTGGGTATGGTGTGCTCCATATGGCCACTCAAAGACCTAGAATGATGGAAATTCTACCATCTTAATGTAAGGATTCTCCCCTAGTTACTGCACCAGGAGATGAGAGAATGAGATAGTTATTTCCAAGCCCTCAAAAGCTGTAGACTAGAGGTGATGTCAGTGACTTCCACTTATAGAGCATTGGACCCTGGCATGGATCCATCTAACTACGGGGGTCTGGGGAATACAGGGAGCAGATGGAAATCCCATGAGCAGTAACCATTCCTGCCAGCATGCATTATTTCATCTGAACCTCACAACCCTATGGAATATATAACAGAGGCTTGGAGAGTTATGGGACCTGCCCCAAGGCATCATAGATAATGAGTTGCAGAGCTGAGATATGACCTTCGGCCTCCTCACCCACCTCCTCACCCACCCCCACCCCCACCGAAAGAATCAAACTACGCAAATAACTGGAATGAAATTCTCAGGCAATTTCAGCAGGGGAAATGGGGTTATCTCATCTGGGTCTCACATCCGACCTCGTCAAGACAAGACCTTCCCTACACTTCACCTGAACACCTGGACACACTGTCATGTCTTGCCAGTTCTTGTTACTGGAGATCCAATGATGATGTCTTTATACAATTTATAGGTCTTTCTATAAGTGTCAAGATAAATGTCATCTCTGTACCTGCCTATCTTTCAGAGGTAGGCAAGCTTCTATGTAAAGTGCTAGATAGTAAATATTATAAACTTTTCAGGACTCATCTGATCTCCATCCTATATATTTTTTTGTTTTTATTTTTGTTTTACAAATTTTTTTTTTCTTTCTAGATAGGGTCTAAAAAGAAAATAAAACTTATCCATGTTGTGATATGGATGAACGTTAGGGTTAGTGAAAGAAGCAGACATGAAAGGTCATATATTGTAGAATTCCATTTATATGCAATGTTCAGACTAAGCCAATCGACAGAGATAGAAAGTAGATGAGAGGTTTCCAACGGCTGCAGGAGGGAGTATGCAGAGTGACTGCTGAATGGATATGAGGCTTCCAACTGAGGTGTTGAAAAAGCCCTGAAACTAGGTAGTGGTGATAATTGCACAACATGATAGATGTACAAAATGTCCCTGAATTGTACACTTTCAGATGCACAAAATGATAAATGTTGCATATATTATACCACAATTTTATTCATTTATTTTAGAGATAGAGTCTCACTCCGTCACCCAGGCTGCAGTGCAATGTCACAGTCATAGCTCACTGCTGCCTTTACCGCCTGGACTCAAGCAATCCTCCCACCTAGTCTTCCAAGTAGCTGGGACTACAGGTGAACGCTACCACACCCAGCTTTTTAAATTTTTTTATAGAGTTGCATTCTCAGTATATTGCCCAGATTGGCCCAAACTCCTGGCTTCAAGTGATTCTCTCATCTCAGCCTCCCAAAGTGCTGGGATAACAGGTGTAAGACATCAGGCCAGGCAATTTTCAATTCTTATGCAAAATTTTCAACTAATTCCTAGGATTGAAAAAAATGTCGATCAACATGGGGATTAGAGGAAAAAATAATTTTAAACAAGAGAAAAAATTAAATGAGATGATGTACATGTATACAGTGCCTGGCCTCATGATCAATGACTCCACTGCAGCTTTTTATTTCTTTTTCCATACAGGGTCTCACTCTGTCACCCAGGCTGAGTACAGTGGCATAATCATGGCTTACTACAGCCTCAACCTCCTGGGCACAAGTGATCCTCCCACCTCAGCCTCTCAAGTAGCTGGGACTACAGATGCACACAATCACACCTAGCTATTTGTGTTGTTGTTGTTATATTTTTTGGTAGTGGCAGGGTCTCACCATGTTGCCCAGGCTGGCATCTCGAACTCCTGGGCTCAAGCGATCCTCCCACCTCAGCTTCCCAAAGTGCTGGGATTACAGGTGTGAGCCACCATGCCCATCCTGTTGTAGCTATTTTAATAGTGCTGGTGAACAATAATTTGCTCTCCCTATAAAAACAGAACATACTAAGCCAAGGAAAGCACCAATCTAGTTTGTTCTCCCCAGATCTTCAAAGTGTTGGAATTAGTATAAGAGTCCAAAATATTTCATGTGGTTTGATTTTTTTTTTTTTTTTTTTTTTTTTTTGGAGATGCAGTCTCGTTCCATCGTCCAGGTTGGAAGGCAGTGGAGCAATCTCAGCTCACTGCAACCTCCGCCTCCCGGGTTCAAGCAATTCTCCTGCCTCAGCCTCCCGAGTAGCTGGGATTACAGACATGTACCGCCACGCCTGGCTAATTTTTGCATTTTTAGTAGAGATGGGGTTTCTCCATGTTGGCCAGGCTGGTCTTGAACTCCTGACCTCAAATGATCTACCCGCCTTGGCCTCCCAAAGTGCTGGGATTACAGGTGTAAGCCACCATGCCCGGCCAGCTTGATTTTTTACTGTGGTAAAATACATACAAAATCTATTATTTTAGCCATTTTCAAAGGAAAAATTCAGTGGTATTAAGTGCATCCCCCACATTGTACAGCCATGTCCCCCATCCATCTCCAGAACGCTTTCATACTGTCCTGCAAATATGCAGCACCTTGCTACACTCCAGGTTGTTTGTCCCACAACAGAGCTGGGCTGAATTACTAATGCGGACTTTGTTTAACAACGGACTAAAGAGGGAGAAGCCCATGAACTCTGTGAGGAGTGCATGACAGGTGCTTGTGGGATGACATGACTCGGCGCCCTCCAGCTGCTGCTGCCACCGCCTGTCCTGCTGGGCGGCCACCCCCTCGCAGGGAAGAAGAGCACTCACAACTGCTGCTGATCTCCTTCCAGGGCTTCCGCTGGGACTAGGATCAGGATGTGAACACCCCCAACCTGGACCATCTGGCCAGGGAGGGCGTCAAGGTCAAGTACCTCATGCCGCCCCTTGTGACAATGACCTCCCCGTCCCACTTCACTGCCATCACAGGTAAGCGCCACTCTGCCCATTTCACCCGATGCCCATCAAATCCCCAGCGTCCGTCATTCCCTGTGATAAGAAGCAAAAGCTCGGTCAGCTCTAGGGAGGTTGAGGTTGCTCCGGGGTCTCACTCTGTTGCCCAGGCTGTAGCTCCGTGGCATAATCACAGCTCAGTGGAGCCTCAAGCTCCTGGTCTCAAGCAGTCCTCCCTAGCTCAGTCTCCTCAGTAGCTGGGGATACAGACAAGCCACCATGCCTGATTTTCTCATTTTCTTAGAAACTGGGGCAGGGGGTGTCTCACTATGTTGCCTGGGCTGGTTTTGAACTCCTGGCCTCAAGTGATCATCCCACCTCAGCCTCCCAAAGTGCTGAGATTGGAGACATGAGCTACCGTGACTGGCCTGTTCTTTTTTTTAAAAGTAAATAAGGCCGAGCATGGTGACTCACCCCTGTAATCCCAGCACTTTTGGTGGCTGAGGTGGGTGGATCACCTGAGGTCAGGAGTTCAAGACCAGCTTGCCCAACATGGTGAAACGTCACCTATCCTAAAAATACAAAAATAAGCTGGGCGTGGTGGCAGATGCCTATAACCACAGCTACTCTGGAGTCTGATACAGGAGAATCACTTGAACCCAGGAGGTGGTAGTTGAAGTGAGCTGAGATCATGCCATTGCATTCCAGTTTGGGCAAAAGAGCAAGATTTTTGTCTCAAAAAAAAAACAAAAGTAATAAAAATAAAAAGGTAAATAACTAAAATCACTTTTAAATAATTGTATAAAAATAATAAAACACTGACATTTACAGAGCTCAGTTAGATGAGGTGACTCATACCTTCCAATGGTGTCTTGGTTCTCTTACATAAGAATTCAAATGTCTTTCTGTGGCCCAAAAGATCCCACACAGCCTGGCCCCTGGCCTATCTTCTGCCAGCCTCTCTCATCTCTCTCCCTCTCCTTCACTTCCTTCCGGATCACAAAGGCCTTTGCCTGTGCCTTCTGCCCTGCTCCCTCAAGCCCCAGGGCCTTGGCCTGTGCTAGTCCAGTCCCTCCAGCTCACCAGGAGCATACAGTCCAGTCGGGGAGACAGACACCAGACACCCAAACAGGCACATACATCCTGTAACAACTCAGGAGGCATCAAGGAGGAAAACGAGTTTTCCAGGCACAGACTACAGGCGTAAACTGGTTTCAAACTAGAGAGGGAGAAAGGGGGTCTCTGAGCATGGGGCAGTTGAGCTGAAAGAGATCTCAGGGGACCAGAGGAAGGAAAAGTGTTCCAGGCGAGGGAAGAGCATGTGTGAGGTCTCTGAGACAAAGACCTGGTCATTTCAGAATCCCAATGGCCACTAAAATAGAGGGATTCCAACCTAAAAAGGAGGAAGAGGAGGCTGCTGGAAAGCAAAGGACTCTGTGTAAGAATCATAATAGCAGGAGTGGAGCCAAGATGGCCGAATAGGAACAGCTCCAGTCTACAATTCCTGGCGTGAGCGACCCAGAAGACAGGTGATTTCTGCATTTCCAACTGAGGTACTTGGTTCATCTCACTGGAGAGTGTCAGAAAGTGGGTGCAGGACACTTGGTGCAGTGCACCGAGCATGAGCCAAGCAGGACAAGGCATTGCCTCACCTGGGAAGTGCAAGGGGTCAGAGAATTCCCTTCCCTAGTCAAAGAAACGGGTGACAGATGGCACCTGGAAAATCGGGTCACTCACACCCTAATACTGCACTTTTCCAATGGTCTTAGCAAACGGCACACCAGGAGATTATATCCCATGCCTGGCTCAGAGGGTCCTAAACCCATGGAGCCTCACTCATTGCTAGCACAGCAGTATGAGATCAAACTGCAAGGTGGCAGCAAGGCTGGGGGAGGGGCGCCCGCCATTGCCTAGGCTTCAGTAGGTAAACAAAGCAGCTGGGAAGCTCCAACTGGGTGGAGCCCACCTCAGCTCAAGGAGGCCTGTCTGCCTCTGTAGACTCCACCTCTGGGGGCAGGGCATTGGCAAACAAAAGGCAGCAGAATCCTCTGCAGACTTAAATATCCCTGTCTGACAGCTTTGAAGAGAGAAGTGGTTCTCCCAGCACACAGCTGGAGATCTGAGAATGGACAGATTGCCTCCTCAAGTGGGTCCCTGACCCCCGAGTTGCCTAACTGGAGGCACACCCCCGTAGGGGCAGACTGACACCTCACATGGCCGGGTACTCCTCTGAGACAAAACTTCCAGAGGAACAATCAGGCAGCAACATTTGCTGCTCAACAATATCTGCTGTTCTGCAGCCTCAACTGCTGACACCCAGGCAAACTCCAACAGACCTGCAGCTGAGGGTCCTGACTCTTAGAAGGAAAACTAACAAACAGAAAAGACATCCACACTTAAAACCCCATCTGTACGTCACCATCATCAAAGACCAAAGGTAGATAAAGCCACAAAGATGGGGAAAAAACAGACACACACAGGCTCAAATAAAGGGATGGAGGAAGATCTACCAAGCAAATGGAAAACAAAAAAAAGGCAGGTGTTGCAATCCTAGTCTCTGATAAAACAGACTTTAAACCAACAAAGATCAAAAGAGACAAAGAAGGCCATTACATAATGGTAAAGGGATCAATTCAACAAGAAGAGCTAACTATCCTAAATATATATGCACCCAATACATGAGCACTCAGATTCAAAAAGCAAGTCCTTAGAGACCTACAAAGAGACTTAGACTCCCACACAATAATAATAGGAGGCTTTAACACCCCACTGTCAACATTAGACAGATCAACAAGACAGAAAGTTAACAAGTATATTCAGGAATTGAACTCAGCTCTGCACCAAGCGGAACTAATAGACATCTACAGAACTCTCCACCCCAAATCAACAGAATATACAGTCTTCTCAGCACCACATCGCACTTCTTCCAAAATTGACCACATAGTTGGAAGTGAAGCACTCTTCAGCAAATGTAAAACAACAGAAATTATAACAAACTGTCTCTCAGACCACAGTGCAATCAAACTAGAACTCAGGATTAAGAAACTCTCTCAAAACTACTCAACTACATGAAAACTGAACAACCTGCTCCTGAATGACTACTGGGTACATAATGAAATGAAGGCAGAAATAAAGGTGTTCTTTGAAACCAACGAGAACAAAGACACAACATACCAGAATCTCTCGGACACATTCAAAGCAGTGTGTAGAGGGAAATTTATAGCACTAAATGCCCACAAGAGAAAACAGGAAATATCTAAAATTGACACCCTAACATCACAATTAAAAGAACTAGAGAAGCAAAGAGCAAACACATTCAAAAGCTAGCAGAAGGCAAGAAATAACTAAGATCAGAGCAGAACTGAAGGAAATAGAGACACAAAAAACCCTTCAAAAAATCCATGAATCCAGGAGCTGGTTTTTTGAAAAGATCAACAAAATTGATAGACCACTAGCAAGACTAATAAAGAAAAGAGAGAAGAATCCAATAGACACAATAAAAATTGATAAAGGGGATATCACCACCAATCCCACAAAAATACAAACTACCATCAGAGGATAGTATAAACACCTCTATGCAAATAAACTAGAAAACCTAGAAGAAATGGATAAATTCCTCGACACGTACACCCTCCCAAGGCTAAACCAGGAAGAAGTTGAATCTCTGAATAGACCAATAACAGGTTCTGAAATTGAGACAATAATTAATAGCTTACCAACCAAAAAAAGTCCATGACCAGACGGAATCACAGACGAATTCCACCAGAGGTAAAAGGAGGAGCTGGTACCATTCCTTCTGAAACTATTCCAAACAATAGAAAAAGAGGGAATCCTACCTAACTCATTTTATGAGGCCAGCATCATCTTGATACCAAAGCCGGGCAGAGACACAACCAAAAAAGAGAATTTTAGACCAATATCCCTGATGAACATCGATGCAAAAATCCTCTATAAAATACTGGCAAACCGAATCCAGCAGCACATCAAAAACTTATCCACCATGATCAAGTGGGCTTCCTCCCTGGGATGCAAGATTGGTTCAACATTTGCAAATCAGTAAACATAATCCAGCATATAAACAGAACCAATGACAAAAACCATATGATTATCTCATTACATGCAGAAAAGGCCTGTGACAAAATTCAACAACCTTCATGCTGAAAACTCTCAATAAATTAAGTATTGATGGGACGTATCTCAAAATAATAAGAGCTATCTATGACAAACCCACAGCCAATATCATACTGAATGGGCAAAAACTGGAAGCATTCCCTTTGAAAACTGGCACAAGACAGGGATGCCCTCTCTCACCACTCCTATTCAACATAGTGTTGGAAGTTCTGGCCAGGGCAATCAGGGAGGAGAAGGAAATAAAGGGTATTCAATTAAGAAAAGAGGAAGTCAAATTGTCCCTGTTTGCAGATGACATGATTGTATATCAAGAAAACCCCACTGTCTCAGCCCAAAATCTCCTTAAGCTGATAGGCAACTTCAGCAAAGTCTCAGGATACAAAATCAATTTGCAAAAATCACAAGCATTCTTATAAACCAATACAGACAAACAGAGAGCCAAATCATGAGTGAACTCCCATTCACAATTGCTTCAAAGAGAATAAAATACCTAGGAATCCAACTTACAAGGGATATGAAGGACCTCTTCAAGGAGAACTATAAACCACTGCTCAACGAAATAAAAGAGGACACAAACAAATGGAAGAACATTCCATGCTCATGAGTAGGAAGAATCAATATCGTAAAAATGGCCATATTGGCCAAGGTAATTTATAGATTCAATGCCATCCCCATCAAGTTACCAATGACTTTCTTCACAGAATTGGAAAAAACTACTTTAAAGTTCATATGGAACCAAAAAAGAGCCCGCATTGCCAAGTCAATCCTAAGCCAAAAGAACAAAGCTAGAGGCATCACACTACCTGACTTCAAACTATACTACAAGGCTACAGTAATCAAAACAGCCTGGTACTGGTACAAAAACAGAGATATAGACCAATGGAACAGAACAGAGCCCTCAGGAATAATGCCACATATCTACAACCATCTGATCTTTGACAAACCTGACAAAAACATGAAACGGGGAAAGGATTCCCTATTTAATAAATGGTGCTGGGAAAACTGGCTAGCCATATGAAGAAAGCTGAAACTGGATCCCTTCCTTACACCTTAGACAAAAATTAATTCAAGATGGATTAGACTTAAATGTTAGACCTAAAACCATAAAAACCCTAGAAGAAAACCTCAGCAATATCATTCAGGACATAGGCATGGGCAAGGAATTCATGTCTAAAACACCAAAAGCAATGGCAAGAAAAGCCAAAATTAACAAATGGGATCTAATTAAACTAAAGAGCTTCTGCACAGCAAAAGAAACTACCATCAGAGTGAACAGGCAACCTACAGAATGGGAGAAAATTTTTGCAATCTACTCATCTGACAAAGGGCTAATATCAAGAATCTACAATGAGCTCCAATAAATTTACAAGAAAAAAACAAACAACCCATCAAAAAGTGGGCAAAGGATATGAACAGACACTTCTCAAAAGAAGACATTTATGTAGCCAAAAGACACGTGAAAAAAATGCTCATCATCCCTGGCCAGAGAAATGCAAGTCAAAACAACAATGTGATACCATCTCACCCCAGTTAGAATGGCGATCATTAACAAGTCAGGAAACAACAGGTGCTGGAGAGGATGTGGAGAAATAGGAACACTTTTACGCTGTTGGTGGGACTGTAAACTAGTTCACCCATTGTGAAATTCAGTGTGGCAATTCCTCAGGGATCTAGAACTAGAAATACCATTTGACCCAGCCATCCCATTACTGGGTATATACCCAAAGGATTATAAATCATGCTGCTATAAAGACACATGCACACGTATGTTTATAGTGGCACTATTCACAATAGCAAAGACTTGGAACCAAGCCAAATGTCCAACAATGATAGACAGGATTAAGAAAATATGGCACATATACACCATGGAATACTATGCAGCCATAAACAATGATTTCATGTCCTTTGTAGGGACATGGATGAAGCTGGAAACCATCATTCTCTGCAAACTATTGCAAGGACAAAAAACCAAACACCGCATGTTCTCACTCATAGGTAGGAATTAAACAATGAGAACACATGGACACAGGAAGGGGAACATCACACACTGGGACCTGTTGTGGGGGCGGGGGAGGCGGGAGGGATAGCATTAAGAGATATACCTAATGTTAAATGACGAGTTAATGGGTACAGCACACCAACATGGCACATGTATACATATGTAACAAACCTGCACGTTGTGCACATGTACCCTAAAACTTAAGGTATAGTACAAAATAAAAAATAAGATAAAAACTTCGGCTGTTGACTCCCAATATCCTGCTTCATCATCTCTCTACTCCAGAAACTTTTCACATGCTTACAAAGGGTGTTCGTTTCTCCTCTAAGTATTTGCTCCCCAGCCCCACCTGCAAGAAGGTGGAAGTAGGGCCTCTGCCTGGGATGGTAACTCTCAAATATAAGGCAAGACCTGTCTCTCCACCAGTATCCCCAGGACTGAAGGACTGTGAAAGTCTGCATATTGATCAAGCTTCTCCCTCCCTTATCTGAAGGGACTTACTTCCTTCAAGACACTTTTCCTCTTCCCACCTAGCTCCATGCCCCCATCCAGTCATCTTCCAACCCATCTCTCCCAACCTGCATGCCACACAAGAGGGGCGTGGCCACAGCACCTGGAAGTTCATTAAAACTGAATGGTGTGTCAGGCCAGGTGCGGTGGCTCATGTCAGCAACCCCAGCACTTTGGGAGGCTGAGGCAGGCAGGTCACTTGAGGTCAGGAGTTCGAGACCAGCCTGGCCAAAATGGAGAAACTCCATCTCTACTAAAAATATAAAAATTAGCTGGGTTTGGTTGTGCTTGCCTGTAGTCCTAGCTACTTGGGGGGCTGAGGAAAGGGAATCACTTGAACCTGGGAGGCAGAGGTTACAGTGAGCCAAGATTGCGCCATTGCACTCAAGCCTGGGCGATAGAGTGAGACTCTGTCTCAAAAAAAAAAAAGAAAAAAAAAGAAAAAAGAAAAAAAAGAAATCGAATGGTGTGATTAGCTTATGATTTTTTAAAAATGGAATGATGTATTCATTTTCTAAGCTGCATAACAAATCAACACAAATTTAGCAGCTTAAAACATCCATCTATTACCTCTCCTTTCCTGTGGGTCAGGAGTCTGGGAGTGCAGTTCAGCTGGGCCCTCTGCTTAGGTACTTACAAGGTTGTGATCAAGGTGTTGGCTGGAATTAGTGTCTCATATGAGGCTTGGGGTCTTCTCCCAACCTCACATGGTTGTTGGCAGAATTTATTTCCATGCAACTGTGGAACTCATGTGGCTTGCTTCTTCAAAACCAGCCAGGCATGGTGGCTCACGCCTGTAATCCCAGCACTTTCGGAGGCCGAGGCAGGTGGATCACCTGATGTCAGGAGTTCGAGACCAGCCTGGCCAATATGGTGAAACCCCATCTCTACTAAAAATACAAAACTTAGCCGGTCATGATTGTGCACGCCTGTAATCCCAGCTACTTGGGAGACTGAGGCAGGAGAATCACTTGAACCCAGGAGACAGAGGTTGCAGTAAGCCGAGATCGTGCCACTGCACTCCAGCCTGGGCAACAGAGTGAGACTCCATGTCAAAAACAAACAAACAAACAAAAACCAAAAACCAGGAGGAAGGAGTCTCTCTCCTCCAGACCCTCATTGAAGATCTCACCTGAAGATGTCAGGCCCACCCTGAATAATCTCTCTTTTGATTAACTCAAAGTGAATGGATTAGGGGCTTAGTTACATCTGCAAAATCCCTTCAACTTTTCCATAGGTATAGATTAGAAGCAAGCCACGGGTCCTGCCTACACTCCAGGGGAGAGGAGATTACACCTGGCATTTATCCAGGGCAAGAACCTAAGGGGTCATCTCAGAATTCTGCCTTCCAAATAGATCCTCGGTGGAGCTCACGAGCCTGGGCGAGCACCAGCCTTTGTTTAAAGCCAACAGAGAATGATGCCCTGGCTCAGATCTCCAGCAAGCCTCCAGAATGATGGTCCAGTCTCTGAACCCTGGGCCAAGGCAGCAGGAGGTTTGGGTGCACATGGGGGCTTCCCCCACTTTGAAGTGAGTCGTCACATCTGTATTAGACCCTAGCTGTTGCTTAGGCAAAAATGATGATTTAGAAGAAGATGGAGAGAAGAGGAGAGTTAATTTAAAAGTACTTGTATTCGGCCGGACGTGGTGGTTCACGCCTGTAATCCCAGCACTTTGGGAGGCTGAGGCAGGCGGATCACGAGGTCAGGAGATGGAGACCATCCTGGCTAACACGGTGAAACCGTGTCTCTATTAAAAATACAAAAAATTAGCTGGGCGTGGTGGCGGGTGCCTGTAGTCCCAGCTACTCAGGAGGCTGAGGCAGGAGAATGGCGTGAACCCAGGAGGCGGAGATTGCAGTGAGCCGAGATCGCGCCACTGCACTCCAGCCTGGGCAACAGAGCGAGACTCCGTCTCAAAAAAAGAAAAAAAAAAGAAAGTACTTATGTTCATTCCCTAGGGCTGCCACAACCAAGTACCAAAAGCTGCGTGACTTGAAACCAGAGAAACTGATTGTCTTGTGGCTCTGGTGGCCAGCAGTCTGAAATGGAAGTGCCAGCAGGGCCACGCTCCCTCCTGCGCTTGTCGGGGAGTCCTGCCTTGCCTTTTCCTACCTTCCTGTGGTCTCCTGGCAGTCTTCAGTGTTTCTTGGTTTGCATACGCATCAGTCCAATCTTCCGGCCAATCCATGGACGCCTTCCCTGTGTCTCTGTGACTCGGCGTGTCTTCTCGTCTTTTATAAGGACACCGGTCGTTGACTTAGGGCCCTCCCTACTCCAAGATGACTTCATCCTAATCAATAGCGTCTGCAATAACCCTATTTCTTTCTTTTCTTTCTTTTCTTTCTTTCTTTCTTCCTTTCTTTTTTCTTTCTTTCTTTTCTTTCTTTCTTTTTTTTCTTCTTTCTCTCTCTCTCTCTCTTTCTTTCTTTCTTTCTTTCTTTTGAGACGGAGTTTCACTCTTTTTGCCCAGGCTGGAGTGCAATAGCACGATTTCAGCTCAATGCAACCTCCGCCTCGTGGGTTCAGGCGATTGTCCTGCCTCAGCCTCCCTAGTAGCTGGGATTACAGGTATGTGCCACCACACCCAGCTAATTTGGAATTTTTAGTAGAGACGGAGTTTCTCCATGTTGGTCAGGCTGGTCTCAAACTCCTGACCTCAGGTGATCCGCCTGCCTCGACCTCCCAAAGTGCTGGGATTATAGGCATGAGCCACCACGCCCGGCCCGCAATAACTCTATTTCTAAATAAGGTCACATTCTGAGCTACTAGAATTTAGGATTTCAACATGTTTTGAGGAGGACTCAATTTAACCCATAAGAATACTATGTGGGCCACACATGCTGCTTCACATCTGTTATCCCAGCACTTTCGGAGTTTGAAGCAGGAGGATCATTGCTCAGGGCATAGGGGACACCAGGTGCATAAGACCACAGCGTTGACTGGTGTGGGGGCTCACACCTGTAAGTTTGGGAAGCTAAGGCAGGACGATCACTTGAGCCCAGGAGTTTGAGGCCAGCCTGGGTGACATAGTGAGATCTCATTTCTAAAGAAAAAATAATAATAATAATTAGCTGGGCATGGGGGTAGCGGCCTACAGTCCCAGCTACTCAGGAGGCTGAAGCAGGAGGGTCGCTTGAGTCCAGAAGATCAAGGCTGTGGCGAGCTGTGATTGCACCACTGCACTCCAGCCTGGGCAATAGAGCAAGCCCTGTCTCAAAAAAAAAAAAAAAAAAAAAAAAGTCATCTCCTTTGTCTTCTGATTCCGTGAGCTCTCATAGAAAGGAAGTGAAGCAGTGAAAGCATCCCCCCAAAAGGGAGTTTTCAAAACCAGCCTAAGCAACATAGCAAGACCTTGCCTTTAGAAAGTATTTAAATTTGAAGGGAAAAAAAAGCAGTACTATAGCACAGAGGTGACAGCTACAGGTGTGGCTACATCCAGGTCCTAAAACTATATCATCAGAATGACCCCCTCACCCTCCCCCCGCTTTCCATTTTACTTTCTTAAGCATGAACATGAAATTTCCAAGATTGTCTCTCCTTTGGCTAATCTGCTTCTCAGACCCAATCACTGTGGCCAGGGTGGTGGAAGGACACTGGCATCCAGGCTGGGACCACATGCCCCAGATCCAGATCAGGGTGGGGAATGGCCAGTGGCACACATGCCGTTGGGGACTAGTGACTCCTCAGCGGAAAATCAGGAACTATCTTTGGAGAGGAGCGATAGAAGAAAGGCTGACACAGTGCAATGTGTCTCCTGCACCAGCCTGGGCCTTGATGTCTTGAGTACTGATGACACAGTACTCAGTCCAGGGCAATCCCAACTCCATCTATGGGGCTGCCCACAGTACATGGACCGCCTCACTGGATTTGCTGACCACATGTGCAAACAGCCACCTCCCAGCCCCACTCCCCGCAGTCCCCCTGAACCCTGTCAAAATTCCCCTCAGTTCTCACCAAGACTAAAAGCAATTCTGAGGGTGAGCGGCTCATTCTGCTAGTTTAACTCTCTCGATTCCTTCCCTCTCCAGAACTCTGTACTTACTGCTCCGTCACTGGTAATGACAATGAACATCTTCACAATCTCAGGTTTTATTGCAAAGTGATTGAGGACCAGTTAGAATAAGTTATGCTGCAGAAACTAAAGAAATCCCGTCAAGCAAATTGTGTGTCATAGAAAGTCTTAGGACAGCCGTGTATATTTTCTCCCCCAATGAATCAATTGAAAATGAGAAGCTCTTACCGCCATGTTCCGGGCAGAAGCTATCAAAAGTATAAGCCATGATATTATAATTTGATGATTTTTCATGCGTCAAATGGTTATGGCCCAGGGGTGAAAAGTGGATGCTCCGTAACTAGATGATGGTCAAGAGTTATAAAAATGAGGTCCTCTCTGTTCAACATTTCTCCTTTCTTGAAAGGATACTCAATATCATGCTCAGGGCCTCTAATGGCCAGAAATAAAGTTCCTCCCAGTTCCAGAGCACCCCAGGATAACCCCAAAACCAGAGCAACTGCTTATTTCCATATAGACTATATACTGTGCAACTCCCGGGGTGGCATTTTCATAAATATGTGGGTGGCGCCCCCTGGAGGTAAGCAATGCACAACTTGCACAAATGGTAAGACACCGTATCCCAAAGTCCACAAAGAAGAGCTAAGCAAAACTCCCATCGATGTTGCCATCGGTAATGAGTCTGCCTTTTCTTCATGGGACAGTAGCAAAAACAATTTGGCCAAGTGTGCTTGGATGATCTCTAAGATGGAATCAGGGTCTCTCACTTTCAGCACTATTGACATTTGGGGCTGGATCATTCTTTTGTCTTAGTGGGAGTTGTCCGGGGCATTGTAGGATGCTTAGCAGCATCGCTGGCCTCTACCCATTAGCTGCCAGTAGCACCACCTCCTCCAGCCGCAACCACCAAAATTGTCTCCAGACATGGCCACGTGTTCTCTGGGGGGCAAAATCACCCCCTGGCTGAAAAGCCCTGAAGTAAAGACATAATATGCAGATCACATGTAAGTAAGGGAGCCTAAGGGCCACACAGGTGATGCTGTACCCATGACAAAGACAGAGTCTTAAAGAGGTTAGAGAGGTGGAGAAAGAGAAAGGAAATGAAGTCCCAGTTGCCTAGAGCAACAGATGCTGACTAGATGTTGTTGATAGTCATCTTTAAACTGAGTTAAAAGATGCTGAGAAGCCATCAGCTCCCATCCTGCTCTCCAGGGACAACGCTGCTGAAAAAAGGCCTGGAGATCAACAAAGTCCCAAACACAGGTGCACTGAGCAAAGAAACCAGAGATTGAGACAAAATGACATTCCCTCAAAGACTACACATTTCCAAGAGGAGAGAAAAAGTGGAGTCATGAAAAACAGTTGAGGCTGGATAGAGTGACTCACACCTGTAATCCCAGCACTTTGGGATTACTCCCAGTCTGAGACGGGAAGACTGCTTGAACTCAGGAGTTCAAGACCAGCCTGGGCAACGTAGCAAGACCTTGCCTCTAGAAAAAGGGAAAAAATTAGCCAGGTGTGGTAATACATGCCTGTGGTCTCAGCTACTCGGGAGGCTGAGGTGGGAGGATCACTTGAACCCAGGAGGTAGAGGCTGCAGTGAGCCGGGATCGCACCACTGCACTCCAGCCTGGGCTACAGATCCTGTCCCAAAAAAGAAAAAAAAAAAACAAATTAAGGCCAGGCACGATGGCTCATGGCTGTAATCCCAGCACTTTGGGAGGCCGAGGTGGGCAGATCACGAGTTCAGGAGATTGAGACCATCCTGGCTAACACGGTGAAACCCCATCTCTATTAAAAATACAAACAATTAGCCGGACATGGTGCTGGGTGCCTATAGTCCCAGCTACTCTGGAGGCTGAGGCAGAAGAATGGAGTGAACTCGGGAGGTGGAGCTTGAAGTGAGCCAAGATCACGCCACTACACTCCAGCCTAGGCAAAAGAGCAAGACTCTATCTCAAAAAAAAAAGAAAAGAAAATTAAAAATTTTTTTGAGACCAAGTCTCACTCTGTCACCCAGGCTGGAGTGATCTCCAGCTCACTGGATCTCCGCTCACTGCAACCTCCGCCTCCTTGGTTCAAGTGATTCTCAGTTCTCAACCTCGTACCTCAACATGACTACAGGCATGTTTTTACCATGCCTAATTTTTGCATTTTTAGTAGAGATGGGATTTCACCATGTTGTCCAGGATGGTCTTGAACTCCTAGGTTAAAGCAATCTACCCACCTCAGCCTCCCAAAATGCTGAGATTACAGGCATGAGCCACCGTGCCTGACCTCTAACTTTTCATTATGGAAATTTTCCATATGCACAAAAATCAGGGAGAGAATTACACCATGAACCCCCATGCACCCATCATCCCACTGCAAGAACTTGTCAACATTTCGCCAATCTCATTCCAGTTCCCACTTTTCTTTTCCTTCTTGCTATTTTAGGATATTTTAAAGCAAATTCCAGACATTTCATTTCACCCACATCCATAACACACCAGGGTGCATTCTTGATGTAAGGATTTTGTTTTGTTTTATAACCCCCCATGCCATTGCCACAGTTAATAGATTTAACATGAAGAAACTAAGATTCTTGCAGGTGGAGAAAAGATCTAATTACCACCTTAAAGCCTCACCTACTAGCGCTTCTCAGATCTGAACGTGTATGCAAATCACCTGGGCATCTTGTTAAAATGTAGATTCTGGCCCAGCAGGTCCTTCCGGGTGAGCCCTGAGAGTCTTCAATACCAAAAGCTCCCAGGTGACGCAATGCTGCGGGTCCATGAATCACACAAGAGGAAGTGTCGTGTCGGCCAAACACCCACAACAACTGGGTGTGAAGTCCTGACCGTTCCTGACTGCAGGGCCTTCAGTGAACGGGGCAGCTGGGGACCATTTGGGAAAGAAGGGAGGTTTTTCCTATCAGCTCCAGGCCTTGTAGAACTGCCAGGGAATAACAGACACAAGGTCAGCAAAGTCTAACCAACAGCACGAGTGCATTCATATTCCACAACCACTGCAGCAAAGAACCATGAAATGGGTGGCTTCAAACAATGTCTGTGCCGGGTGCCGTGGCTCACACCTAAGTAATCTCAGGACTTTGGGAGGCTGAGTTGGGTGAATCACTTGAGGCCAGGAATTCGAGACCAGCCTGGCCAATATGCCAAAACCTCGTCTCTACTAAAAATACAAAAATTAGCCATGCATGGTGGCAGGCACCTGTAGTCCCCACTTCTTGGGAGGCTGAGGCAAGAGAATGGCTTGAGCCTGGGAGGTGGAGGTTGCAGTGAACTGAGATCATGCCACTGCACTCCAGACTGGGCAACAGAGTAAGCCTCTGTCTGAAAAAAAAAAAGAAAAAAAAAAAAATTAATTGTCTGGAGGCCAGAAGTCCAAAATCAATCAAATGTCAGCAGGAGAATGCTCCTTCAGAGGTTCTAGGGGAGAATCCATTCCTTGCGTCTTCCAGCTTGTAGAGGCTACTAGAATTCCTCAACTTGTGGCTGCATGATCCAATCTCTGCCTCTGTGATCACCTTGCCTCCTCCTCTTCTGTCTGGGTCTCCTCCTCTGGAGGAAGAGTGTCAGTCCTCTGAGCCCAAGCTAAGCCATCATTATCTCCTGTGACCTGCATGTACATATCCAGATGGCCGGTTCCTGCCTTAACTGATGACATTATCTTGTGAAATTCCTTCTCCTTGCTCATCCTGGCTCCAAAGCTCCCCTACTGAGCACCTTGTGGCCCCCACTCCTGCCTGCCAGAGAACAACCCCCCTTTTTCCTTTACCTACCCAAATCCTATAAAATTGCCCCACCCCTATCTCCCTTCACTGACTCTCTTTTTGGACTCAGCCCACCTGTACCCAGGTGAAATAAACAGCTTTACTGCTCACACAAAGCCTGTTTGGTGGTCTCTTCACATGGATGCATGTGAAATTTGGTGCCGTGACTGGGATCGAGGGACTTCCCTTGGGAGATCAATCCCCTGTCCTCCTGCTCTTTGCTCTGTGAGAAAGATCCACCTATGACTTCAGGTTCTCAGACTGACCAGCCCAAGAAACATCTCACCAATTTCAAATCTGGTAAGCGGCTTCTTTTTACTCTCTTCTCCAACCTCCCTCACTATCCCTCCACCTCTTTCTCCTCCCAATCTTGGCACCACACTTCAATCTCTCCCTTCTCTTAATTTCAATTCCTTTCATTTTCTGGTAGAGACAAAGGGGACACGTTTTATCTGTGGACCCAAAACTCTGGCACCAGTCACGGACTAGGGAAGGCAGCCTTTCCTTGGTGTTTAATCATTGCAGGGACACCTCTCTGATTATTCACCGAGGTTTCAGAGGTGTCAGACCATGCAGGGATGCCTGCCTTGTTCCTTCACCCTTAGCAGCAAGACCTGCTTTTCTGGGGGAGGGACAAGAACCCCTCAACCCCTTCTCCTTCACCCTTAGCAGCATGTCCCACTTTTCTGGGGGAGGGACAGGAACCCCGACCTCTTATCTCTGCACCCCGATCCCTTATTTCCATGCCCTGACCTCATCTCTGTGTCCCGATCCCTTATTTCCACAACCTGACCTCTTATCTCTGCACCCCAACCCTTTATTTCTGTGCCCCCAACCCTTTCCCTCTATTCTGGAAGGCAAGAACCCCCCACCCCTTCTCTCCATGTCTCTACTCTCTTTTCTCTAGGCTTGCCTCCTTCACTATGGGCAAGCTTCCGCCTTCCATTCCCCTTTCTTCTCCCTTAAGCTGTGTTCTTCAAAACCTAAAACCTCTTCAACTCACACCTGACCTAAAACCTAAATGCCTTATTTTCTTCTACAATGTTACTTGACCCCAATACAAACTCAGCAGTGGTTCCAAATAGCCAGAGAATGGCACTTTCAATTTTTCCATCCTACAAGATCTAGATACTTCTTGTCATAAGATGGGCAAATGATCTGAGATGCCTGATGTCCAGGCATTCTTTTACACATTGGTCCCTCCCTAGTCTCTGTTCCCAGTGCAACTCATCCGAAATCTTCCTCCTTTCCCTCCCACCTGTCTCCTCAGTCCCAACCCCAAGTGTCGCTGAGTCTTTCTAATCTTCCTTTTCTACAGACCCATCTGACCTCTCCCATCCTGGCCAGCCTGAGCTAGGTCCCAATTCTTCCTCAGCCTCCACTTCTCCACCCTATAATCCTTTTATCACCTCCCCTCCTCACACTGGGTCTGGCTTACAGTTTAATTCCGTGACTAGCCCTCCCCCACCTGCCCAGCAATTTACTCTTAAACAGGTGCCTGGAGCTAAAGACATAGTCAAGGTTAATGCTCCTTTTTCTTTATCCCAAATCAGATAGCATTTAGCCTCTTTTTCATCAAATATAAAAATCCACCCCAGTTCATGGCTCGTTTGGCAGCAACCCTGAGATGCTTTACAGCCCTAGACCCTAAAACGTCAAAAGGCCGTCTTATTCTCAATATACATTTTATTACCCAATCTGCTCCCGACATTAAATAAAACTCCAAAATTAAATTCCGGCCCTCAAACCCCACAACAGGACTTAATTAACCTCAACTTCAAGGTGTACAATAATGGAGTAGAGGCAGCCTAGCAGCAACATATTTCTCAGTTGCAATTCCTTGCCTCCACTGTGAGACAAAGCCCAGCCAAATCTCCAGCACACAAGAACTTCCAAACGCCTAAAGCGCAGTGGCCAGGCATTCCTCCAGAACCACCTACCCCAGGAGCTTGCTACAAGTGCCAGAAATCTGGCCACCAGACCAAGGAATGCCTGCAGCCCGGGATTCCTCCTGAGCCATGTCCCATCTGTGCGAGACCCAACTAGAAATCGGACTGTTCAACTCGCCTGGCAGACACTCCTAGAGCCCCTGGAACCCCAGCCCAAGGCTCTCTGACTGATTCCTTCCCAGATCTTCTTGGCTTAGCAGCTGAAGACTGACACTGCCTGATAGATCACCTCGGAAGCCTACAGGACCATCACAGACGCTCTAGGTAACTCTCACAGTGGAGGAGAAGTCCATCCCCTTCTTAATCAATACGGAGGCTAACCACTCCACATTACCTTCTTTTCAAGGGCCTGTTTCCCTTCCCTCCATAACTGTTGTGAGTATTGACAGCCAGGCTTCTAAACCTCTTAAAACTCCCCAACTCTGGTGCCAACTTAGACAATACTCTTTTAAGCACTCCTTTTTAGTTGTCCCCACCTGCCCAGTTCCCTTATTAGGCCGAGACACTTTAACTAAATTATCTGCTTCCCTGACTATTCCTGGACTACAGCCACATCTCATTGCCACCCACCTTAACCCACAAGTAGAAGATACCTCTATTCCCTCCTTGGCAACCTATCATGCACCCCTTACCATCTCATTAAAACCTAATCACTCTTACCCCTCTCAATGCCAATATCCCATCCCACAGCATGCTTTGAAAGGATTAAAGCCTGTTATCACTCACCTGCTACAGCATGGCCTTTTAAAGCCTATAAACTCTCCTTACAATTCCCCCATTTTACCTGTCCTAAAACCAGACAAGCCTTACAAGTTAGTTCAAGATCTGTGCCTTATCAACCAAATTGTTTTGCCTATCCACCCCAAGGTGCCAAACACATATACTCTCCTATCCTCAGTTCCTCCCTCCACAACCCATTATTCTGTTCTGAATCTCAAACATGCTTTCTTTACTATTCCTTTGCACCCTTCATCCCAGTCACTCTTCGCTTTCACTTGGACTGACCCTGACACCCATCAAGCTCAGCAAATTACCTGGGCTGTACTGTCGCAAAGCTTCACAGACAGCCCCCATTACTTCAGTCAAGCCCAAATTTCTCCCTTATCTGTTACCTATCTCAGCATAATTCTCATAAAAACACACGTGCTCTCTCTGCCGATCGTGTGTGACTCATCTCTCAAACCCCAACCCCTTCTACAAAACAACAACTCCTTTCCTTCCTGGGCATGGTTGGACACTTTCACCTTTAGATATCTGGTTTTGCCATCCTAACAAAACCATTATATAAACTCACAAAAGGAAACCTAGCTGACCCCATAGATCCTAAATCCTTTCCCCACTCCTCTTTCTGTTCCTTGAAGACAGCTTTAAAGACTGCCCCCACCCTAGTCTTGGTTCCCTGACCGGGAAGCGAGGTAATTGACGGCAGTTGAGGCAGCCCTTTAGGCGGCTTAGGCCTGCCCTGTGGAGCATCCCTGCGGGGGACTCCTGCCAGTTTGAGCGACGCGGATCCTGAGAGCTCTCCTGGGTAGGCAATTGACCCGGTGGAATGCCTCGTCAGAGCAGTGTGTGGTAGGCCCCGGTGGAGGATCAACATAGTGGGTGAACACCGGGAAGGAACAGGCACTTGGAGTCTGGACATTTGAAACTTGGTAAGACTGGTCTTTGGAACTTGCCCACTCTATTTGAGTGGAAGTGTGGCCTGATCACCCACGGCGTGCCTGTACTGGCACTTTGGTTTTTGTTTTTGACTTGAATTGAATTGCTTGATACTTTGGTTTTGGTTTGACCTGGCTTGGATTTCTGGATACTCCGATTTTGGTTTTGATTCTGGTTTGGTGAAAACTGAAAAAGTGTGTGTGTGCCCTTTTTACTCATTCTTTGTTCTGTGGTGTGCGTGTGGTGTGAGCTTGGTGTTTTGTCTCGAGGAAACGTGGGTCAGACACAAAGTAAGCCTACTCTGCTAGGAACTATGATGAAAAATTTTAAGAAAGGATTTAATGGAGACTATAGGGTTACTACGACACCAGGGAAATTTAGAACTTTGTGTGAAATAGATTGCCCAGCTTTAGAAGTGGGTTGGCCATCAGAAGGAAGCCTGGGCAGGTCCCTTGTTTCTAAGGTATGGCACAAGGTAATTGGTAAGTCAGGACACTCAGACCAGTTTCCATACATAGACACTTGGTTACAGCTGATGCTAAACCCCCCACAGTGGCTAAGAGGGCAGGCAGCAGCAGTGCTAGTAGCGTAGGGACAGATAGCCAAGGAAGGATCGCGCTCCACCCGCCGAGGGAAATCAACACCTGAAGATCTGTTCAACCCAACAGCAGAACATGCATTGCAGGAGATGGCACCAGTGATCCCAGTGGTGCCCTCCCCTTACCAGGGAGAAAGGCTCCCCACTTTTGAGTCCACAGTGCTTGGGCCTCCACAAGACAAACATATCCCTAGGCAACCCAGAGTATACAAAAGAAGAGGTGAGGACTCGGGAGGAACCCCTCCCTTGGCAGCTCGTTTAAGACCCAAAACGGGGATCCAAATGCTCCTGAGAGAGCAGCGGTATACAGGGATAGATGAGGATGGTCATGTGGTGGGGAGGCGTGTTTCTGTGTACCAGCCCTTCACCTCTGCCCACCTTCTCAACTGGAAAAATAGTACCCCATCCTATACCAAAAAGCCACAAGCTCTAATTGATTTGCTCCAAACTAATATCCAGACCCACAACCCCACTTGGACTGATTGTCACCAGCTGCACATGTTCCTCTTTAACACAGATGAAAAATGGAGAGTGCTAGAAGCAGCAACTAAGTGGCTAGAGGAACATGCACGGGCTGATTACCAAAACCCCCAAGAGTATGTAAGGACCCAGTTACTGGAACCGACCCCCAGAAGGACCCAAATGAAAGAGAGGATATGCAAAGGCTAAACCGATACAGGGAAGCTCCCTTGGAAGGATTAAAGAGGGGAGCCCAGGAGGCCACAAATGTTAACAAGGTCTCTGAGGTCATTCAGAGAAAAGAAGAAAGTCCAGCACAATTCTAGGAGAGACTGTGTGATGCCTATGGTATGTATACACCCTTTGATCCCGATAGCCCTGAAAATCAATGCATGATTAACATGGCTTTAGTTAGTCAAAGCGCAGAAGACATTAGAAGAAAACTGCAGAAACAGGCTGGGTTTGCAGGGATGAACACATCACAGTTATTAGAAGTAGCTAACCAGGTGTTTGTAAACAGGGATGCAGTAAGCCATAAGGAAAACTGCAGAGAGAAGGAACGTCAGGCCCAGCGAAACGCCGACCTGTTAGCGGCAGCAAACAGAGGGGTCCCCCAAAAGAGGCAAGGGAAGGGGGGCCCCGGAAAAGAAACTCAGCCTGGCTGTCAAAGGTTGCAGCGTAATCAGTGTGTTTATTGTAAAGAAATAGGACATTGGAAGAGCAAATGCCCTCAGCTAAAAAGAAAACAAGGTGACTCGGAGCAAGAGGCTCCAGACAAGGAGTAAGGGGCCCTGCTCAACCTGGCAGAAGGGTTATTGGACTGAGGGGGACCGGGCTCAAGGACCCCGAAAGAGCCTATGTTCAGGATGACAGTTAGGGGTAAAGACATTGATTTTCTTGTAGATACTGGTGCTAAACATTCGGTAGTAACCGCCACGGTCGCCCCCTTATACAAAAAGATTATTGACATCATCGGAGCCACAGGGGTTTCAGCAAAGCAAGTTTCTGCTTGCCCTGGACTTGTACTGTAGGAGGACATAAAGTGATTCATCAGTTTTTGTCCACGCCTGACTGTCCCTTGCCCTTATTGGGAAGGGACTTGCTTAGCAAACAGAGAGCCACTATCTCTTTTACAGAGCATGGCTCTTCGCTGCTAAAGTTACCCGGAACGGGAGTCATTATGACCCTTACCGTCCCCCGAGAGGAGGAATGGAGACTTTTCTTAACTGAGTCGGGCCAAGAGATAAGACCAGCTCTGGCTAAGCGGTGGCCAAGAGTACGGGTGGAAGACAACCCTCCAGGGTTGGCAGTCAACCAAGCCCCCGTACTTATAGAAGTTAAGCCTAGGGCCCAGCCATTTAGGCAAAAACAGGAGCCGGTCCCCAGAGAAGCTCTTGAAGGTATCCAGGTCCATCTCAAGCACCTAAGAACTTTTGGAATTAGAGTTCCTTGTCAGTCTCCATGGAACACTCCCCTCCTGCCTGTTCCCAAGCCTAGGACCAAGGACTACAGGCCGGTACAGGATTTGCGCTTGCTTCATCAGGCTACAGTGACTTTACATCCAGCAGTACCTAACCCGTACACATTGCTGGGGTTGCTGCCAGCTGAGGACAGCTGCTTCACCTGCTTGGACCTGAAAGATGCTTTCTTTAGCATCAGATTAGCCCCTGAGAGCCAGAAGCTGTTTGCCTTTCAGTGGGAAGATCCGGAGTCAGGTGTCACTACTCAGTACACTTGGACCCGGCTTCCCCAAGGGTTCAAGAACTCCCCCACTATCTTCGGGGAGACATTGCCTCGAGACCTCCAGAAGTTTCCCACCAGAGACCTAGACTGCGTGTTGCTCCAGTAGGTTGATGATCTTTTGCTGGGACACCCCACGGCAGTCGGGTGCGCCAAGGGAACAGATGCTCTACTGCGGCACCTGGAGGACTGTGGGTATAAGGTGTCCAAGAAAAAAGCTCAGATCTGCCGACAGCAGGTACGTTACTTAGGATTTACTATCCGACAGGGGGAGAGCAGCCTAGGATCAGAAAGAAAGTAGGTCATTTGCAATCTACCGGAGCCTAAGACCAGAAGGCAGGTGAGAGCATTTTTAAGGGCTGTGGGGTTTTGCAGACTGTAAATCCCAAACTTTGCAGTATTAGCCAAGCCTTTGTATGAGGTCACAAAGTGGGGGGACCGGGAACTTTCTGAATGGGGATGCCAGCAACAGCAAGCCTTTCATGAGTTAAAGGAAAGACTTATGTCAGCCCCAGCCCTGGGGCTACCCGATCTAATAAAGCCTTTTCCATTGTATGTGTCAGAAAGAGAAAAGATGGCAGTTGGTGTTTTAACCCAAACTGTGGGGCCCTGGCCAAGGCCGGTGGCCTACCTCTCTAAACAACTAGACGGGGTTTCTAAAGGATGCCCCTTGTTTGAGGGCCTTGGCAGCAACTGCCCTGCTAGTACAAGAAGCAGATAAGCTGACTCTTGGACAAAACCTGAACGTAAAGGCCCCCCATGCTGTGGTGACTTTCATGAATACTAAAGGACATCATTGGCTAATGAATGCTAGACTCACTAGGTACCAAAGTTTGCTCTGTGAAAATCCCCGCATAACCATTGAGGTTTGTAACACCCTACACCCCGCTACCTTGCTCCCAGTATCAGAGAGCCCTGTCGAGCATGACTGTGTAGAAGTGTTGGACTCAGTTTACTCTAGCAGACCTAACCTCCAGGAACAGCCTTAGGCATCAGTAGACTAGGAACTACACGTGGCTGGGAGCAGCTTCATCAACCCACAGGGAGAGAGATGTGCAAGCTATGCGGTGGTAACTCTGGACACTGTTGCTGAAGCCAGATCGTTTCCCCAGGGCACTTCAGCTCAGAAAGCTGAACTCATTGCTTTCATTCGGGCCTTAGAACTCAGTGAAGCTAAGAATGTCAACATTTACACTCACTCTCAATATGCCTTTTCAACCCTTCAAATGCAGGGAACATTATATAAAGAAAAGGGCTTATTGAACTCTGGGGGAAAAGACATAAAATATCAACAATAAATCTTGCAATTATTAAAAGCCGTATGGAGACCCCACAAGGTGGCAGTTATGCATTGCAGAGGACACAAGCGAGCTTCCACCTTGGTGGGTTTAGGGAATTCCTGCGCTGACTTAGAGGCTCGAAAAGCAGCATCTGCCCCCTTCTGGGCATCAATCACAACCCCCCTGCTCCCTCAAGCACCTGATCTTGTACCTACTTATTCTAAAGAAGAAAAGGACTTTCTCCAGGCAGAGAGAGGACAAGTGATGGAGGAAGGATGAATTCGGTTACCGGATGGGAGAGTAGCTGTGCCACAGCTGCTAGGAGCTGCAGTTGTACTGGCTGTGCGTGAAACCACCCATCTAGGTTAGGAATCACTTGAAAAGTTGTTAGGCTGGTATTTCTACATCTCGCATTTGTCAGCACTTGCCGAAACGGTGACGCAGTGGTGTGTTACCTGCCGACAGCATAATGCGAGGCAGGGTCCAGCCGTTCCACCCGGCATACAAGCTTATGGAGCAGCCCCCTTTGAAGAGCTCCAGATGGACTTCACAGAGATGCCAAAGTGTAGAGGTAACAAGTATTTACTAGTTCTTGGGCGTACCTACCCTGGGTAGGTGGAAGCTTATCCAACACGAACTGAGAAAGCTCATGAAGTAACTCGTGTGCTTCTTCGAGATCTTATTCCTAGATTTGGACTGCCCTTATGGATCAGTTCAGATAATGGGCCGGCGTTTGTGGCTGACTTAGTACAGAAGGCGGCAAAGGTATTGGGGATCACACGGAAACTGCATGCTGCCTCCTGGCCTCAGAGTTCTGGAAAGGTGGAGCGAATGAATTGAACTATCAAAAATAGTTTAGGGAAAGTATGTCAGGAAACAGGATTAAAATGGATACAGGCTCTCCCTATGGTATTATTTAAAATTAGATGTACCACTTCTAAAAGAACAGGATATTCCCCTTATGAAATATTATATCATAGGCCCCCTCCTATATTGCGGGGACTTCCAGGCACTCCCTGAGAGTTAGGTGAAATTGAGTTACAGCGACAGCTACAGGCTTTAGGAAAAATTACACAGACAATCTCAGCCTGGGTAAATGAGAGATGCCCTGTTAGTTTATTCTCCCCAGTTCACCCTTTCTCCCCAGGTGATCGAGTGTGGATCAAGGACTGGAAAGTAGCCTCTTTGTGTCCACTGTGGAAAGGACCCCAGACTGTCGTCCTGAGCACTCCCACCGCTGTGAAGGTAGAAGGAATCCCAGTCTGGAACCACCACAGCTGTGTAAAACCTGCAGCGCCGGAAACCTGGGAGGCAAGACCAAGCCCAGACAACCCTTGCAGAGTGACCCTGAAGAAGACGACAAGCCCTGCTCCAGTCACACCCGGAAGCTGACTGGTCCACGCATGGCCGAAGCATGAGGAAGCTCATCGTTAGATTCATTTTTCTTAAATTTTGGACTTATACAGTAAGGGCTTCAACTAACCTTACTCAAAATGGGGACTGTTCCCAGTGTATTTATCAGGTCACCGAAGTAGGACAGCAAATTAAAACAATCTTTCTGTTCTATAGTTATTATGAATGTATGGAAACATTAAAAGAAACTTGTTTGTATAATGCCACTCAGTACAAGGTATGTAGCCCGAGAAATGACCGACCTGATGCGTGTTATAACCCATCTGAGCCCGCTGCAACCACCGTTTTTGAAATAAGAACTGGCCTTTTGCTAGGTGATACAAGTAAAATAATAACTAGAACAGAAGAAAAAGAAATCCCCAAGCAAATAACTTTAAGATTTGATGCTTGTGCAGCCATTAATAGTAAAAAGCTAGAAATAGGATGTGGTTCTCTTAACTGAGAAAGGAGCTAAAGAGTAGAAAATAAATATGTTTGTCATGAGTCAGGGGTTTGTAAAAATTGTGCCTATTGGCCATGTGTTATTTAGGCTACTTAAAAAAAGAACAAAAATGACTCGGTTTATCTTCAGAAGGGAGAAGCCAACCCCTCCTGGGCCGCCGGTCACTGTAACCCACTAGAACTAATAATTACCAATCCCCTAGATCCCCTTTGGAAAAAGGGAGAACGTGTAACCCTGGGGATCAATAGGACAGGGTTAAACCCTCAAGTTGCCATTTTAATTAGAGGGGAGGTCCACAAGTGCTCTCCCAAAACAGTATTTCAAACGTTTTATGAGGAGCTGAATCTGCCAACACCAGAACTTCTGAAAAAGACAAAAAATTTGTTTCTCCAATTAGCAGAAAATGTAGCTAATTCCCTTAATGTTACTTCTTGTTATGTATGCGGAGGAACCACTATCGGAGACAGATGGCCTTCGGAAGCCCGAGAGTTGGTGTCTACTGATCCAGCTCCTGATATAATTCCAGTTCAGAAGGCCCAAGCTAGCAACTTCTAGGTCCTAAAACCTCAATTATTAGACAATACTGTATAGCTAGAGAAGGGAAAGACTTTATCATCCCTGTAGGAAAGCTTAATTGTATAGGACAGAAGTTGTATAACAGCACAACAAAGACAATTACTTAGTAGGGCCTAACCCACACTGAAAAGAATCCATTTAGTAAATTTTCTAAATTAAAAACTGCTTAGGCTCATGCAGAATCTCATTAGGACTGGACGGTTCCCACTGGACTATACCTGATACGTAGGCACAGAGCCTACATTCGGTTACCTAATAAATGGGCAGACAGTTGTGTTATTGGCACTATTAAGCCGTCCTTTCTCTTATTACCCATAAAAATGGGTGAGCTCCTAGGTTTCCCTGTCTATGCCTCCTGAGAAAATAAAGGCATAGTTATAGGAAACTGGAAAGATAATGAGTGGCCCCCTGAAAGGATCATTCAGTATTATGGGCCTGCCACAGGGGCACAAGATGGCTCATGGGGATACCAAACCCCCATCTACATGCTCAACTGGATCATACGGTTGCAGTCCGTCTAAGAAATAATTACTAATGAAACTGGCAGAGCTTTGACTGTTTTAGCTTTGCAAGAAACCCAAATGAGGAATGCTATCTATCAGAAAAGACTGGCCTTAGACTACTTGCTAGTAGCTGAAGGAGTTTGTGGAAAATTTAACTTAACCAACTGCTGCCTACAAATAAATGATCAAGGACAGGTGGTTAAAAACATAGTCAGGGACATGACAAAGGTTGCACATGTGCCTGTAGAGGTTTGGCACGAGTTTAATCCTGAGTCTTTATTTGAAAAATGGTTTCCAGCTATAGGAGGATTTAAAACCCTCATTGTAGGTGTATTGCTAGTGATAGGAACTTACTTGCTGCTCCCCTGTGTATTACTCTTGCTTTTTCAAATGATAAAAGATTTTGTTGCTACTTTGGTTCATCAGAAAACTTCAGCACACGTGTGTTATATAAATCACTATCGCTCTATCTCACAAAGAGACTCAAAAAGTAAAGATGAGAGTGAGAACTCCCACTAAAAAGTGAAAATGCTCAAAGGGGGGAAATATGGTATGAGACCACCACTTCTCCTGTTGTCCTTCCCAGTTTCTCCCCAACCTCCCCTTTTCCCTAGTTTATAAGACAGCGAAAAAGGGAGAAAGCAAAAAGCTGGAAAAAACAGAAGTAAAATAAATACCTAGACGACTTTGGCGCCACCACCTGGCCCTGGTGGTTAAAGTAACAATAATATTAACCCCTGACCAAAACTACTGTTGTTATCGGTAAATCCCAGACATTGTATGAGAAAGCACTGTAAAAACTTTTTGTTCTGTTAGCTGATGTATGTAGCCCCCAGTCACGTTCCTCAAGCTTACTTGATCTATTATGACTTTTTCACGTAGAACCCTTAGAGTTGTCAGCCCTTAAAAGGGCTAGGAATTTCTTTTTCAGGGAGCTCGGCTCTTAAGACACGAGTCTGCCGACGCTCCTGGCCGAATAAAAAAACCTCTTCCTTCTTTAATCTGGTGTCTGAGGAGTTTTGTCTGGAACTCGTCCTGCTACACTAGCTCTCCGTGACTCATCCCAACCCTTTTCATTACACACAGCCGAAGTGCAGCGCTGTGCAGTTGAAATTCTTACACAAGGACCAGGATGGCGTCCTGTAGCCTTTTTGTCCAAACAACTTGACCTTACTGTTTTAGGTTGGCCGTTGTGTCTCCGTGCAGCAGCTGCTGCCACCCTAAGACTTTTAAAGGCCCTTAAAATCAGAAACTATGCTCAACTCACTCTCTACAGCTCTCATAATTTCCAAAATCTATTGTCTTCCTCACACCTGCCACATATACATTCTGCTCCCCGGCTCCTTCTGCTGTACTCACTCTTTGTTGAGTCTCCCACAATTACCATTGTTCCTGGCCCAGACTTCAATCCGGCCTCCCCCATTATTCCTGATACCACACCTGACCCTCATGACTGCATCTCTCTGATCCACCTGACGTTCACCCCATTTCCCCACATTTCCTTCTTCCCTGTTTCTCACCCTTACCACACTTAGTTTATTGATGGCAGTTCCACCAGGCCTAATTGCCACACACCAGCAAAAGCAGGGTATGCTATAGTACAAGCCACTAGCCCGCCTCTTAGAACCTCTCATTTCCTTTCCATCGTGGAAATCTATCCTCAAGGAAATAACTTCTCAGTGTTCCATCAGCTATTCTACTACTCCTCAGGGATTCTTCAGGCCCCCTCCCTTCCCTACACATCAAGCTCAGGGATTTGCCCCCACCCAGGACTGGCAAATTAGCTTTACTCAACGTGCCCCGAGTCAGGAAACTAAAATACCTCTTGGTCTAGGTAGACACTTTCACTGGATAAGTAGAGGCCTTTCCCACAGGGTCTAAGAAGGCCACCACGGTCATTTCTTCTCTTCTGTCAGACATAATTCCTCAGTTTGGCCTTCCCACCTCTATACAGTCCGATAGCAGACCTGCCTTTAGTAATCAAGTCAGCCAAGCATTTTTTCAGGCTCTTAGTATTCAGTGAAACCTTTATATCCCTTACAGTCCTCAATCTTCAGGAAAGGTAGAACAGACTGATGCTCTTTTAAAAACACACCTTACCAAGCTCAGCCACCAACTTAAAAACGACTGGACAATACTTTTACCACTTTCCCTTCTCAGAATTCCGGCCTGTCCTTGGAATGCTACAAGGTACAGCCCATTTGTTGCAGGAAGTCAGGGACCCCAAACGGAGGGACAGGCTGAAGCCATGGCAGAAGAACGTGGATTGTGAAGATTTTATGGACATTTATTAGTTCCCCAAATTAATACTTTTGTAATTTCTTATGCCTGCCTTTACTGCAATCTCTAAACATAAATTGTAAAGATTTCATGGACACTTATCACTTCCCCAATCGATATCCTTGTGATTTCCTATGCCTGTCTTTGCTTTAATCTCTTAATCCTGTCAGCCGAGAAGGATGTATATCGTCTCAGGACCCTGTAATAATTGCGTTAAGTACACAAATTGTACAGCATGTGTGTTTGAGCAATATGAAATGTGGACATCCTGAAAAAAGAACAGGATAACCGCAGTCGTTCAGGGAATAAGAGAGATAACCTTAAACTCTGACCGCTGGTGAGCCCGGCAGAACAGAGCCATATTTCTCTTCTTTCAAAAGCAAATGGGAGAAATATCACTGAATTCCTTTCTCAGCATGGAACGTCCCTGAGAAAGAGAATGCGCACCTAGGGGTAGGTCTCTGAACTGGCCCCCCGGGGCTTACCTGTCTCTTAAGGTCGAGATTGCAGAGGTGAAATAAACTGCAGTCTCCCATAGCGCTCCCAGGCTTATTAGGAAGAGGAAATTCCCGCCTAATAAACTTTGGTCAGACCGGTTGATCTCAAAACCCTGTCTCCTGATAAGATGTTATCAATGACAATGGTGCCAAAACTTCATTAGCAATTTAAATTTCACTTCGGTCCTGTGGTCCTGTGATCTCGCCCTGTCTCCACTTGCCTTGTGATATTCTATTACCCTGTTAAGTACTTGATGTCTGTCACCCACACCTATTCGTATACTTCCTCCCCTTTTGAAACTCCCTAATAAAAACTTGCTGGTTTTTGTGGCTTGTGGGGCATCATGGATCCTACCAATGTGTGATGTCTCCCCCGGACGCCCAGCTTTAAAATTTCTCTCTTTTGTACTCTGTCCTTTTATTTCTCAAGCCAGTCAATGCTTAGGAAAATAGAGAAGAACCTACGTGATTATCGGGGCAGGTCCCCCGATACCCCTTGGATCTCCTGTATAGACACTCCTTTTTGTTAGGCTCCAGTCTCATTCCAGACACAAGACCAACTTGGACTGTGCCCCAAAAAACTTGTCATCCCTACTATCTTCTGTCTAGCCATACTCCTATTCACCATTCTCAACTACTCATATATGCCCTGCTCTTGTTTATACTGGTGGTTTACACTGTTTCTCCAAGCCATCACAGCTGACATCTCCTGGTGCTATCCCCAAACCACCACTCTTAACTCTTAAATAATCTTTGCTGGCAAGGCTATGCTGAACCTCCTTAGGCACTCTCTAATTAGATGTCCTAGGTCCTCCCAATTCTTAGTCCTTTAATACCTGTTTTTCTCCTTCTCTTATTCTGTTTAGTTTTTCAATTCATACAAAACTGTATCCAGGCCATCACCAATAATTTTAAATGAAAAATGTTTCTTCTAACAACCCCACAATATCACCCCTTACCACAAAATCTTCTTTCAGCTTAATCTCTCCTACTCTAGGTTCCCATGCCACCCCAATCCCACTGGAAGCAGCCCTGAGAAACATCGCCCATTGTCTCTCCATAACACCCCCCAAAAATTTTCACCATCCCAATACTTTACCACTATTTCATTTTATTTTTCTTATGAATATAAGAAGACAGGAACGTCAGGCCTCTGAGCCCAAGCTAAGCCATCATATCCCCTGTGACCTGCATGTACACATCCAGATGGCCGGTTCCTGCCTTAATTGATGACATTCCACCGCAAAATAAATGAAAATGTCCTGTTCCTGCCTTAACTGATGACATTATCTTGTGAAATTCCTTCTCCTTGCTCATCCTGGCTCAAAAGCTCCCCTACTGAGCACCTTGTGACCCCCACTCCTGCCTGCCAGAGAACCCCCCTTTTTCCTTTACCTACCCAAATCCTATAAAATGGCCCCACCCCTATCTCCCTTCGCTGACTCTCTTTTTGGGCTCAGCCCACCTGCATCCAGGTGAAATAAACAGCTTTATTGCTCACAAAAAGCCTGTTTTGTGGTCTCTTCACACGGACGCGCCAGAAAAAGGGTGTCCTTTTTTTTTTTTTTTTTTTGAGATGGAGTTTCACTCTTGTTGCCCAGGCTGGAGTGCAATGGCATGACCTCAGCTCACTGCCACCTCCTCCTCCTGGGTTCAAGCAACTCTCTTGCCTCAGCTTCCCCAGTAGCTGGGATTGCAGGCATGCGCCAACATGCCCGGCTAATTTTGTATTTTTAGTAGAGATGGGGTTTCTCCATGTTGGTCAGGCTGGTCTCAAACTCCTGACCTATGGTGATCCACCCGCCTCGACCTCCCAAAGTGCTGGGATTACAGGCATGAGCCACTGCGCCGGGACAAAAGTGTCCTCTTATAAGGACACTTGTCTTTAGATGTACAGCCTACCTAAATTACTCCAGGATAATCTCGAGATCCTTAACTTAATTACATCTGCAAAGACCCTTTTTCCAAATAATGCCACCTCCACAGATTCTAGGCACAAGGATCTGGATATATATTGTGCAAAGCCACCATTCAGCTCACTACACTAGAAAGAGGAAAAACAACGAAGTAACAAAAGGCGCAGAAGAAAGAACAGATGCAGCTTGTGTGGCAGTGGCCATCGAGGCAGGATGGGGTAAAACTGTGTTAACAGAACCCCGAGATGGAACTCAAGTGTGGCCGTCTACTCCCAGCTACTCACAGAGAACGTTTCTGTTTCTGACAGCAGAGTAAGAGAAGGGGTGGGAAGAGAGATAGCCCATTCTCTGTTGGCCTAATTCCTAAGGAATTGTGCCTCTGCCTTCGGGTCATTCTCAAGTCTTGTTCAAGGACAAAATGATTTATTGATGGCCATAATTAAAAAGCAATGCCAACAGAAGCAGCCTCACCATTTTTCATTTGTACTTACACATGAGCGAGAGCAGTTTAGGGAAACGGGTGTCTTCAGGTTCTGTTTTCTCCATCTAGAAAAGGGCTGCCTTCGTGGAATGCTGGTCCTGGGGAGAAGCCTCATTTCTATAGCAGGAATTGATAGAGTTTTAAATTCCGATTGGTACATGGAGCTACCCGTCCTCATTTCAAGCACTTCTGGTTAGTTCTGGGTTCAGTGGGTGAGCAATGAGTAGAACTCTGGGGAGGAGGATTTGGAGTGAGCGTGGTTTTGATCCCCAGAGGGAGTTGTTTTTCCATCAATGTCTTGACTGTGATTCAGAATGGGCTTCTCCACTCAAGATGGGAGTACTGGGCTAATTTAAGGCAGGTGACTGACTTGATTTGGTGGCTACTTTTATACTAGCTGGTTAACGAGCTATTTTCTTCATTAGTTTCAGGCATATGAGCGTAATGAAGCACTGGACCTCCCAAATTACAAGGAAAATACAGATATAGCTTATGTGGTAGGTTCAAAGGAGTTAGTGAACAAACACAGTAGGGACACAAATTCTTGTTAAAGACATGAATGTATGAAAGTGTATCTATGTCCAAATGGACCCTCTGCAAGCATACTGTTCCACCTGAAAATTAGTACATAGAAATTCAGCAAATGCTTGGACAGGGGATATTCTCAGAAGTATTCTGACTCAATAGCATGGTTTATTTTCATATCACTAAAGTAATTTCTTCTCAAATTGACTCTGGACTAAATCTTATGATACCTACTTGTTCCGATTGTACTTAGCCACCTGCAAATAAGGTGGAGGCAGTGGTAAGAGGAGCTGTTGAATGAAATGAAACATTTGTTGGATGCCTACTGAAGATAAAGCCCTGTGCTTTGTGCCAGGGAGATTCCAGAATAAATGAGGCACAGACCTACTCTCAGGAAGCTTTTGCAAACTAATGGAGAAAACACATCTGCAGGCAATGACTTATGGTATAAGAGGAAATGGGGCCAGATACGGTGACTCACACCTGTAATCCCAGCACTTTGGGAGGCCGAGGTAGGTGGATCACTTGAGGTCAGGAGTTCAAGAGCAGCTTGGCCAACATGGCGAAACCCTTTCTCTACTAAAAGTACAAAAAGAAAAAAAAAAAAAAATGAGCCAGGCTTGATGGTGTGCACCTGCAATCCCAGCTACTTGGGAGGCTGAGGCACAAGAATCACTTAAACCTGGGAGGTGGACACTGTAGTGAGCCGAGATCCCACCACTGCACTCCAGCCTAGAAGACAGAGCGAGACTGTCAAAATAAAAAAAAAAAGGAAATAAGATTGGTGTTGAATGGGAAATCTAAGGAGGATGGAATGACAGGAGAGCACCCACTTGCCCAGCTCCAATAACACTTTTGACAGCCATGACAATATTGCAGGGACACCCATTCGTCATGGTATCTGAAGTCCCATGAAAGCTTGAGTCTGGAGGCTGGTTCAGTCTTGACTTTAAGATAAGGGGATACAAGGAATGATTTTCATCTATCCCAAGCCAATAGTCCAGCCAAAAATCTAGGTCTGAGATGATGAGAAAAAGCAAGTCATCAACCATGTCAGCCATTTCATCATCATCATCATCATCATCATCATCATCAAAAACAAAAGACAGACCTGTAACCGTCTTGTGTGCCTGGCTCTCAGTTCACAATATAGAAGTAAATTCTATGGCCAGCGAACAATGAGCAAAATAGCTCTCATCACTCTTGTCTGCCACCATGTAAGACATTCCTTTTGCCTTCCACCATGATTTCGAGACTTCTTCAGCCACATGGAACTGTGAGCCCATTAAACCTCTTTTTCTTTATAAATTACCCAGTCTTGAGTAACAAAATAGTGGTTTGTCCACAACATCAATGAACGATGCTGTTACTTGTTCCAAACACGTATCATTTAAGAGGTTTGGATAAACAACATCCTAAAATAAATAAGCACTAAGCAAACTCAGGGCTACATAATCCCTGTGGTGAGCTAACTGACAATGGGTACAACTGGGACACTTTACCGTTAAATCACCTCTATCTACATGTGCCCAAGCAGTGACATACTTCGTTTTAATCCTAAAAAATCATGGTGCACATTTACTCCTGCCTTCCAACTGGGCTCTAACGTCACCTCCTCAGAGAAGCCCGCTTTTCTGTGCTTCCACTCTGCCTTTTTTCAGCATTTAGTAGAGCATCAGTCACCATCCATATCTGGGAACAATGATTGTAAGAAACAGAAACCCATTTGCATGAGCTTGAGGACAAGAAACACACCTTATCTCTAACAGGCAAACTCATGGGCACAAGAAACAAATGAGAGGCCATGAGAGAATGGAAACTGCAGTTACAGAAACCAAAATTCCTCTTTCTTGCTCTCAGAAGCCCATGGTCTCTTTCTTTTTTTTCTTTTTTTCTTCTTTTTTTTTTTTTTTTTTTGAGACGGAGTCTCGCTCTGTCGCCCAGGCTGGAGTGCAGTGGTGCAATCTCAGTTCACTGCAAGCTGCACCTCCTGGGGTTAACGCCATTCTCCCACCTCAGCCTCCCAATTAGCTGGGGCTACAGGCACCCGCCACCACACCCAGCTAATTTTTGTATTTTTAGTAGAGATGGGCTTTCACCGTGTGAGCCAGGATGGTCTCGATCTCCTGACCTCGTGATCCGGCCATCCTGGCTTCCCAAAGTGCTGGGATTACAGGCGTGAACCACCGCACCTGGAAGCCCATGGTCTTTCTTATCAGCCCTGTGGACTTTCTTATCTCTTCTTCTCACTCACAACCAATTTTCCCTTTTTGCTGGTGGCCCACCCTGGCAGCCAGCAGAGCCCACCGCCAGCTGATCAATCAGTTACTGGATATCTTGGAGAGGGAGGGAGGGAGGGAGGAAGAGAGGGAGAGGGAGAGAGAGAGAGAGAATGACAATTGGGCTTCTGGCCAACCAATTGAGTATAGGGAGGGGAAGTACCATGGTACAAATATGGCTCCAAGACCTGCTTTCCAGCATGGCCAGTGAGTAGGGAAATTGAGGGAAGGTACCTGCAAACACAGCAGACATCTCAGAACATGCTCTCTGTTCTTAGTTCTCTCTCCTGCCTTCTCCTAGATTGTAAATATCACAAGACAATCTAGGATAGTACCTGGCTCAAAATATTTGAGAAAGAGGAAAAGGAAGACATTGCATCAAACTGTAGACTACATGGTTTCCTAAAT
This sequence comes from Homo sapiens, assembly GCF_000001405.40. NCBI lineage: Eukaryota > Metazoa > Chordata > Mammalia > Primates > Hominidae > Homo > Homo sapiens. The sequence goes on along the minus strand of NW_018654717.1, from coordinate 5,673,092 downwards.
TCACTCTGCAAGTTTTTGGGTTTTTTGTTTTTTGAGACAGAGTCTCGCTCTGCTGCCCAGGCTGGAGTGCAATGGGATAATCTTGGCTCACTGCAACCTCCACCTCCCAGGTTCAAGCAAATCCCCTGCCTCAGCCTCCTGAGTAGCTGGGATTACAGGCACGCACAGCTATACCAGTTAATTTTTGTATTTTTAGTACAGACGGGGTTTCACCATGTTGGCCAGGCTGGTCTCGAAATCTTGACCTCGTGATCCACCCACCTCGGCTGCCCAAAGTGCTGGGATTACAGGTGTGAGCCACCACACCTGGCCGACTCTGCAAGTATTTAAGTGAATGAATGTCAGTCCCTGAGAATCAGAATTTCTTCTGATTTAACGGCATTAAATCTCCCTTAGGTTTAATCCTGGTCAGCAGCTGTGGGGTGTCCTGGGTTTGGGATCAGTGGGATGAGGAACAAGCAGGTTCTCCAAACCACCACGCAGGGAGGGGAGGTGTTAACTAGGCCAAAGATGATGGGTGGGGTATGTGCCTGGGTTTCAAACAGCTTATGCCAGGCCTAAAAACAGACGCTGAGGCAGAAACTGTATTAAGCAAATTGATGACACAATGGAGGAGGTCAAAAAGTTTAATATTGCTAAGAAGAATACAAATACTGATCATGCAATATGTTATTGTTATCACACCATCTCCTGCTACACGCCAGGTTTCCTTTGCCATGAGATAGAAGAGATTTGTGGATCTGACCTAACCCTCCAAATTATAAGGTCTCTGAGAGTGGGCTCATGACATTCATGTTTTATAAATGTGGCATAAAGGTTAATGCTAGCTGCCATGTGACCCAATGCCAGTTTGACGCTGCATTCAAAGAACCATCGTTCCAGCATCCAAGCACACTTAAAGGCAATTGAAATGTTTACCGCCTTCCCTCAAGACAAACACCAAATAAAAATTATTTTCAAAATGCATAGCAACACTTCTTAAAATCTTATTTTCCCATCTCTTTCTCTCTCTCTACCACATTCCCAGGAGTTTCCCAGGAGCAAAACTGTCATAAAGACCCAGGAGCAAAATGATTAGTGACTTCACGATATCTGATTCTCATTTAGTTGGTTTAGAGTGGTGTCCGGGCATACGTATTTTTTAAAATCTTGCTGGGCACAGTGGCACACACCTGTAGTCTCAGCCACTCAGGAGGCTAAGGCAGAAGAATCACCTGAGCCCAGGAGTTTGAGTCCAGCCTGGGCAACGTAGCAAGACCCTGTCTCTGAAAAAAAAGAAAAAAAAGCAAAAACAAATCTCTCTCAGCTTCAGTCAGGGTTGATAACTAGTTGATCAAAAAATTGTGGTAGCCATCCTTCACAATGGACCTTAATATTCCCACCTCCTGGTGTTATTCACTGTGGAATCTGTCTTAGCTAGTCCTCAACTGGGTCTGGTATCCAGGCCCCACCTTGAGAGTCTAGTCCCACCTCCTACCCCACACATGGTTTTACACTTACTTTCAAGACTGGCCTAAAAATGTAAAATGTATTTGTTTTGACCTTGTTTCCAATGAAACAACTGTTCTAAACATTCCTTTAGGATGGTTAGGGAAATTTGAACACCGGCTAAATATTAGAAGATATTTGTTTCAAAATAACCCAGCTTGGTAATGAGATGATGGCGGCTGAGGCTGGTGATAGGCACAGAGGGCTTCATTATCAAATATAAACAAGTGGAAAAAACAGAACTTTTCCATAATACAAATATAAGGTAAACAAGAAAGTGTATTGAGTGCATAAAAAGAATCTATGGTCTCACAAGTATTAGCTTATAATTTGAACATCAAAAATAAAAGTGACAGCCGGGTGCAGTGGCTGATGCCTGTAATCCCAGCACTTTGGGAGACCTAGGTGGGTGGATCACTTAAGCCCAGGAATTTGAGACCAGCCTGAGCAACATAGTGAGACCCCCATCTCTAAAATAAATAAATACAAATAAAAGTGACTAGAATTGATTATAGAACATCAACTCGATTTGAGTCTATAAAGATTACTGGTGGAGGGGGGCAATGGGGAGAAGGAGGAAGAGAATATATTTGTGACCTAGATTATTTTCCTTAGTTTTGAGAGAATCTTCGGGTCTCCTGGGTCTTCTAGCCCAGTATTTATTTTTATTTTTTATTTATTTGTGTATTTTTTTTTTATGTTTTTAGATGGAGTCTCACTCTGCCACCAGACTGGAGTGCAGTGGTGCGATCTCGGGCCACTGCAACTTCTGCCTCCCAGGTTCAATCTATTCTCCTGTCTCAGCCCCCCAAGTAGCTGGGACTACAGGTACCTGCCACTTCACCCAGATAATTTTTTTTTTTTTTTTTGAGACAGAGTCTGGCTCTGTTGCCCAGGCTGGAGTGCAGTGGTGCAATCTCGGCTCACTGCAAGCTCCTCCTCGAGGTTCATGCCATTCTCCTCCCTCAGCCTCCCGAGTAGTTGGGACTACAGGAACCTGCCACCACGCCCGGCTAATTTTTTTGTGTTTTTAGTAAAGACAGGGTTTCATCGTGTTAGCCAGGATGGTCTCGATCTCCTGACCTCGTGATCTGCCCGCGTCGGACTCCCAAAGTGCTGGGATTACAGGCATGAGCCACTGTGCCCGGCCGCACCCAGCTAATTTTTGTATTTTTTGTAGAGATGGTGTTTCACCATGTTGATCCAGGCTGGTCTCAAACTCCTGACCTCAGGTGATCCGCCCGCCTTGGCATCCCAAAATACAAGGATTACAGGCATGAGCCACCACACCCTGCCTATTTTCCTTAGTTTTCAGAGAACCTTTGTGTCCCCTGGGTGTTCTAGCCCAGTATATCTCAAACTTTGCTGCATCAAGGACCTTGTTGAAATGCAGGTTCTCATCTGGGAGGCTCAGTGGGCCGGCAAATCTGCACTGGTTTAGGAAGCTCACCCTGAGTATCAAGCTTCAGTGAGGATCAGGCAGACCCCTGCCTACCAACCCCCTCTCAGCTGGGCTTAACTCTGGCTCTCTCCTGCCAGGGTTCCTCCCCTCAAAATAGGAGCTATTTTCAAAAAGTCTCTTGGAAAAAAAGCCCTGTTTTAAAATTGGGGTGTTCAGGATTGGCCATCTGCTCACCATGGGGTTTTAAGACCTTTGCCCAGAACCCTGCAACCAACTTAGAACTGACGTCTTTACTTTTGAAGGCCCCACTCCACACCATATTAAATTAATTAAAATCAACCCGCATTACAGGCATATCTCAGGCATCATGCCCTCAGAAAGGAGTTGCAGCTGATCACTTGACAATGTTGTAAGGCATTAAACATGCATTCATTTCAGCCTTGCAGTTTTCACATTTAGGAGCCAATTGTCTTAGGTCTAAAGCATTCATGACGAAGCATTGTTATGGGCCCCAGACACTATGCTTCCCAGCCTTAATGGCCTCTGCAATGCTGGTTCCTACTGGCCCACCCCTGGGTTCTGGCCGGCTAGCCCGTGCCACCTCACTGCTCCCCCATTCAAGTGTGCCTTAAATGTGTGGTTTCCAAACTCATCTACACTTTAGGGTCACCTGAGATTTTTTTTTTAAATCTTCCAAAACCCAGGCCACACCCAAGAACAATTAAACCTCAACCTCTGGAATGGGACATAGACTCCGTTTTTTGTTTTGTTTTGTTTTTGAGACAGGGCCTTGCTCTGTTACCCAGGCTGGAGTGCAGTGGCACAATCATAGCTCACTACAGGCTCCAACTCCTGGGCTCAAGAAACCCTCCCACTTCAACCTCCACGGTAGCTGGGATCACAGGCGGGCACCACCACGCCCGGCTAATTTTTAAATTTTTTATAGAGACAGTATCTCCTTATGTTCTCCAGGCTAGTCTCAAACTCCTGGGCTCAAGTGATACTCCCGCCTCACCGTCCCAAACTGCTGGGATTATAGGCATGAGCCACCATGTCTGGACATCAGCATCTGTATTTTTTGAAGCACAGACGAGTTTGGGAACTACCGCGCTAGACTGAGTTTCGATTCCTAGCCCTGTCTGACCGTAGGATTCGGCTGGGCTGCTTCTGAAAACAGAGCTCCCCAGGCTCCTTCCCAGGTAATTCTGATTCATTAGGTCTGGGGTGGGCCCCGGAATGTGCATTTTTTATGAGATCCCTCTGGGTGAATCTGGCTAAAGCCAGTTTGGGATCTGAGACCTTGGAGATCATTCCCCAGCTTCCCTCCTAACCCAGTTCCCGGCTTGGCCCACCTCACCCAGGCTGTGTCACGTCTGACTTCGCAGATTACACCTGAGAGGGAAGCCCCAGCCATCACAATGTGAGAACATTTTACAATGAACAGGATATGCCAAGTACATTTTAAGACTCATTCAGGATTAGCGTTCACCTTAAACTTGACAGACTCAGAGAATGGGCTGGCCACGTGCTGTGCACAACCCTTAGTGCCCTTCTGTGACTAATATTTGGATAATTGATTGTTGGAAGCTCAGGAAGCCTCTCTCTCTCAGAGGGGTTGAAGTTAACTTCTTTATTTCTGAGGTAGGGAAGAAAATGAGGATGTTCTGCCTTTTGCTAGACTGAATACTGTCTTCCAAAAATTCACATTCACCAGGAATCCCAGAATGTGACCTTATTAGAAAATAGGGGCAGGGCATGGTGGCTCATGCTTGTAATCTTAGCACTTTGGGAGGCTGAGGCAGGAGGATCACTTGAGGTCAGGAGTTCGAGACCAGCCTGGCTAGCATGGCAAACCCTGTCTCTACTAAAAACATAAAAATTAGCTAGGCATGGTGGCGTGCACCTGTAATCCCAGCTACTTCAGAGGCTGAGGCTGAAGAATCACTTGAACCCAGGAGGCAGAGTTGAAGCGAGCTGAGATTGTGTCACTGAACTCCAGCCTGGGCAACAGAGCAAGACTCCATCACAAAAAAAAGAAAAGAAAATAGGGTCACTGCAGATCTAATTACAAAGAGGTCATATTGGAATAGCGTGAACCTTAAATCGAGTAATAATGGCATCCTCATGGGAAGAGAAGAAGAGACAGAGACACACAGGGGAGAAGGCCACATGAGAATGAAGGAAGAGAATGGAATGATGTGGACACAAGCCAAAGAATGCCAGCAACCACCAGAAGCCAGAAGAGGCAAGGAAGGATTCACCCCTAGAGCCTTCAGAGGGAGCATGGCCCTGCGGGTTTCACACATCAAGCTTCTGGAACTGGAGAGAATGACTTTCTGTTGTCCTGAGCCACCCATTTGGGGAACTCTGTTAGAACAGTCACAGCCAGGTCATGTGCTCCTGGATGCATCTCAGGAATTAATAAGCACTGTCCTGGCCAGTCAGGGTTGCTCACCCCTGTAATCCCAGCACTTTGGGAGGCTGAGGTGTGTAGATCACCTGAGGTCAGGAGTTCGAGACCAGCCGGACCAACATGGAGAAACCCCATCTCTACTAAAAATACAAAAATTAGCTGGGTGTGGTGTTGTGCACCTGTAATCCCAGCTACTTGGGAGGCTGAGGTAAGAGAATCACTTGAACCCTGGAGGCAGAGGTTGCAGTGAACTGAGACTGCGCCATTGCCCTCCAGCCTGGGCAACAAGAGCAAAACTCCGTCCCCCCAAAAAAATAATAAGTACTGTCTTGACTGTGGTCATCAAAAATATTTGATTAAGGGTTAGCTAGAAAGCCTGACCCTTTCACAGACAGACGGAAGGGCCAAAAGAAAATAGATTGTTTGCAGTGGGGCAAGAAGGATAAGAATCCTATGGAAAAAAAAAATAACAGAGGGATTTGTTTAGTGAGCGCTGGGGAGAGGCATTTGTTTTCTTGCTTGAATAAGAAACACACGTTGGGTGCGGTGGCTAAAGCCTTAATCCCAGCACTCTGGGAGGCCAAGGTGGGTGGATCAACTAAGCTCAGGAGTTTGAGACCAGCCTGGCCAACACTGTGAAACCCCATCTCTACTAAAAAGACAAAAACAAAGAAAGAAAGAAATTAGCCAGGCACGGTGGTGGGCGCCTGCAATCCCAGCTACTCGGGTGGCTGAGGCAGAGAATCACTTGAACCTGGGAGGCAGAGGTTGCAGTAAGCCAAGATGGCATCACTGCACTCCAGCCTAGGCAACAAGAGTGAAACTCTGTCTCAACCAAAAAGAAAGAAAGAAAGAAAGAAAACCATAGTTTTAAGTCCACTCAGTGGAGTTTAAAAATACATTCCCATTGCACAGTGCTTTTGGAATCTTTTCTAAACTTCTGTTGCACATGGTCTAATTTGATCTTCATAGCAACTCCCTGAGGTGGATAGGGCAGGCCTTTCTGAACACCTATTTTCTAGTTTGCATTAAAAGAACGGAATTGGCTGGGACCAGTGCCTCATGCCTATAATCCCAAAACTTTGTGATACAGAAGGGAAGTGCTCAGAAGGGAAGAATGTGGTCCCTTTAAATGATATGGAAGTGAGGAAGGGAAGTACTGGGTAGAGGAGGGTGTGGTCCCTGGCTAGGGTTCCACCCCAGGGCCTGTGTCCACGGACCTAGGTGAGGACTGGCATTTTTGTTTTCCTGCCCAGATGTTGCATTTCCCAAGACCACCCTGGCTGCCACACCCCCATTCTGTGCCTATAAAAACCCTGAGACCCTAGCAGGCAGACACAGGCAGCTGGACTTTGAGAGGAGCACATCAGCAGAGGAACACAAGGGTGCTGGACTTCAACAGGAACGCACCAATGGGCACCGTCACACCGCAGGCCACTGACTGCAGAACAACGCAGAGTTTGGCTGGGACATTCGGAGAAGAGTCCGGCCACTCATCCAACTCCAGGGGTAAACCATCTCCCTTCTGGCACGCCCATCTGCTGAGAGATACTTCCACTCAATAAAACCTTGCACTCTCACGCCTGTAATCCCAGAACTTTGGGAGGCCGAGGCGGGCAGATCACGAGGTCAGGAGATCCAGACCATCCTGGCTAACACAGTGAAACCCCATCTCTACTAAAAATACAAAAAAATTAGCCAGGCGTGGTGGCGGGTGCCTGTAGTCCCAGCTACTTGGAAGGCTGAGGCAGGAGAATGGCGTGAACCCAGGAGTAGGAGCTTGCAGTGAGCTGAGATCACACCACTTCTGGTACACCAAGGCAAGAACCCCGGGACAAAGAGAGCCCTCTCTCCTTGCAATAAGGCAGGGGTCTAATTGAGCCGACTAACACAAGCTACCTACAGACGGCTAAACTAAAAGAGCACCCTGTAACACACGCCCACTGGGGCTTCAACTATAAACATTCACCCCTGGACACTGCCATGGGTCTCCCTGCCTGTCTGCATGCTCTCCTAGAGGTTTGAGCAGTGGGGCACTGAATAAACGAACCACACCCGCATCGCATGCCCTTCGAGGGGGACAACAGAACTTTTCCCATTTCATCTGAGAGGCCAAGGCAGGAGGATCGCTTGAGCCCATGTGTTTGAGACCAGCCTACACAACATAGCAAGACACCATCTCTACAAAAAAAAAAAAATAAGTAAACAAAAAAAAAGCATTAAAAATTAGCCAGCTGTGGTGGCACACACCTGTAGTCTCAGCTACTCAGGAGGCTGATGTGGAAGGATTGATTGAGCCCAGGAGATTGAGGCTGCAGTGAGCCAAGATTGAACCACTGCACTCTAGCCTGGGCGACAGAGTGAGACCCTGTTTCGACAACAACAAAAAGAATGGAACAAAATAACTTCTCAAATAGCTAGCAGAGGGAGATCTGGTTCTCAAATGCAGGTTTTCCAGGTTTCAATTCTTGTTTCTAGCAGTATTATGGAGGAACATGATCACTAATACATGAAGGAGAGGAGGTTTCAAGTTCTGATGAAAAGATGGTAAAGAGAGGAGTTAGTTGACTAGGAGCGACTAGGAATAGGAAGAAAACGCATGACACTACTTAGAGGAAAGAAGAAAAATAAGCATAGAGGTGACTGAGCAGACAGAAAGGACTTGGAAGAAGCGTGTTTGGCCCTGTCTCTAAATTTTTTCCCTTGCATTAGTAACTTCCCTGATGACTTGGATGAATCTTCTCTTCCAGGGTACCTAGTGCTCCCTTTCTGTCCACTTCTCCTTTCCCAGGGCCCATACAGTCTGGGAAAGCATGCTCTGCAGGCTTCTCATATCTTTCCTTCCTTAATCTGCCCCTAGCATCTCTACATAACCCATATACACCTGGAGTTCCACATGTTCCAGTCTTTGCACTGCAGTGAATTCAAAGAATGGTAGACTCTAGCTGGGCGCAGGGGCTCACACCTGTAATCCCAGCACTTTGGGAGGCTGAGGCAGGTGGATCACTTGAGCCCAGGAGTTCAAGACCAGGCCCGGCCAACATGGTGAAACCCCATCTCTACTAAAAATACAAAAATTAGCTGGGCTTGGTGGTACATGCCCAGTAGTCCCAGCTTCTAGGGAGGCTGAGGCAGAAGAATTGCTGGAACCCAGGAGGCAGAGGTTGCAGTGAGCTGAGATCGTGCCACTGCACTCCAGCAGACTGGGCAACAGAGACCAGTCTCAAAAAAAACACAAAGACAAAACTAAACAAACAAAAAAAAAAAAAACAAAAAACAAAAAACGCGCACACACAAAAAAACAAAGGTAGACTCCAATAGGAAAAATTCACTCAAAAGCAACTCAAATAATTATTCAGTCAACCCAGTTCTATCTCAGTTCTTTATTATATATATAAACTTATTCTGTCCAGATTCCCTAGTTTTCTTTTTCTTATCTTTTTTGTTTTCTTTTGAGACAGGACCTCACTCTGTCACCCAGGCTGGAGTATAGTGGCACAATCATGGCTCACTGCAGCCTCAACCTCCTGGGCTGAAGTAGTTCTCCCACCTCAGCCTCCCAAGTAACTGGAACTACAGGTGCATGCCACCATGCTCAGCACCTTTTTGTATTTTTTGTAGAAACGGGGTCTCGCTATGTGGGCCAGGCTGGTCTTGAACTCCTGGACTCAAGAAGTCCGCCTGCCTCAACCTCCCAAAGGGCCAAGATTACAAGCATGAGCCACTGCATCTGGCTGATTCCTTAGTTTTCTTTTTCTCTTTGCCCATTGCCTGGATTCCATAAGCAGAAGGAAAACCCAGGGACTGACTTTGTAGGCAAGACCCTTTCCTCTTCAAAACATAAATTGGCTCAAGTGGTACCAAAACTGAAACATGTTTATAACTTAACATCTTTTCTTCCTACCCCTTCAATCTCTTGAGCAATGAGAAAAGGCACTGGGCTCTTTATTTGTGTAGGGAAAAGAAAGAGAGATCCGACTGTCACTGTGTCTATGTCGAAAGGGAAGACATAAGAGACTCCATTTTGAAAAAGATCTGTACTTAAAACAATTGCTTTGCAGAGATGTTGTTCATTTGTAGCTTTGCCCCAGCCACTTTGCCCCAACCACTTTGACCCAACTTGGAGTTCACAAAAACATGTGTTGTATAAAATCAAGGTTTGAGGGATCTAGGGCTGTGCAGGACGTGCCTTGTTAACCAAATGTTTACAAGCAGTATACTTGGTAAAAGTCATTGCCATTCTCTAGTCTCAATAAACCAGGGGCACAATACACTGTGGAAAGCCGCAGGGACCTCTGCCCTTGAAAGCAGGGTATTGTCCAAGGTTTCTCCCCATGTGATAATCTGAAATATGGCCTCGTGGGATGAGAAAGACCTGACTGTTCCCCAGCCCGATACCCATAAAGGGTCTGTGGTGAGGTGAATTAGTAAAAGAGGAAAGCCTCTTGCAGTTGAGATGGAGGAAGGCCACTGTCTCCTGCCTGCCCCTGGGAACTCAAAGTCTCGGTGTAAAACCCGATTGTACATTTGTTTAAGTCTGAGATCGGAGAAAAGCTGCCCTGTGATGGGAGGCAAGACATGTTTGCAGCAATGCTGCCTTGTTATTCTTTACTCCACTGAGATTTTTGGGTGGAGAGAAACATAAATCTGGCTTACGTACACGTCCAGTCATAGTACCTTCCCTTGAACTTAATTATGATATAGATTCTTTTGCTCACATGTTTTTTGTTGACCTCCTTATTATCACCCTGCTTTCCTAGTATATTCCTTTTTGCTGAAATAATGAAAATCATAATCAATAAAAACTGAGGGAACTCAGAGGCCGGTGCCTGTGCATGTCCTTGGTGTGCTAAGTGCTGGTCCCCTGGACCCACTGATGTTTCTCTATACTTTGTCTCTGTGTCTTATTTCTTTTCTCCGTCTCTCATCCCACCTGACTAGAAATACCCACAGGTGTGGAGGGGCAGACCACCCCTTCATCTGGAGCCCAGCGTGGGGCCCTTCTCTAGGGTGAAGGTACGCTAAGAACGTGAGCATTGAGGACAGCCGATGAGAGATTCCCGAGTACGTCCACAGTCAGCCTTGCGGTTAGCTTGTGTGCTGGGAGGAATCCAGGATAACAATGGGGCAAACTGAAAGTAAATATGCTTCTTATCTCAGCTTCATTAAAATTCTCTTAAGAAGAGGGGGAGTTAAAGCTTCTACAGAAAATCTAGTTACGCTATTTCAAACAATAGAACAATTCTGCCCAAGGTTTCCAGAAAAGGGAACTTTAGATTTAAAAGATTGGGAAAAAATTGGCAAAGAACTAAAACAAGCAATTAGGGAAGGTAAAATCATCCCACTTACAGTATGGAATGATTGGGCCACTATTAAAGCAACTTTAGAACAATTTCAAATAGAAGAAGATAGGGTTTCAGTCTTTGATGCCCCTGAAAGCTGTGTAATAGATTGTGAAGAAGAGGCAGGAACAGAGTTTAAGAAAGGAATGGAAAGTTCACATTGTAAAAATGCAGTAGAGCCTGTACTGACTTGGTCAATGCAGAATGTTGACTATAATCAATTACAGGAGGTAATATATCCTGAATCATCAAAATTGGGGGAAGGAGGTCCAGAATTATTTGGACCATCAGAGTTTAGAACACGATGGCCACCAACTCCTTCTCCCGCGGTTCAGATGCCTGTGATGTCACAATCTCAAATGCCAATCCAGGCACAGTATCCGCAATACCAGCCAGTAGAAAATAAAACCCAACCATCGGTAGTTTATCAACACCAGCCGCCAGCCGCATTTCAGTATCCGCCGTCTCCAGAGGTTCAGTATGGATCTCAGGCGGTGCGTCCTGTGCCAAATAGCAAGGCACTATATCAACAACCCACGGCGATGGCGTTTGATCTTACGGTACCACCTAGTGGACAAGATAGTGCACTGCATGAGACCATTGCTACAGCCAGAAAACAGGGAGATCTTGAGGCATGGCAATATCCGGTAATGTTACAACAGATGCCGGCCGGGAAAGGCAGTCAAGCAGGAGTTAAACAATATGGACCTAACTCTCCTTATATGAGAACATTATTAAATTCCATTGCTCATGGAAATAGACTTATTTCTTATGATTGGGAAATTCTGGCTAAATCTTCCCTTTCACCCTCTCAGTATCTCCAGTTTAAAACCTGGTGGATTGATGGGGTACAAGAACAGGTACGAAAAAATCAGGCTACTAATCCTGTTGCTTATATAGATGAAGACCAATTGCTAGGAAGAGGTCCAAACTGGGACACTATTAACCAACAATCAGTAATGAAAATGAGGCTATTGAACAACTATAAGGGCTATTTGCCTCAGGGCCTGGGAAAACATTCAGGACCCAGGAACCTCATGCCCTTCTTTTAGTTCAATCAGACAAGGATCTAAAGAGCCATATCCAGACTTTGTGGCAAGGTTGCAAGATGCAGCTCAAAAATCCATTGCAGGTAACGCCCGAAAAGTTATTGTAGAAATAATGGCTTATCAAAACGCAAATTCAGAGTGTCAATCAGCCATAAAGCCATTAAGAGGAAATGTTTCAGCAGGAGTTGATGTAATTACAGAATATGTGAAGGTTTGTGATGGGATTGGGGGAGCTATGCATAAGGCAATGCTATCGGCTTAAGCAATTACAGGGGTTGCTTTAGGAGGACAAGTTAAAACATTTGGGGGAAAATGTTATAATTGTGGTCAAATCGGTCATCTAAAAAAGAATTGCCCAGGCTTAAATAAACAGCAAAAAAAAAAAAAAAAAAAAAAAAAAGAAGAAGAAGAAAAAAAAAAAAATAGAGCCACCTGGCCTGTGTCCAAGATGTGGAAAAGGAAAACATTGGGCTAAGGCATGTCGTTCTAAATTTGATAAAAATGGACAACCATTGTCGGGAAAGGGCAAGAGGGGCCAGCCCCAGGCCCCGCAACAAAGTGGGGCATTCCCGATTCAGCCATTTGTTCCTCAGGGTTTTCAGGGACAACAACCCCCACAGTAAATACCACCATTTCAGGAAATCAGCCAATTACAATACGACAATTATCCTCTGCCACAGCAGGCAGTGCTGCAGTAGATTTATGTTCTACTCAAATGATTTCTTTACTCCGTGGAGAGCCCCTGCAAAATTCCTACAGGGGTATATGGCCCGCTGCCACAAGGGATGGTAGGCCTTATTTTAGGAAGATCTAGTCTAAATTTGAAAGGAGTTCAAATTCATACTGGGGTAATTGACTCAGATTATAAAGGGGAAATTCAGTTAGTGATCAGCTGTACTGTTCCCTGGAGTGCCAATCCAGGTGATAGAATTGCTCAATTACTGCTCTTGCCTTATATTAAAATTGGGGATAGCAAAACAGAAAGAACAGGAGGGTTTGCAAGTACCAACAATGCTGGAAAAGCTTTTTATTGGGCTAGTCAGCTCTCAGAGAATAGACCTGTGTGTACAGTTACTATTCAGGGAAAACAGTTTGAAGGATTAGTGGATACTGGGTCTGATGTTTCTATCATTGCCTTAAATCAATGGCCAAAAAATTGGCCTAAACAAAAGCCTGTTACAGGACTTGTTGGTGTGGGCACTGCCTCAGAAGTGTATCAAAGTGCCAGGATTTTACATTGTCTAGGACCTGATAATCAAGAGAGTACAGTTCAGCCTATGATTACTTCTGTTCCAATTAATTTATGGGGCCGAGACTTATTAGAACAGTGGCATGCAGAGATTACTATTCCAGTCTCTCTATACAGCCCCACAAGTCAAAAAATCATGACTAAAATGGGATAGCTCCCTGGCAAAGGACTAGGGAAAAATGGAGAAAGCATTAAAGTTCCAATTGAGGCTAAGGGAAATCCAGAAAGAAAAGGACTAGGGTATCCTTTTTAGGGGTGGCCACTGTAGAGCCTCCAAAACCCATTTCATTAACTTGGAAAACAGAAAAGCCTGTATGGGTAAATCAGTGGCCACTACCAAAACAAAAGCTGGAGGCCTTACACTTATTGGCAAAATAACAATTAGAAAAGGGACATATTGAGCATTCATTTTCGCCTTGGAATTCTCCTGTGTTTGTAATTCAGAAAAAATCAGGCAGATGGCGCATGCTAACTGATTTAAGAGCCGTTAATGCAGTAATTCAACCCATGGGGCCTCTCCAACCTGGGCTGCCCTCTCCAGCCATGATCCCCGAATATTGGCCTTTAATTATAATTGATCTGAAGTATTGCTTTTTTACCATTCCTCTGGCAAAACAGGATTTTGAAAAATTGGCTTTCACTATACCAGCCATAAATAATAAAGAACCAGCCACTAGATTTCAGTGGAAAGTGTTGCCTCAGGGAATGCTTAATAGTCCAACTATTTGTCAGACTTTTGTAGCTCAAGTTCTTCAACCAGTTAGAGACAAGTTTTCAGACTGTTATATCATTCATTATGTTGATGATATTTTGTGTGCTGCAGAAACAAGAGACAAATTAATTGACTGTTACACATTTCTGCAGACAGAGGTTGCAAATGCAGGCCTGACAATAGCATCTGATAAGATTCAGACCTCCACTCCTTTCCATTATTTGGGAATGCAGGTAGAGGAGAGAAAAATTAAACCACAAAAAGTAGAAATAAGAAAAGACACATTAAGAACATTAAATGACTTCAAAAATTGCTAGGAGATATTAATTGGATTCGGCCAACTCTAGACATCCCTACTTATGCCATGTCAAATTTGTTCTCTATCTTGAGAGGGGATCCAGACTTAAATAGTAAAAGAATATTAACTCCAGAGGAAACTAAAGAAATAGAATTAGTTGAAGAAAAATTTCAGTCAGCAAAAGTAAATAGAATAGATCACTTAGCCCCACTCCAACTTTTAATTTTTGCTACTGCACATTCTCCAACAGGCATTATTGTTCAAAATACAGATCTTGTGGAGTGGTCATTCCTTCCTCACAGTACAGTTAAGACTTTTACATTGTACTTAGATCAAATGGCTACATTAATTGGTCAGGCAAGACTATGAATAGTAAAATTGTGTGGAAATGACCCAGATAAAATCATTGTTTCTTTAAACAAGGAACAGGTTAGACAAGTCTTTATCAATTCTGGTGCAGGGCAGATTGGTCTTGCTGATTTTGTGGGAATTATTGATAATCATTACCCAAAAGCAAAAATCTTCCAGTTTTTGAAATTGACTACTTGGATTTTACCTAAAATTACCAGACAAAAACCTCTAGAAAATGCTCTGACGGTGTTTACTGATGGTTCCAGCAACGGAATAGTGGCTTACACTGGGCCAAAAGAACAAGTCATTGAAACTCAATATCACTCAGCTCCAAGAGCAGAATTGGTTGCTGTCATTTCAGTGTTACAAGATTTTAATCAGCCTATTAACATTGTTTCAGATTCTGCATATTTAGTACAGGCTACAAAGGATGTTGAGACAGCCCTAATCAATCAAATATAGTATGGATGATCAGTTAAATCAGCTGCTTAAATTGTTACAACAAACTGTAAGCAAAAGAAATTTCCCATTTTATATTGCTCATATCCGAGCACATACTAATTTACCAGGGCCTTTAACTAAGGCAAATGAACAAGCTGACTTGCTAGTATCATCTGCCTTCATGGAAGCACAAGAACTTCAGGCCCTCACTCATGTAAATGCAACAGGATTAAAAAACAAATTTGATATCGCATGGAAACAAGCAAAAAATGTTGTACAACATTGTGCTCAGTGTCAAGTCTTACACCTGCCCGCTCAAGAGGCAGGAGTTAATCCTAGAGGTTTATGTCCTGATGCATTATGGCAAATGGACGTCACACATGTACCTTCATTTGCAAAATTGTCATTTGTCCATGTGACAGTTGATACTTAATCACATTTCATATGGGCAACCTGCCAGACAGGAGAAAGTACTTCCCATGTTAAAAGACATTTATTATCTTGTTTTGCAGTCATGGGATTTCCAGAAAAAATTGAAACAGATAATGGGCCAGGATACTGTAGCAAAGCATTTCAAAAATCCTTAAATCAGTGGAAAATTACACATACAACAGGAATCCTTAATTTCCAAGGACAGGCCATAATTGAAAGAACTAATAGAACACTCTAAGCTCAATTGGTTAAACAAAAAAAGGAAAAAGTAAGGAGTATAATACTCCCCAGGTGCAACTTAATCTAGCACTCTATACTTTAAATTTTTTAAATATATATAGAAATCAGACCACTACTTCTGCAGAACAACATTTTACTGGTAAAAAGAACAGCCCACATGAGGGAAAACTGATTTGGTGGAAAGACAACAAAAATAAAACATGGGAAATAGGTAAGGTGATAACATGGGGGTGAGGTTTTGCTTGTGTTCCACCAGGAGAAAATCAGCTTCCTGTTTGGTTACCCACTAGACATTTGAAGTTCTACAATGAACCCATCAGAGGTGCAAGGGAAGGCACCTCCGCAGAGACAGAGAACCCGCAATCGAACATCATCGACTCGCAGGGTGAACAAAATAGTGATATCAGAAGAACAGTTGAAGTTGCCATCCACCAAGAAAGTGGGGCCGCCGACCTGGGCCCAGCTAAAGAAGCTGACACAGTTAGCTGAAAAAAGCCTGGAAAACACAAGGGTAACACAAACTCCAGAGAATATGCTACTTGCAGATTTAATGATTTTATCAGCGGTGATAAGTCTCCCTATGTCTTCAGGAGCCGCTACAGCTAACTATAATTACTGGGCCTATGTGATTTTCCCACCCTTAATTCGAGCAGTCACTTGGATAGATAATCCTATTGAAGTATATGTTAATAACAGTGCATGGGTACCAGGCCCCACAGATGACCGTGGCCCTGCCCAACCTGAAGAAGAAGGAATGATGATAAACATTTCCATTGGGTATCATTATCCTCCTATTTGCCTGGGAAAAGCACCAGGATGCTTAATGCCTACAATCCAAACTTGGTTGATAGAAGTACCTACTGTCAGTGCCACCAGTAAATTTACTTATCATATGATAAGAGGAATGTCGCTCAGGTCACAAATGAATAATTTACAGAATTCTTCCTATCAAAGATCATTAAAATTTAGGCCTAAAGGGAAACCATGCCCCAAGGAAATTCCAAAAGAATCAAAAGACCCAGTAGTCTTAGTTTGGGAAGAATGTGTGGCTGATACTGCAGTGGTACTACAAAACAATAAATATGAAACTATTATAGACTAGGCCCCTCAAGGCCAATTATATTATGACTGTATGGGCCAGACCCACTCATGTTCACAGGCTCCATGTGTCTGGCCCACTAATCCGGCCTGTGATAGTGATTTAACTAAAAGGCTAGACCAGGTTTATAGAAGGCTAGAATCACCCTATCCATGGAAATGGGGTGAAAAGAGGATTTCATCACCCCGACCAAAGTTAGTTAGTCCTGTTTTTGGTCCTGAACACCCAGAATTATGGAAGCTCACTGTGGCCTCGTACCACATTAGAATTTGGTCTGGAAATCAAGTTATGGGAACAAGAAATCATAAGCCATATTAATTATTAACCTAAATTCCAATCTGAAAATTCCTTTGCAAAGTTGTGTAAAACCTCCTTATATGCTAGTTGTAGAAAACATAGCTATTAAACCAGATTCCCAAACTACAACCAGTGAAAATTGTAGATTGTTTACTTGCATTGATTCAACTTTTGATTGGCAGAATGCTATTCTGTTAGTAAGGGCAAGAGAAGGCGTGTGGATCCCTGTGTCCATGGATCGACCGTGGGAGGCTTCTCCATCCGTACATAACTTAAGTATTAAAAGGAGTTCTAATTAGATTTAAAAGATTCATTTTTACTTTGATTGCAGTGATTATGGGTCTTATTGCAGTCACAGCTACTGCTGTGGCTGCTGGAATTGCTTTACACTCCTCTGTTCAAACTGCAGAATATGTGAATAATTGGCAAAAGAATTCCTCAAAATTGTGGAATTCTTAGACTCAAATGGGTCAAAAATTGGCAAATCAAATTAATGATCTTAGACAAACTGTTATTTGGATGGGAGATAGGCTCATGAGCTTAGAATATCTTTTTCAGTTACAGTGTGACTGGAATACATCAGATTTTTGTATTACACCTCGAGCCTATAATGAATCTGAACAGCACTGGGACATGGTTAGACGCCATCTACAAGGAAGAGAAGATAATCTTACCTTAGATATTTCTAAATTGAAAGAACAAATTTTTGAAACATCAAAAGCCCAGTTAAATCTGGTGTCAGAAACGGAGGCAATGGTAAAAGCTGTTGATAGCCTCACAAATCTTAACCCTGTCACTTGGGTTAAAACCATTGGAAATTCCACTATTGCAAATTTTGTATTAATTCTTGTATGTCTGTCCTCTCTATTGTTAGTCTACAGGTGTATCCAGCAGCTCCGGAGAGACAGCGACCAGCGAGAAGGGACCATGATGACCATGGCGGTTTTGTCAAAAAGAAAAGCGGGAAATGTAGGGAAAAGAGAGAGATCAGACTGTCACTGTGTCTATGTAGAAAGGGAAGACATAAGAGACTCCATTTTGAAAAAGACCTGTACTCTAACAATTGCTTTGCTGAGATGTTGTTCATTTGTAGCTTTGCCCCAGCCACTTTGCCCCAGTCACTTTGCCCCAACTTGGAGTTCACAAAAACATGTGTTGTATAAAATCAAGGTTTGAGGGATCTAGGGCTGTGCAGGACGTGCCTTGTTAACCAAATATTTACAAGCAGTATACTTGGTAAAAGTCATTGCCATTCTCTAGTCACAATAAACCACGGGAACAATGCACCGTGGAAAGCCGCAGGGAGCCCTGCCCTTGAAAGCAGGGTATTGTCCAAGGTTTCTCCCCATGTGATAGTCTGAAATATGGCCTCGTGGGATGAGAAAGACCTGACTGTCCCCCAGCCTGACACCCGTAAAGGGTCTGTGCTGAGGCGGATTAGGAAAAGAGGAAAGCCTCTTGCAGTTGAGATGGAGGAAGGCCACTATCTCCTGCTTGCCCCTGGGAACTGAATGTCTCGGTGTAAACCCGATTGTACATTTGTTCAAGTCTGAGCTAGGAGAAAAGCTGCCCTGTGGCGGGAGGTGAGACATGTTGCAGTAACGCTGCCTTGTTATTCTTTACTCCACTGAGATGTTTGGGTGGAGAGAAACATAAATCTGGCCTACGTGCAAGTCCAGTCATAGTACCTTCCCTTGAACTTAATTATGATATAGATTCTTTTGCTCACATGTTTTTTGTTGACCTTCTCCTTATTATCACCCTGCTCTCCTATTACATTCCTTTTTGCTGAAATAATGAAAATCATAATCAATAAAAACTGAGGGAACTCAGAGGCCAGTGCCCGTGCAAATCCTGGTGTGCTGAGTGCCGGTCCCCTGGATCCACTGTTGTTTCCCTGTACTTTGTCTCTGTGTCTTATTTCTTTTCTCCGTCTCTCATCCCACCCGACTAGAAATACCCACAGGTGTGGAGGGGCAGGCCACCCCTTCAATTTGGTGACACATGGCCTGTGGCCTCAAAGAACACTGACACCCCGGTAACATCCATTCAAAGAGGTTCTCCATACCTCCCCTCCTTTATCCCCAAGGTCTCTGGGTCAGAGATCACTGAGTCATTCACAACATGATGTTTAACACCGAGACGCTCTGGAATTGCTCCTTCAAGATGACTCAGAAGACCCAGTGCTGAGACAATCGTGTTCTCTCTCTCTCTGGATCACCGCCCAGAGACAAGGACTGCCAGAGACCCTGGCTTCCCCAGCTGCTGCCTCCCATTCCTGCGCCTGTGGGATGAGAGATCGAAGCTGTGTGACCTTGACCAAGTTACTTACCCTCTCTAAGCATATGTTTCCCTAAATGTGAAATAGGATGATGGTGATGTGTTTATTTCACAGATTTGATAGAAGGATTAAATGAGAGATGCATCAAAAGCAGTGGGCACAGGGTCAATGCTCAGTGAGCTTTCTCTTTTCTTATCAATAGACAGGTCTCCATGAGGACAGAGACTGGCTTCATCTTGACTGTAGCCTCAGGGCTGGCCACAGTGTCTGCACCCAGCAGGACTTCAGTAAATATCTGTTTATACACTAACCACAGACTTAGGCATAAAAGCCCTTTGGAAGAAAGTTGACCATTTCATGCACCTTCAGACTATGAAGAGCAATGATGACAACTTTAGCTCGAGAGGCTCTCAGTGCTCTTTCATCACCACTGTGAAGAGGCAGAAACCAGAGCTGTGTGTTTAACTCTCAGCCCCAAAACCTGTTGGCTTTGCTTTATCACTATGAACTTCCAATGCCATCCCTTTAGAATGAGACCTCTCTCTTCTTCCCCAAGGCACCAGCCTTCACCCTAGACCTCTCCTTATTAGCTGGTTCCTCCTGTCTGTACTCTGAGCCCATGCTGTGCTCGTCAGATAGCAACAAGGGAGAATACAGCAGCCCAGAATGCAGGCTGCAGAGTTAGATCCCCAGAACAGGATCTCAGCCGGCTCCATCCTTCCTCAGCTGGGCGACCGTGGCCATTGACTTCCTCTCTGTGCCTCAGTTGCTCCATCTGTGAAATGACGATTGTCATAGTCCCTGCTTCAAAGAGTCACTGGGAGGATTAACTGAGAAAATGCAGGGAAGGTGCTTGGAACTAAATGCTCCAAAAAAGTCCATCTGGCCAGGCACGGTGTCTCACGCCTGTAATCCCAGCACTTCGGGAGACTGAGGCAGGTGGATCACTTAGGTCAGGAATTCAAGACCAGCCTGGTCAACATGGCAAAACCCCGACTCTACTAAAAATACAAAAATTAGCCAGGCATGGTGGCAGGCACCTGTAATCTCAACTACTTGGGAGGCTGAGGCATGAGAATCTCTTGAACCTGGGAGGCAGAGGTTGCAGTGAGCCGAGATGGTGCCAAGGCACTCCAGCATGGGCAACAAGAGCAAAACTCTGTCTCAAAAAAAAAAAAAAAAGTCCATCATTCTTATTAATGGAGGACAAATCATCTCAGTGCTTCTTTGGCTGATCAGTACCCTCAAAGCTAGTGTTATCCAATAGACCAGAGGTCCCCATCCCCCAGACCACAGACCAGTAGCAGTCTGTGGCCTGTTAGGAACTGGGCTGCACAGAAGGAGGTGAGCAGTGAGCTAATGAGTGAAGCTTCATCTGTATTTACAGCTGCTCCCCATGGCTAGCGTTACCGCCTGAGCTCTGTCTCCTGTCAGATCAGCAGTGGCATTAGATTCTGATAGGAGCACCAACCCTATTGTGATCTGCATGTGGAAGGGATCTAGGTTGTGTGCTCCTTATGAGAATCTAATGCCTGATGATCTGTCACTGTCTCCCACCACCCGGAGATGGGATTATCTAGTTGCAGGAAAACAAGCTCAGGGCTCTCACTGATTCTACATTATGGTGAGTGGTATAATGATTTCATTATATATTATAATGTTCATAACAATAGAAATAAAGTACACAATAAATGTAATGCACTTGAATCATCCTGAAACTTCCCCCAACAAGTACACGGAAACTGGTCCTTGGTGCTAAAAAAAAATTGGGGACCACTGCAATAGACTATTCAGTCATGGTCCAATCAAACATTCTGCAATGGTGGGCTTGCTCTACTCTGCACTGTCCAACATGGGAGCTGCTAGCCGCCCACATGGGCTGTTGAGCCCTTGAAATGTGGCTGGTGAGAATGAAGAACTGAATTTTCAATTTTCTCTTAATTTTTTTTTTTTTTTTTTCAGACAGAGTCTCACTCTATCCTCCAGGCTGGAGTGCAGTGGTGCAATCTCATCTCACTGCAACTTCCATCTCCCAGGTTCAAGCAATTCTCCTGCTTCAGCCTCTTGAGTAGCCAGGATTACAGGAACCCGCCATCATGCCCGGCTAATTTTTGTATTTTTGTAGATACGAGATTTCACCATGTTGGCCAGGCTGATCTTGAACGCCTGACCTCAGGTGATCTGCCCAACTTGGCCTCCCAAAATGCTGGCATTACAGGTGTGCCACCATGCCTGCCCTTAATTCATTTCTAAATCACAAAATCTAAACAGTAAGTGGATAGGAGCTACCATAGTGTACAAGGCAGCTGTAGAATCACAGGAAATTGTCAATGACCCTGTCCTGCTTCAAGTTGACTTTTCTCCCTCATGGTGAGACTCTAGATTCTTTCCTCTTCTCTCACATTTTTTAGACTTTCAGGCTTAGACCATGAAAATAAGTTCTGTCCTTCCAAGAAAATAACGTTCATAACACTTACTGTATACCAGGCTGATTTCAGTGCTTTACATGTATTAATTTACAACAACTCTGAGGCACAAGCTGTGATTATGCCCATTTAACAGATGACAAAACTGAGGCACAAAGCAGTGCTGGAACTTCTCAAAGTCACACAGGTAGCAGGAGGCAGAGCTCGGATTTGAACTCACTTTGGGTTCAGCAACTCACAGCTCTCACCTATGACATAATATTACTTCTGTGGTTAAAACACTTAGACCTGGATTTTACAGGAATCTTGTGCTTGCCTGGCTGCTAGGGAGGTTTTCATCATCTTCCTTATCTCACAGTTCAAAACCCAGGGCCTCCAAGCTCTTGCTACGGTGGCTGTTCACTGGCAGGAGGCTTCTGGGAAGGTTCTCCTTTTCTGTCATTTTTCTTATTCGTCTTTTTTTGTCTCATTGGTGTTTATTCGCAGAACTTTGTTTCCTTCTGCTCAATTCATAATCAGAGTGCTTTTCCTCCTGGCTGAATTCATAAGTGTTTGTGCAAAAAGAGGTTGGCGCAGAGCCAGGCGACTGACGACACCCGGCTCATCTGGCAAGTGGATATCAAATTGTTGTATCTCGTTCTGCCATTCACAGCTCCTGCTGTGGGGCTGGGTCATCTGCCAGCTCTCCAAGGAGCTGGCGGGAAACCGCTGCAATCAGAGCGAACCCAGGGCCCGGGTGAGCCCGCCTCCGCACAGCACTCCAGCTGCCCCCAGTGCCTTTTGGGGACACATGTGCTTTGCCAGGCAGGGCTGTGGGAGGGCCGCCTGTCTCCTGTCCATCACAGGGAAAACCTACCCTTGTCCCGCGTCCCTTCCAGGCAGCCTGTGTGGAGCTTGCTGCATTCACCTTTAATATGGCTAAAATGTTTTCCTTCAATGACAGTAATGCTGCCAGAACCCATCAAGACACCCAGGAACTGATGTGCCTTGGCAGATGATGCTGGAAAAATGGGATTCCCGGCAGCCTTTGCATCCCTTGCTCACAGCCCACAAGCATCTCCACTGTCCAGCAGGTCAGGGCACGGTCTCTCTCTCTAGCTCTGTGTCTCTCTCTCACGGTCTTTCTCATGGTCTCTGTCTCTCACGATCTCTCTCTCTCATAGTCAGGGCAGAAAGAGAGAGAGTCCATCTGGAGCAGACTCGGATTTTAAATGAGTGCCACCGATAATTTAACACGATCAATGGCTGAGGTATTTCACCAAGTTCAGGAGTCCCAGTTCTCAGAGAGAGGCAGCCAGCCATGACTGTAAGACCTGGGCAAACCGTACAAACCAGACAGCAGGTCTCACCGCTCCCCAGAGAGCTCCAGAGAATATCAAAGAGTGAAACAGCAGAGGGATGGTCTGGGTGGGGTCATCGTGGCTGGCAAGGGCCTGTGACAGCACCTTGTTAGGCTACTCCCAAGAGGAAATTTGGAGAGAGGGTGGGAGGGCGGCTCTCAGTGCAAGCTAAGTCTCCTGGAAAGTAACTTCCAAGCTTTGGAGGATTGTGAGCAAGATGGGACCAACTTCTACCTAAAAGCAACTTCTACCTGAAAGAATGTTAATAGCAAGATAACTCATCCTAATGTTGGTCCAAGCTAGGTCTTTATTATGTATCATAAAGGCTCTGAGAATAACAATGTAACCTCCAAAAGGGCTGCGGGCTTTGAGGAATCTCAGGCAACTCGCTTCCTTCTGCTCAGTGACTCCCGTGGAGCACAGCAAAGCAAGGAAACACTTAGAGCCAAGCTTGAGTTCTGAATTTCAAATACAGGGAGTCCATCTCTTTCTACCCAATTGTTCCCTAGATGAGTAACTAACTCCTTCCCCATAACTGCACATATTTCCTACCAAAGCACAAGAGCGATGGGCTGTCCATGAGCCTCCCCAAAACATGTGCACCTTGTGACATAAATTCTGTCACCCAAAGAGACCAGACAAAATGCAAAACCAAAGTGGAGCCTTTCCTTGAATTATAGGTTCTAAAGAGTTTTGGACCCTCTACAAAACCCAAGAGTTAGGAATTGCCTGTAAGAAGCACCAGCTCTTGTTTTAAAGAGGCAATTTAAGAATAATAGCCATGCTGATGCCACACTATGCTAAGGGAGAATAATGAACCTAACAAAACAAGCGATTTTCCAATTGCTTTTGCTGCTGGAAACACTGATTATGCTAATTAAAGGGTAGAATAGTAAATAGCCACTCTTTTGCATCCAATTAAGTGTTCAGATTATTTCTCAGAAGTATTTGTTAAAAATAGCATTTCTGATAATCATGGGTCCCAAATAAACAGAGTCAAGTGCGGTGTGGTACATGTGTGAGTGTGTGTGTGTGCACACGTGTCTTTCTGGAGCTCATTTTATGGAGATCCAGCATAGCTCCCCAAATTCCTGTGAGAACAAATAAGAAAAATCACAGTCTTCTAAGACTACAGCTTGGGATATCTTTGGAAAAGGTGTGTATTGAGAACACAGCATATGGAAACTATTTCACGTTGGCAATGTCTGTGATTTAACATTGCAAATATTACAAATGAAACTGGTTCTTCAGAGTCACCTAAGTCCCTCATAATGGCAATATTAGCTTCTTCTAAATAATAAATTAGCCAGTCAAACTATGTTCTACAGCATGTTAGAAGTTTCATCCTTCTAGTCAATGTCACATTTCAAGACAAAGTCGATTTATATGTAAATTAAAAGAAGTGCTGTCACTAAAAATTGAGAATTATGTCTAATGCCAATCAGAAATGGAATAAATAAGTATTAGAGGATTTGCAAGTGAAAGCAACCATAGAAATGCTATCATCAGGAAGGAAAATGTATTACCTGCAGAGGTTACAGATAAGACGTTAGAACCCAGAAGAGAAAGAATCTCTGTAAATATTTCCATTAAGTTAATCAAGAGTGGCTGGGTATGGTGGCTCATGCCTGTAATCCCAGGACTTTGGGAGGCCAAAGAGGGCAGATCACGAGGTCAGGAGTTCGAGACCAGCCTGGCCAACATGGTGAAACACTGTCTCTATTAAAAATACAAAAAATTAGCCGGGCGTTGTGGTATACACCTGTAATCCCAGCTACCCAGGAGGCTGAGGCAGGAGAATTGGTTTAATCCAGAAGGCAGAGGTTTCAGCTAGCTGAGATCACACCATTGCACTCCAGCCTGGGTGACAGATCATGGCTCCATTTTGAAAAAAAAAAGAAAGAAAGAAAGAAAGAAAGTTAATCAGGGTGAGAATAGGATGAGTTTTTCACCCACAAAAAGACATGAGATTCATGCATTCTTTCAACATGCATTCCATCAATAGTGAGCACCTGCTCTGAGCTAGGCCCATTCCAGGTCTCAGGAAATGAGTAACCAACCAGACACGGCCCCTGATTTGGAGCTCACATTTTAGAGCAGCTAAATGGACAGTAAACAAGTAAGCAAATTAAGATCGTCTTAAATTGGGGGAAGTTCTTTAGAGAAGCACTTCCATAAAGCTGAATCGCATCATAGACTATGACTGCCAGGTGGTAGGGAAGGTAATATCTCACCTGCTTGTGGATAGCAGAGCTTCTGAGGCCTTGCAAAGTATTTAGTACTAAGATTTCTGTCTTAGGTCAAGTTCCCTAAAAGCAGAGACTGAGGCAGGGATTGAGTGCATGTAATTCATTCAGGAAGAAGTCTCAGGAGATAGGAGTAAGGAAAACAGGATATGGCAGGGAAGGAGCTAAGTGAGATGTGGTCTCAGCTGGAGACTGGCTCCAGTCTGATCTCACAGGGAGCTCCAGAGGATGAACTGCACCACCATGTTATCCCAGCCTAAGGTCTTTTGTTCTCCTGTGTCAGCCGGTCCTTGGCCAAGGGCTGCAGACTCTCTTGGGGCCCCAGCAGACCGGAGGAGAAGGAGCATGCTCTGTGGTCTACTCTTTTGTGCACATCCACCCACCACTTCCCCAGCTGACACTGCTGGAGGAGGAGAGGGAGAGATGTCATCTCCTTCTATGGCAACCTGTGGGGTGGCAATGGCCCTTTTCCTGTTGGGTGTAATCTGCTGCCATCTCCTGCTGTCTGCAGCCTGACACAGAAGGGTGAATGTCACCAGGTTCCACTGACAGGGGTCTTTGTCTCAAGCAGCAACCATAGGACCGAGGGTCCCTTGCAAGATTCAGCCACATTTCATGACTGTCTGCAACACACCCCATGCCTCTGATGGAAGGAACCCAATGCCCCATGCAGCACTCATTTCTGCCAGACTAGAGTCCCTGATCTCAATTTCCCTCTGCAGTCCCCAACTCTGGGGTCTGCAGACAGATTTCAGATCCCTCCTTATACCTCCCAGGAGGCAGAAGCCAGAGGAAATAATCCTTGTCCCAATGCACCTGACCATGCCACCTCACTGCATGCTCTTTCTCCCTCTCCAGGAAAAATCAAGCTGGTTGAATACTAACCAATATGCCCACATGCATTTAGTCCCCATAACCACTTCTTGGGGCAGCATTACCATCCCCAAGTTACAGACGAGGAAACTGAGGAGAACATTTATATAACATGCATCTAAGTGGTGGACAAAGGATCTAACCAGGCCGTGTGGCACCAGAGCACACATTTTTGTTGTTCAGAGAGATGGGGTCTCTCTCTGTCCCTCAAATTGGAGTGCAGTGGCCTGATCATAGCTCAGTGCAGGCTTGAACTCCCAAGCTCCAGCAGTCTTCCCGCCTCAGCTTCCCGAGTAGCTGGGACTAGAGGCATTCACCACCAACCCAGCTAATTTTTAAAAAACATTTTTCTAGAGATAGGGTCTGATTCCAAACTCCTGACTTCAAGCGATCTTCCTGCCTCAGCCTCCCAAAGTGCTGATATTACAGTTGTGAGCCCCCGCGTCCAGCCCAGAGCAGATTTTTTTTTTTTTTTTTTTTTTTTGAGATGGAGTCTCACTCTGTCACCCAGGCTGAAGTGCAGTGGCAAAATCTCGGCCCAGAGCACACTTTTAACCACCATATCATTCTGCCTCTGGGTAGGTTAGTCAAGCTCTGTAGCTGATCAGATGTCTGTAGAGAGAAAGAGACATCAATCTCCCCTTCTTCCAAACACCCCCAAATTTTACAAGTGATTTTCTCAGATCCCTCAGCATCAGGAATGGGGATGTGCAGGGCAGCCTGTCCCCTTCCCAACAGCCCAGCAGATATCCCAAGATTACATCTCATTGGCTCTGATTAGGACATGAGCCCAAAGCTGAACCAGTAGCTGTAGCCATGGCATGCAGCATCCTCGGTCCTCTGGCCAGGCCAGAGCTACATCCCACCTCTGGATCCCCGGGTTGAGTCAATAATCTCCAACCAGGCGCGGACTGAAGCTCAAGGGGGAGTCATAGTAATGTGACCCAGCCCACCAGGAAGTGGGTGCTGAGCAGGCAAGCATTCATCACCCACTGCACACACCAGGGAAGGCTTGTGGTGGCTTAGTCCCACCTGGGGGCAAAGAAAAGAGTGCCTGCTCCATGCCAAAACGTTATGCCCAACACCGTATCTTAAAGCTAGCTGGCTTTGTAATCCCTGCTACTTGGAAGGCTGAGGCAGGAGAACCACTTGAATCCAGGAGGCAGAGGTTTCAGTGAGCCAAGATCACGCCAGTGCGCTCCAGCATGGGTGATAAGAGAGAAATTCTGTTTCCAAAAAAATAAAAATAAAAATAAAAAAATAAAAAGCTAGCCTGCTTAATCCTCACAAAGATGCCATCTACTTTTTGGCATTCTAGATGTAGAAACACTGAGACGCTGAGAAACTCACCACCAGCCGGGAACGGTGTCTCATGCCTGTAATCCCAGCACTTTGAGAGGCTGAGGCAGGAGAATTAGTTGAACCCAAGAGTTCAGGACCAGCCTGGGCAAATTAGCGAGACCTCATCTCTACAAATATTAAAAAAAAAAAAAAAAATTAGGGCTAGGCGCGGTGGCTCACACATGTAATCCCAGCACTTTGGGAGGCCAAGGCAAGTGGATCACTTCAGCCCAGGGATTCGAAACCAGCCTGGCCAACACGACACAACTCTATCTCAACTAAAAATACAAAACTTAGCTGGGCATAGTGGCACATGTCTATAATCCCAGCTACTTGGGAGGCTGAGGCACGAGAATTGCTTGAACCTAGGAGTCAGAGGTTGCAGTGAGCTGAGATTGTGCCACTGCACTCCAACCTAAGTGACAGAGTGAGACCGTGTCTCAAAAACAACAAAAAAAAATATTGGTGTGGTGTCACATGTCTGTTGCCCCAGCTGCTCAAGAGGCTGAGGTAGCACGATCACTTAAGCCCCGAAGTTCAAGGGTGCAATGAGCTATGATTGTACCCCTGCACCACAATGTATACATATATGTGTATGTGTACACACACACATATACATGTGTATGTATATATGCGTGTGTACACACACACACATACATGTGTATGTATATATGCGTGTGTACACACACACACATGCATGTGTATGTATATATGCGTGTGTACACACACACACATACATGTGTATGTATATATGCGTGTGTACACACACACATATACATGTGTATGTATATATGCGTGTGTACACACACATATACATGTGTATGTATATATGCGTGTGTACACACACACATATACATGTGTATGTATATATGCGTGTGTACACACACACATATACATGTGTATGTATATATGCGTGTGTGTACACACACACATATACATGTGTATGTATATATGCGTGTGTACACACACACATATACATGTGTATGTATATATGCGTGTGTACACACACACACATATACATGTGTATGTATATATGCGTGTGTACACACACACATATACATGTGTATGTATATATGCGTGTGTACACACACACACATATACATGTGTATGTATATATGCGTGTGTACACACACATATACATGTGTATGTATATATGCGTGTGTACACACACACATATACATGTGTATGTATGCGTGTGTACACACACACATATACATGTGTATGTATGTGTGTGTACACACACACATATACATGTGTATGTGTGTGTACACACACATATACATGTGTATGTATATATGTATGTGTACACACACATATACATGTGTATGTATATATGTATGTGAGTATATGTACACATATATACATGTGTATGTATATATGTATGTGTGTATATACATATATACATGTATATATGTGTATATATACACACATACATATATACATGTACATATGTGTATATATATGTGTGTATATATATATGTGTATATATATAAAAAACACACATGCACAAATTCACCACCACCAACTCAGAAATTACCGTCTCCTTCTATTCTAAGGAACTATTTTTCATATTGCCATCTCTGTAGTTGTAATACACCTTACAATCACTGGAATGTCACAGTCTCATTGGCAGCATTTTTCTGCTCAGTAGCCCATAAAATAATAGTACATCTTGTAACTAACAGTGTTGTAGATGCTATGAGATCCTGGGGAAGCCCAGAATCTAACTCCACCCTGTCTGACTCCAAAGACCACATATTTCCTACACCTTTGGACAGGGGCACAGATGTAGACAACTCGAGCTTTGCTGATTGTGAGAAAGGTATGACAAATGGCCCTGATGGAATTTTCTTCTTGTACTTACAGGGGAACAGAGCGGCATCATTCCACTATTCCAGGGGAGGTGCTAAATATGAGGGTGAGGCTGTCAAGTGGTCCCTGGTGGATTCCTACACTCACCCAAGCAGCAACGAGACAGAGCGGAAGGAGAACATCGATACCGTCATGAACTGGTTCACCAAGGAAGACTTTGATTTTGTGACTCTGTGCTACAGAGAGCCAGATAACGTGGGACATCGATTCGGGCCAGAGGCAGAGAAAAGGAAGTTGATGATTCAGCAAATCGACAGGACCATCGGGTATCTGGTGGGAGCCACTGAGAAGCACAGCCTGCAGAGCACCTCAGCGTCATCATTACATGAGACCGTGGGATGACCACCGTAAAGAAGAGACCCAATGTCAACAAGATCCCCTTGTCCAACTACGTCAAGTTCAGGGACCTGGTCAAGTTTGATATTGTGCGCTACGGTGGCTTTGGGATGCCCCTGCCCAAGTTGGGGCAAGAGGAAGCCCTTTACCAGGCACTGAAGAATGCGCACCGTCACCTCCACGTCTACAAGAAGGAGGAGTTTCCAGAACACTTCCATATCGCTAAACATGACCGGGTTCTGCCAATCGTGATGTATGCCAACTCTGGTTACAGTATCAATGGGGTAAGTTCATTCTAAAATGAATAAAGTCACCTTAGATCTAGGAGACAACCATTAGGGAAGGGTGGTTCTGCAAAAATCAAACATTAGTGCACAGCCAGGCACGGTGGTTCACGCCTATAATCCTAGCACTTTGGGAGGCTGAGGCAAGTGTATAACCTGAGGTCAGGAGTTTGAGACCAGCCTGGCCAACATGGTGACACCCCAGCTCTACTAAAAATACAAAAATTAGCCGGGCGTGGTGGCGCGCATCTGTAGTTCCAGCTGCTCTGGAGGCTGAGGCAGGAGAATCGCTTGAACCTGGGAGGCAGAGGTTGCAGTGAGCCAAGATCATGCTACTGCACTCCAGTCTGGGCAATAGAGTGAGACCCTATCTCAAAAAAATATAATATAATATAATATAATATAATATAATATAATATAATATAATATAATATAATATAACATAACATAACATAACATAACAAAACAAAACAAAACAAAATAAGTGCACACACTATGAGTTGTAGCCCACAGGGTCCTAAAGGTTCCCCACCCCCCGCCCAACCAATGCTGCGCCAAGTTACCGTTATACAAGATTAATGACCAATTCAACTTGATAAGGCTGATTTAAAAATAAAAATAAGGCTGGCCATGGTGGTTCACACCTGTAATCTCAGTGTTTTGGGAGGCCAAGACAGGAGGATTGCTTAAGGCCAGGAGTTCAAGACCAGCCCAAGCAACAAAGGGAGACGTCATCTCTACAAAAAACTAACAAATAAATAAATAGCCAGACATGGCGATACATGCCTGTAGTCCCAGCTACTCAGGAGGCTGAGGTGGCAGGATTTCTTGAACCCAGGAGGTCAATCCTGCACTAAGCTGTGATTGGACTACTGCACTCCAGCTTGAGCAACAGAGCAAGACCCCGTCTCTAAAAAATAAATAAACAAATAATAAAAAATAAACACCAACTTCATTATTCAAAACTGTGCACAGCGCTTCACTAAACATTGAACAGCAGTTCTTTCATTTTTGTCGTCCCAACAACCCTATAAAATAGATGCTCTTAGTTCCGCCATTTTAAAGAAGAAATCAAAACATAGAGAGAAGTGACTTGAGATTAAAAATGTAAGGTTGGGCTGGGTGCAGTGGCTCACACCTGTAATCCCAGCACTTTAGAAGGCTAACGTTGGTACATTGCTTGAGCCCAGGAGTTTGAGACCAGCCTAGGCAACACAGTGAAACAACATCTCTACGAAAAATGCAAAAAATGTAGCTGGGCGTAGTGGCACGTGCCTGTGGTCCCAGCAACTCAGGAGGCTGAGGTGGGAGAACTGCTCGAGCCCGGGGGTGTTGAGTCTGCAGTGAGCCATGATCACGCCACTGTGAGATAGGAGGCAGGACTTGACGACACAGGCAGGGCTTGGACACCACACCAAATTAAGGACTACCTAAAACAGGGCTGGGGCAGAAGAAGCTTTCCATCAGACATGCCCACCAGTGTGCCATGTGAGTTTACTATTGCCAAGGCAACACCAGGGAGTTACTGCCCCTTTCCATGGCAATGACCCAATGACTCAAAAGTTACTACCCATTTTCTAGAAATTCCTGCATAAACTGCCCTTTAATCTGCATGCAATTAAAAGTGAGTATAAATGTGATTGCAAACTCTCTGCCGCTACTCTCTGCCACCAGGGTAGCCCTGCCCTACAGGAGCAGTCACAGGGCTGTAATGCTGCCTCTTCAATAAAGCTGTTTTCTTCTAAACCTCCGGCTTGCCCTTGAATTCTTTCCTGGGTAAAGACAAGAACCCTCAAGTGCTATTGAGAGGTGACAGCATGCTAGCAGCCCTCGCGCTCACTCTCGGCGCCTCCTCTGCCTGGGCTCCCACTTTGGTGGCACTTGAGGAGCCCTTCAGTGCACCGCTGCACTGTGGGAGCCCCTTCCTGGGCTGGTGGAGGCTGGAGCCGGCTCCCTCAGTTTGCGGGGAGGTGTAGAGGGAGAGGCGCGGGCAGGAACTTGGACTGGGCACGGCGCTTGTGGGCCAGTGCGAGTTCCGGGTGGGTATGGGCCCACTGGGCCCTGCACTCGGAGTGGCTCACCGGCCCCGATGGACCCGGGCAGTGAGGGGCTTAGCACCTGGGCCAGCAGCTGCTTTGCTCAATTTCTCACTGGGCCTTAGCTGCTTCCCTGCAGGGCAGGGCTCGGGACATGCAGCCCGCCATGCCTGAGACTCCACCCAACCCGCCGTGGGCTCCTGCGCGACCTGAGCCTCCCCGATGAGTACCGAGCCTCCCCGACGACCACAGCCCCCTGCTCCAGGGCACCCAGTCCCTTCGACCACACAAGGGCTGAGGAGTGCCAGCACAGGGCACGGGACTGGCAGGCAGCTCACCTGCGGCCCCCATGTGGGACCCACTTGCTGAAGCCAGCTGGGCTCCTGAGTCTGGTGGGGACTTTGAGAACCTTTATGTCTAGCTAAGGGATTGTAAATACACAAATTGTCACTCTGTATCTAGCTCAAGGTTTGTAAACACACCAATCAGCACCCTGTGTCTAGCTCAGGGTTTGTGAATGCACCAGTCGACACTCTGTATCTAGCTAATCTAGTAGGGATTTGGTGACCTTTTGTGTCTAGCTCAGGGATTGTAAATGTACCAATCAGCACCCTGTCAAAACAGACCAATCGGCTCACTGTAAAATGGACCAATCAGCAGGATGTGGGTGGGGCCAGAGAAGGGAGTAAAAGCAGGCTGCCCCAGCCAGCAGTGGCAACCCATTGGGGTCCGTTTCCACACTGTGGAAGCTTTGTTCTTTTGCTCTTTGCAATAAATCTTGCTGCTGCTCACTCTTTGGGTCCACACTGCCTTTATGAGCTGTAACACTCACCTCGAAGGTCTGCAGCTTCACTCCTGAAGCCAGCGAGACTATGAACCCACCGGGAGGAACAAACAACTCCAGACGCCCCACCTTAAGAGTTGTAACACTCACCTTGAAGGTCTGCAGCTTCACTCCTGAAGCCAGCGAGACCACAAAACCACCAGAAGGAAGAAACTCTGAACACATCCGAGCATCAGAAGGAACAAACTCTGGACACGCAGCCTTTAAGAACTGTGACACTCACCGCGAGGGTCCGCGGCTTCTTTCTTGAAGTCAGTGAGACCAAGAAGCCACCAGTTCCGGACACACTATGCTCCACTTCGGGGCTCCCCTGCCCTGCGTCAACTGCACTCTGGCCTGGGTGGCAGAGAGAGAGACCCTATCTTTAAAAAAAGAAAGAATGTAAGGTTAAGTGCTGCCCCCAAGCCTGAGTGGCTGATCATTATACAGAGTACACGAAGATCACCAAAAACGTCACCACAGAGGCCCCCTGCCGCTGGTTCTCATTTGCCCATATCAAAAAATATGCAGGTCTGTTCATACAAAGACACACACAGATGCTCGTAGCAAAACTATTCATAATTATCAAAAGGTGGCAACAACGCAAATGCCCATCAACAACAGATGAATAAGCAAACAAGTACAGTCCACCCGTGTGATGGAACATTAATCAGCCACAATATGGAATGAAGGGCTGATTCATGCTACAACCTGGATACACCTTGAAACCATTAGGCTAAGTGAGAGAAGCCAGACAAATATTAGATGATTATATATATATTATACACATATATATATATATATATATATATATATATATATATATATATGCCCAGAATATGAAAATCCAAAGAAACAGAAAGTAGATTAATGGTTGCCAGGAGCCAGGGGTGGGGACAGTCAGGGGGAAATAAGGGGTGACTGCTAATGGATACAGGGTTTCTTCTGGGGTAATTAAAATTTCTAAAATTGATGGTGATGATGGCTGCAAAACTCTGAGAATATATTAAAAACCACTGAATTATGCACTTTATTTATTTATTTAGAGAGAGGGTCTGGCTCTGTTGCCCAGGCTGGAGTGCAGTGGTGCAATCTCTACTCACTGCACTCTCCACCTCCCAGGCTCAAACCATCCTCCCACTTCATCCTCCTCAGTAGCTGGGACTACAGACACACACCACCATGCCCAGCTAATTTTTTTGTATTTTTGGTCAAGACAGAGTTTTGTCATGTTGCTCGGGTTCATCTCAAACTCTTGGGTTCAAGCTATCCTCCCACCTCAGCCTCCCAAAGTGCTGGGATTACAAGTGTGAGCCACCATGCCCGGCCAAATGATACACTTTAAATGGGCAAATTGTATGGTATGTGAATTATCTTTCAATAAAGCTGTTATTAAAAAGCAGCTTTAAGGGCCAGGCATAAGGGCCATGCCTGTAATCCCAGAACTCTGAGAGGCCAAGGCAGGAGGATCACTTGAGCCCAGGAGTTCAAGACCAGCCTAGACAACATGGCAAAACCTGGTCTCTAAAAAAAATTTAAAAATTAGGCTTGGCGTGGTGGCTCACGCCTGTAATCCCAGCACTTTGGGAGGCTGAGGTAGGTAGATCACTTGAGGTCAGGAGTTCAAGACCAGGCTGGCCAACATGGTGAAACCCTGTCGCTAATAAAAATATTTTTCAAAAATTAGCCAGGCATGGTGGTGGGTGCCGAGGCTGAGGCAGAAGAATGGTTTGAACCCGAGAGGTGGAGGTTGCAGTGAGACGAGATTACGCCACTGCACTCCAACCTGCTGGGCGACAGAGCGAAACTCCATTTCAAAAAAAAAAAAAAAATTAATAATTAAAAATTAGCCAGGGGTGGTGGCTCCTGTTTGCAGTCCCAGCTACTCAGGAGGCTAAAGTGAGAGGATTGCTTGGGCCCAGGAGGTTGAGGCTGCAGCGAGCCAAGATTGTGTCACTGCACTCTGGCCTCAGCAACAGAACAAGACCCTGTTTCACAATTTTAAAAACAATTAAAAAACAAGCCTAAAGAAAACACAAAAACCAATGCTAACTGTGAGACATAAATGAGGTGGTCTATTTTTTGTTAACTACCAACTAACAATTCATGGCAGAAACAAAGTTTAAATGATGCTATAGCCGGGCGCTGTGGCTTATGCCAGTAATCCCAACACTTTGGGAGGCTGAGGCGGGTGGATCACCTGAAGTCAGGAGTTTGAGACCAGCCCGGTCAACATGGTAAAACTCCATCTCTACTAAAAATACAAAAATTAGCCGGGCGTGGTGGCGGGTGCCTATAATCCCAGCTACTCGGGAGGCTTAGGCGGGAGAATCGCGTGAACCCCGGGGGGGCAGAGGTTGCAGTGAGCCAAGATCGCGCCATTGCACTCCAGCCTGGGCGACAGAGCGAAACTCCGTCTCAAAAAATAAATAAATAATGAAATAAATGATGCTATAAACCTCATGTGAGGGAAGACTGTCCCAGGTACAGCTTGAAGAACCCTGGCTGTGAATAAGAGCCAAATGCGATAATTCTGTTTGCAACTTGCTTGTTAGCTTGTTGCAACTCCACAGTGTAACAGGTATGAGAAAACTCATGGGGTTACTGTTTAGTGTTGGTGGAAATATTCACATTAAAATACAACAGTTTATCACCTAAGGTATATTTTATCCCTCAAGTGGCCCGGAACACTGTGATTACTGCACACCAATCGCATGCCCATAGCTAAGGCCTTGCCAAGGAGAAATTCCACAGTCACCTGGCCTATTTGTAAACCTGGTTTATGATGTTTTGTAACAGGATATCTTGACAGTAGCATGAGGACATTTAACGAGACAAGAACATTCCCCACTGACCAACCAGACAGTTTGAGGGAACAGGATGCTGTGCTCAGTTTAATCTTCTGCTGAACCGACCATTAGGCAGAAAATCCTTTGGGTCAATGCCTGTCACTGAATCCACTTCTCATCCTGTCCACCTGCCTGCTTTGCAGTGCAGAGTAAAGTGGGCCTTCCTTGGCTCTCTTCAGGGACCAATGTGCTTGAGGCCATCATGAGGACATTCATTCTTTTTTTTTTTTTTTTTTTTTTTTTTTTTTTTTTTTTTTTTTTTTGAGAGAGTCTCGCTCTGTCGCCCAGGCTGGAATGCAGTGGTGTGATCTCAGCTCCCCACTGCAACCTCTGCCTCCCAGGTTCAAGTGATTCTCCTGCCTCAGCCTCCTGAGTAGCTGGGATTACAGGCACGTGTCACCAGGCCCAGCTAATTTTTCTATTTTCTGTAGAGACAGCGTTTCACCATGTTGGCCATGCTGGTGTCAAACTCGTGACTTCAAGTGATCCACCTGCCTCAGCCTCCCAAAGCGCTGGTATTACAGGTGTGAGCCAATGTGCCTGGCCAAGGGCTTTCATTCTTCATGGACTGCTCCATAGCCTCAGAGACAGTCAGACTGGTTTCTTCAACCAGAGCGGAGCAGACAGGCAATTTCTCCATCCACCAGGCCAAATATTAGACCAACTCTTCAATGTACAGAGAACATCATATTTCTTATATGGTAGAATACCTGTTGGTCTAAAATATAAATAAATAGTATTGTAGCCAGCCACAGTGGCTCATGCCTATAATTTCAGAGCTTTGTGGGGCTGAGGCAGGAGGTTCACTTGAGGTCAAGAGTTTGAGACCAGCCTGGGCAACATAGCAAAACCGCCCGCCCCTCACCGCCACCTGCCATCTCTACAAAAATTAAAATAATTAGCTGGGCATGGTATTGTGGGCCTCTAGTCCCAACTACTTGGGAAGCTGATGTGGGTGGATTGCTTGAGCCCAGGAATTTGAGGCTGCAGTGGGCTGTGACTGCATCACTGTACTCCAGCTAGACCTTCTCTCAAAAAAAAAAAAAAAGTGTTGCAACTGACATTACTTTATCATTTGAAAAGAAGGACAGACAAGAAAGGTATTTGGTATTTACCAAGCAATTACCCAGAATCCTCATCCCATCCTACACCCACCCTTCCCCTAAAAATATATGTATATGTTTGTATAACATAAAAAATACATCTATTTGGCTCTGGAACCAGATTGCTTGGGTTCAATTACCTGATCTAGCATTTGCTCCTGATGACTCAGTGCAGACAAGCTCTGTAACTCAGTTTCCCCAGCTGTAAAATGGAGAATGGCGCCTTTACTGGGCTGTCATGAGGGTAAAGGAGGTAACATATATTTATAAAGCATTCAGAACAATTCATGATACATAGTAAGCTCTATATATTTGAGCTTATTATTACTGTCAGTACGATTATCATCATCGTGCTGTTTCCAATGGGTACGCTTTCTACATTCTCTTTCTTAAAGACCTTTAAATCCTTGGTATTCTCTCCACCACCACAGAGAGCAGTGTCCTTGTAGTTTAAATTTTCAAAGACTTCATGGATCCAATAAGCATGACATTAACTAAGGGACAGTTTTCTTTCAGTGGCTTGGAATCTAAAAAGGCTTTTTTATTGTTATTATTGGCCAGGCTGGTCTCGAACTCCTGACTTCAAGTGATCCCCCCACCTCACCCTCCCAAAGTGTGCTGAGATTACAGGCATGAGCCACCACGCCCGGCCCTCATTCTCTTCTTTTATAAGGACACCAGTCATTGTATCTGCCCCCTCACCAGCAGCCCCCAATCCAGGATGACTCATTGTCACTTGATTACATCTAGAAAGACCCTATTTCCAAATAAGGTCACATTCCTGGGTACTGAGGATTAAGATTTCAAATTTTTTCCCTGACTCAATTTTTTTTTTGAGTCAGGGCCTCACCCTGTCACCCAGGCTGGAGTACAGTTATGTGATTATAGCTCACTGCAGCCTCAAACTCTTGGGCTCAAGGGATCCCCTGACCTCAGCCTTCCAAGTGGCTGAGAATACAGGTGCACACCATCATGCCCAACTAATTTTTTTTTTTTTTTTTTTTTTTGTACAGGTTAGGTCTCACTCTGTTGACCAGGCTGGTCTGACCTCAATCGATTCTCTTGTCTTGGCCTCCCAAGGCAGTGGGATTACAGGCGTTATCCCGTGCCTGACCCTCTTTCTACATCTCAATCATTGTATCATTAGCCTGAGCTGCCCATATTCCTTATTCTGCCCATCCCTGATCAATCTCCTCCTTTAACAGAACTTCCATCTCGATATCATGGGGCCTGCTGGGCACTGCAAACAGCCTAAGTGGAAATTTTACTTCACCTGAAATTCTATTACAAATTCCACATTGAACTTAATTTATATTTGAACTATAAAAATTTTCTGTAAGTTGAAACATGACCTATAAAGGTCTCTACACCCTGAAGCAACGTTTTAGAAAGAAATCAATTGGTCCTTTTCTGCAGAAACCATTAACCATAGGAGAGATAAAGGAAAAACTTCAATGCACTGATTGAACTTCCATGCCCATAGCTTAACTTCTAAAAGGTAACCATTCCATACTGTTAAACTGCCTTAGGTTATCATTACTGTTCTTAAAGAGGCCCTCAAAGCCAGCAGTTGAATCTTGACTGTAGCACTTGCACGTACACGCACACTCTTGCAACTGAAACCACTCAGATTGTCCTAAAGCTGCTCCCCATAGCAACACCACCTGGAATTTTACATTTGTTTTTAAGCATCAGTCGTAATCTTCACTTGCACCCAAACACACCGCACCTGTGAGAGCCACGTGACATTAAAAAAATCCCTTCAGTGAGGCCGGGCGTGGTGGCTCACGCCTGTAATCCCAGCCCTTTGGGAGGCCAAGGCAGGTGGATCATGATGTCAAGAGATTGAGACCATCCTGGCCACCGTGGTAAAACCCTGTCTCTACTAAAAATACAAAAATTAGCTGGGCCTGGTGACGCGTGCCTGTAGTCCCAGCTACTCGAGAGGCTGAGGCAGGAGGATCCCTTGAGCCCGGGAGGCAGAGGTTGCCGTGAGCTGAGATTGCGCCACTGCACTCCAGCCTGGCGACAGAGGGATACTGTCTGAAACAAAAAAATCCCTTCAGTGCCTTGATCCTTCCAGATTCAGATCCAAGAGAGATGACATTTGTCCCTCACCAGACACTGCACACCAAGATAAAGATTTCTTCTGGCCAGGCGCGGTGGCTCATGCCTGTAATCCCAGCACTTTGGGAGGCAGAGGTGGGTGGATCACCTGAGGTCAGGAATTTGAGACCAGCCTGGCCAAGGTGTTCAAACCCTGTCTTTACTAAAAATACAAAAGTGGCCCGGCAGGGTGGCTCACGCCTGTAATCCCAGCTCCTCGGGAGGCTGAGGCAGGAGAATCGCTTGAACCTGGGAGGTGGAGGTTGCAGTGAGCCGAGATCGCGCCATTGCACTCCAGCCTGGGCAACTAGAGAGCAAAACTCCGTCTCCAGAAAAAAAGAAAAAAAGATTTCTTCTGTGTGCATGGCTCAGCTCTGTGGTCCACTAGCGTCCTTCCTCAATCTGCTTCCAATCTGTGGACTCAGGAAAGACTGAACCAACCTAGATTTATTAATATTTTAGTATAACATAATACAGTGTTACTTACTATGGCATTGACCGTATATGCCCTTTTGCTCCTTGGAGGAAAGACAATAGCTATTATGTGAGTTAATAAAATAAGCCCAGGATTTATCAGTATAACTAACCTGTTCCCGTTGGTTTTTCTTGTCTCCTTCAGGCAGAGAGCTGATCAAAACAGCAAAAGCAAAGCAGTGCCCCTGGCCCAGTTCTGAAGCCAACCTTCCTTAATCACCCAGACCCATCCCTGGTTAGGACTTGCTGTGGATTCTCAGGTGACTCCATCTCAGGATACAGGGACTGAGAAGGTGTATGCAACATCTCAGACCCAGAAACCGTTGATTCTGTCTAAAAACACAGCAATAACCACATCCCATCCTCTTGATTTAAATGAAAGTGTTTGGAGGAATAAAAGATGAACCTTTTTTTTTCTTTGTCAGATCTTGCGCTCATTTGGTTCTGGTGGGGAACAACAGCTATAAGAGAACAAGTGTATTCAATTAGAATTAATTCCCCTCTCTTATTCTCATAGCTGAGCAGGGCTCAAGTGCCTCTCATCTGAAAGAGGTAATAAGATTTTATCTGTCTCCTCATCTACCTTTTGCAAGTATACTTAACAAATTAGCTCTCGGGACTCTTCCAAATGGAGTTTTATGAGGAATTTGCTAAGGTAAACGTTTTAGACTTTGAACACAGTTCAGATTTCAGGGGCAGTACTGAAATCTAAGCTGTGTTGCTAACTGCCCTGCCTTTCAACTCAAGACACAATAACTTTGAACTAAAATAATTATATTTTTGTTGTTTTCCACTCTGTCCCCACGTCTATATCACCACCACCCCCAATCCCACCCCGCAGGAGTTAACT
The DNA here is from genome assembly GCF_000001405.40 of Homo sapiens. Classification (NCBI taxonomy): domain Eukaryota; kingdom Metazoa; phylum Chordata; class Mammalia; order Primates; family Hominidae; genus Homo; species Homo sapiens. The sequence goes on along the minus strand of NW_018654717.1, from coordinate 5,633,039 downwards.
CCTCCTTCCTGTCCCTGCAAGATCAAAACTCCTCCTGCAAGCCCCGCTAGCTCTGTCTGCTCACCTTCGTGGTAGATATCGCTATCGTACTTTTATCCTCATTTGTGTGATAAGTACTTCAATGTCCACTTCTTCCACGAGCACCTGAGCCCCTGAAGGGCCTGGACCACACCTAGTTTTTCTCACCGTTACATCTCCCTTGTCAGGCACATGGTAGGCGCTTAAAAAGTATTTGATGAACGAATGGCTTGTTTGCTGACAGTCCAAAGGCTGGGGGACAGAGGGAAAGCTCCCTCCTTTCGGGCCCCAGACGGGTGGCGCTGATGGAGAGGAGGCTAGGATAAGGCCTCCAGGACCGAAGCATGCACCCGTAAGGCCCCTGCTGAAAAGACCTTCCTGAAGGCGGAGGAACTGCGAGAGTGCCTACGTTAGCCCAAGGCCTGACCCGACGATCCCAGGGACCCTCGCCCTAACTGGCCCCGCCTCCCGGGCCCCAAACCTGGACTCGGCCCCGCACGAAGCTCCGGATCCTGGGGCCCGCCCCTGGCCCCGCGTCGGAAGACCATGGGCTCGCTCCTGGGCCTGCCTCAAACCCTCCGCAGGTAACGCCTCCCGAACTTGAGCCACATTCCGATCCCCTCCTCAAACCCCTCCCCGTTTCCCACACCCTGGACCCCTCGCTCCGTCTCGGCCCCGCCCCAAGCCCAGCTAGGTCTCGGCCCCTGAGCCCAGCCCCGACCGGCCTCCCAGTCCCTGGGTCCCTCCCAACACCGGCCCCTCCCTAAGCTCCGCCTCCCAGGGCCCGCCTCCTGAGCGCAGCCTGCAGCCCGGACTCCGCCCCGCCTCCCGGGCACTGGGCCCCTCCCCAAGTGGGCCCGTCCTAAGCTTCGCCTCCCAGAGTCCGCGCACCGCCTGGCCATGTGCTAGGACATAGTCAACGCCCCGCCCCTGCCCCGCCTCCTGAGCCCTTCTCTGGGCCTGGCCTTAGCCCCGCCCTAAGACCTGTCTCCTGGGCTCTGCTCTGGGTCCCGCCTCCTGAATCCAATGGCGTTTATCCGCGCCCTAATGCCCGCCTCCAGGACTCTTATCCTGCCCCCACGCAAGGCACCGCCTCCAGGACGCCACCAACCTGGACGCTTCCGAAGCCCAGCTTCCAGGATCGCCCTATCCTGGCCCTGCCCCAGGAACCGCCAACCTGGACTCTACCCAGGACCTGCCCCGATGTCGCTTATCCTGGCCCTACCCCAGGCCCCGCCCTCCTAACGCTCATCTTGGCCCCGCCCTAGAGTCCGCCCCCAGGACGCACCTCCTGACCCTATCCCCAGGCCCCGCCCCCTCTCTGCCCCCGCGCTCTGCCCTCGGCCCGCCCCCTCTTCAGTCCAGGCCCGGCTTCCTCCAGGTCTCCCGGCAACGGCTGCGGCCTCGCCCACGTTATGGCGCCCGAGGAGAACGCGGGGACCGAACTCTTGCTGCAGGGTTTTGAGCGCCGCTTCCTGGCGGTGCGCACACTGCGCTCCTTCCCCTGGCAGGTGGGCGGCGGGGCGAGCGGAGAGGCCCGCGGGGGTCGCGGGAGTCCAGGGGCAGACGGGATGGGTCTCCGTGCTGAAACCCCCGGCGCTCCGGCCACGTGAGTTCCTGGGCTCTCCTCGGTCAGGGCCGCGAGACCCGGTCCCCGTCCCTGGGGCCTGGCCAGAGTCGCTCGCACCCCTTCTGCCCCGCGAGCTGGCGGCGGAAGCTGGGGGCGTCTCCACCGCCTTAGGGGGTAGACGCGCGCTCGGTGTGGGGTACGGTTCACGATCATTTTCACGACTTTTTAAAGGCAGTAATCGTTCTGGTCACTGGGACACAGCTGCACTCGCCCATTCTAAAAAGTCAGCGCCCTCAGGCCCGCAGGTAACCACCTCCTCCTGAGCGCGGTGACCAGGTCACAGGCTGTCCCTCGTGCCTCAGTGTTCTCATCTGTATGTCGAGCACTGCACAGAATCGGCTCATGCGCTGAGGCTTTCACGCCTGTGATGGAAGAGACAGAGAAGGGGGTGGCCTCTCCTCTCCCTGGGGACCTGCCATTCTCAGCACAGGCACATGGCAGGCAGCAGCCTCCCTTCTGCCAGCAGAGGGGCTTAATGCACCCCGTTCCATTTGTAATTCATGTGCATTGAGCTCACTGGATGAGTCAGTTGGGATATATATTCCTCCCTGGGTCTGCCCCATTTTATGGGGTGTTGCTTAATCATTTGTGTTATTCCATTGACATAAAATATTTAGCACTCAGAGATCATTTCTGGTCAGGAGAAATGTGTGCATTTTTAACCCAAAATAGAAACCTTCATAAAAGCATCATAGGTCTCCATTCAATATTGACTATAATTGTTCACATGCCCACACTGAATGCTAACTTGGGCTCACCCTCAACACCCACCAGGTGGGTACTATTATTATCACTCACATTTGACCAGAGGGATTGTTTGATTAGGGTGAAGTAGTTGAGAGTTCAGACCCAGGAGACAGCCTGCCTGCTTCGAATCCTGGCCCAACCCCTGGCCCTGTGTGACCTTGGGCAAGTGACTGTATCTCTCTGTGCTATTGTTTTCTTATTAATAAAATGGGGGATATAATGATACCTACCTCTTAGGGTTGTTCTCAGCGTTGAGTACAAATGCCTGCGGATCAGTGCCTGGCTCATGGTAAATGCATGTCGGTGTTAGCTAGTGTTTTCTTCAGTCTCAAAATGTTTAATAAATGCCTTCCGTGAGCCAGGCACCATGGATCGGCAGTACCCATGATAGATGAGGCTCTGCTTGCATGGGAGAGCCAGAGAATAAATGAATAAACAAGAAAAGACCAGATGAGAGTGGCTTTAAAGCCAATAAAACAGGGAAATGGTGAATGGAGCAACTGGGGAGAAGTGTCACCAAAGTCAGGGAATCAGGGAAGCCTTCCCCAAAGAGGTGGCATTTGAACTGGGACCTGAGTGGTGAAGCAGCCAGCCATGGGAAGGGTTTGGGGAACAAGATATGCAAAGGCCCTGTTGTGGAAATAAGCCAGCTGTGGTTGAGGAACAACAGCAAGGCAGCCAGTGTGGCTGGAGTGGAGTGAGCAGGGTGGGCCAGTGGTGAGGGAGAACAGGCCAGAGAGGGGGATTAGCAGCAGGCCTTGTAGGGCCTTTTATGGCATAGAAGGAGCTCTGAAGCAATGAAGTGCCTTGCCATGTGTCACATACCAGCCGAGACAGTCTGCCTAACTCGGGAGCCAAAGCTCACTGCTGGGCTTGAGGCCCCTGTAAGAGGACAATGTAACCCAGGCTGGTATGGGCACATTCTGCATTTCCACTTAAACTCAGATGGCAAGCCCATCAAACCTTGGTGCCATGGCTGCCCTGGTAATTCCTGGCTGACCAGTGTAACCAGGGAGCTGGCCCATGACCTGGGTGGCAGCTGAGTAGCCAGGACTAATGCGACCAAGAGTCAGCCTTCTTCCTGTGACTCATCCAGGTGCACCCTGCGACATCTGAAGGTCAGGCTTTCAGCCGCTGTGGCTTCCACTTCCAACTGGCTCCACGTCCCCAGGGAGGGATCACATAGAGCTTTGCCAACACATTCTATTGCGTGTTTAATGTTCCTGTGAATGGGCCCTTGAGATTTCTCTCTCTCCCATCCACACAGAGCTTAGAGGCAAAGTTAAGAGACTCATCATATTCTGAGCTGCTGCGGGATATTTTGCAGAAGGTAAGAATCCCAGAGTCCCTGGGACTCATGATCCTGCCTCCTGAATCTCTCCGGAAGACCTGAGAGAAGCAGCACAGGTGTGCTTGTACCCTTTAAAAACAGCCCTCTTCAAAGAACAAAACCATTGAGTCAGCACTTCAGGAGGGTGTCAGCACCTCCGACAGCTCCTACGGTTTCGTTTTCTATGTAAGACTTAGAAAAGACATCAGAATATACAAAATTCTGCAAGAGGGGGGAAATCTAGGGAATGTTTTTTAAACCATCCACAGCAAAAACAGAGATGACAGGTGCAAAACAGCTTCTAGCATTTGGTGGATGCTCAGAGACTTTCTTTTTTGCATTCATGAGGCCTGTCCCGCCCACTCCTGTCTCTTCTAGACCTAAATGGGCCCTTGCTTTGCCCAGGGTGGGGTTTGGACTCAAGTGCATCTGCATGCAAGTGAGAGCCAGGATCACCACCTGGCCCAGCCACAGGCTGACCTTGGCATTGAGGGCCAAGTGCAGATCACCCTGCATCCTGGGTCTTCACCTTCAAAGGGCCATGAGCCCTTCTGAAAAGACAAAGCAATAGACTCCCTCCCAGAAAGAAGTGCACCAGAATACATTTTCCATACAAACTCAGGGGAGGCAGACATCCTCCACGCCCACCCACCCAGCCCATCCTAGGAGCCCCGGTGAAGAATTCCTGTGCTAGAGATGAACCAAGATTATCCACATGGAAAAGATGCAGCCACAGCAGGGAAGACTTTCGGGGCAATACAGTAGGTCAGGGCTTCGAGCATGGAGATACCTGAAGTTATCTCGCACCTTGCTCCGAGTTTCACCCTGAGCCTCACTCTCATAGGTGGTGAAGCATGAGATGTAGGGAGAGCTGCTTTAAAACCCAGCACAAGGCTGGTTGTACTGGCTCACACCTGTAATCCCAGGTCTTTGGGAGGCTGAGGTGGACGGATCACCTAAGGTCAGGAGTTCAAGACCAGCCTAGCCAACATGGCAAAAACCCATCTCTACTAAAAATAAAAAAAAATTAGCTGGGTGTGGTGGTGCACGCCTATAGTCCCAGCTACTCGGGAGGCTGAGGCAGGAGAATCGCTTGAACCCAGGAGGTGGAGGCTGCAGTGAGCCAAGATCGGGCCACTGCACTCCAGCCTGGGCAACAGAGCGAGACTCTGGGTCAGAACAAATGAAAAACCAGCACCAGCATGAAGAGCCTGTGTATTGCCTGGGGTACTTTGCTGCCCTTGGGCAGAATCTGCATCCCTCCCAGCCAGCAGGCGCTGCGGACGGTCTCCTCCCTCTCCCTCCAGGCTCCTGTTTTCCCGCCGTCCCCACTCCTGCTGCACCAGTCCCTCTGCCCTCCGTTCCAAGTGCCAGCCCGTGGCCACCTCAGAGCTTGCACAGGCTGTTCCCACTGCCTGGAACTTGCTCATCCTGCACTTGGCTTCTCTCGGCTTTAGTTGGAGTCACCCTGAGCTTCCCCTCCCCTCCATCCTGTCCCCAGGGACACACGCTCCCAGAGAGCAGTTGCTGAGTGGGCCTTCCCGCCTCTTCCATAAAGCCAGATAGTTGGCGACTGACCTTACTGCAAACCCTGGTTCACACTGGCTCCCCTGGGAGGGAGGTGGTTTGGGCCCACATGCCCTGTGTTCCTGCTCAGAATGGGCATTAGAAATGCTGCCATAGCCTGTGCCACTGCAGTGGAAGCATTTTTAGGAAACGGCTTATATCTTAAGACAAACTTCAGATGCATGGGGCCAGAACGCTGTGTCCATCTGCATCTTTGCTGAGGGATCGGGTAGCCTGGAGTTTGCCCTCTGCTGTGTTGGCTTGAAGCTCATAGGAGACTTAAGACGGGCTCTCAAGCAACCAACGTTCTGTCCTTTGCCGTAGACTGTGAGGCATCCTGTGTGTGTGAAGCACCCGCCGTCAGTCAAGTATGCCTGGTTCTTTCTCTCAGAACTCATCAAAAAGGTCAGTTATAGGCAGTGTCCGCCCAGTAGCTGGACAGCATAGCCACCGGCGTGCTGCACACTCCGTCCTTCCCAGGCCCTGGGCCTGCTTTGCAAACCCCAGCATGGCAGGGCCCTCCCCAGGCAACTGGCTGCAGCTGAGTGTGACCCATGGGAGACAGTGCAGGGTGGGAATAAGGGGAGGCCAGCATCTCTCCCTGAGTCTGCCCTCTGGGGTTTCCACAGCAGCTGCTTCTCTGGGGCCTCAGCTCCTAGCATATGGATTCTCATTCCTACCAGGCTGGACCAGCCCACAGCACTGGAACCATCACCCACACCCTCTGTCCTGCCCACCAAAGGGTTTGGAGTTTCCTGCTCTTGTCCGTCTCTGGGTTGCCCCACGGGCCCCTGTTGGAAGTTTTAGCTCTTGCCATACCTTTGGAACTAGTTCCTCTGGTGAATTCTCTGCATTGATCCTGCTGGAATGAGCTCTTTCCTGACTGATATAGGATGGATTTTATTTTTTACTTATTTATTTATTTATTTATTTATTTATTTATTTATTTATATATTTTTTTTGAGACAGAGTCTCACTGTGTTGCCCAGGCTGGATTACTGTGGCACAATCTCGGCTCACTGAAACCTCTGCCTCCTGGGTTCAAGCAGTTCTCGTGCCTAGCCTGCTAAGAAGCTGGGACTACAGGCACATGCCACCATGTCTGGTTAGTTTTTGTATTTTTAGTAGAGACAGAGTTTCACCATGTTGGCCAGGCTCATCTCGAACTCCTGACCTCAGGTGATCCGTCTGCCTCGGCCTCCCAAAGTGCTGGGATTACAGGCATGAGCCACCGCACCTGGCCTAGGATGGATTTTAAAGATGGGCCCGAACATGCAGGGTTTGACATGAGGATGTCGAGAGGCCATTCCTTAGTAGGCAGTAGCAGACCTGCTGAGTGAAAGGGCCACACTTTTAACAAATAAACAATCCCCTGCTTCTCCAATACCTGCTTTCTCCCTAGTTCTCCCCAAAAGGGTGCATCTCTGGTCACCAGCAGGTCTGCCCTGTGCCACCACGAGAGGGCAGCAGTCACCCAGTGTACCCTGCTGCTGCCCTGTGAATCCTAGGACTGGGCCAGCTGTGGAGAAGCAGCCTGCTGACAGCCACAGCCTGCAGCATGGGCCGCACTCACAGTTCTGCCTGGGCTCACTTAAAAGCACCTTTTGTTTTCCTCCTCTCTGTGTTTGATCCAAACACAGAGCTCTCTGTCATGGTCATGTGGCAGCTCTCACGGAATCCTTGTCTCCTGCCCTAGACTACACCTAACCCTACCCTCTCAACACCTCTTGTTGAAAGCCCTCCCATCCAGGTTTCCCTACCAAGTGGAATAATTTTTTTTTTAGAGACAAGATCTCTGTTGCCCAGGCTGTCCTCGAACTCCTGGGCTCAAGCAGTCCTCCCACGTCAGCCTTTAGAGTAGCTGGAACTATTCGACACACACCACCACGCCCAACGAAGTGAGTATTTTATATACCAGCTGGCCGGTATTATACCATTCCATCCCAAATCTCCCCTCCAAACTTGGTGAAAATCATCTGGCCATTTTTACAGATTAGAACGAAAGCAAACAAGCTCTCACTCTGTCTGCCCCCAGCACGAGGCTGTCCACACGGAGCCTTTGGACAAACTGTACGAGGTGCTCGCGGAGACTCTGATGGCCAAGGAGTCCACCCAGGGCCACCGGAGCTATTTGCTGGTATGAGAAAGGCACCCTCCTCCCCCTCACAGCCCAGATACCCTTCCTGCACAGACAAAGTGAAAACGTGGGTGTGGGTTCAAATCCTGACTCACCCATTCTGCAGTCTTAGACATGAGGTCCATTAACCTTCTTTAGCCTCAGTTTCCCTGTCTGTAAATCAAGCACTTCAACAACAGCATGTCTCGTGGGGTTGTTGGGCATTTGTCCAATAGGTGACACACACTACCTGCTTCACAAGGACCTGGTGCCCAGTCCTCAAAGAATACTTGACAGGGCTGGACATGGTCTCTCATGCCTGTAATCCCAGCACTTTGGGAGGCCAAGGCAGGTGGATCTGAGGTCAGGAGTTCGAGACCAGCCTGGCCAATATGGTGAAACCCTGTCTCTACTAAAAATACAAAAATTAGGCCAGGCGTGGTGGCTCATGTCTGTAATCCCAGCACATTGGGAGGCTGAGGCAAGGGGATCACCTGAGGTCAGGAGTTTGAGACCAGCTTGGCCAACATGGTGAAAATCCATCTTTACTAAAAATACAAAAATTAACGGGGTGTGGTAGTGGGCGCCTGTAATCCCAGTTACTCGGGAGGCTGAGGCAGGAGAATCTCTTGAACCCGGGAGGTGGAGGTTGTAGTGAGCCGAGATCGTGCTATTGCACTCCGGCCTCGGCAACGAGAGTGAATCTGTGTCTCAAAAAAAAGTACAAAAATTAGCTAGACATGGTGGCACACGCCTGTAGTCACAGCTACCTGGGCAGGTGAGGCAGGAGAATTGCTTGAACCCAGGAGGCAGATGTTGCAGTAAGCCAAGATCGTGCCACTGACTCCAGCCTGGGTGACAGAGCTCAAAAAAAAAAAAAAATGAGATAAAACATAGATACAGAAAACCACAAAGGAAAAACATAGCATATTGAATCATCACAAGGCAGCCACCTCTTCATAGCCACACCTGGCCCCTGGCCACCACTGACCTGTGCTCCATCGCCAGAATTCCGTTGTCTCAGGAATGTTCAATAGATGGAATCCTGTGTGGCCTGAGATGAGTGTCTTTCATGCCGCGTGACACCCTTGAGGCCCGTGCAACTGTTGGTATGTCAACAGTTAGCTGCTTCTCATTGCTGAGTGGCGATTGGTCCTGTCATGGTTTATTCAGCCATGTGGTGGATGGCTACTTGTCTTCTAAGCCACTTGCCTTCTGATCGCTGGACTGACTCTCTCGCCCTCTCTTGGTGCAGTCCTCAGGAGGCTCGGTCACACTCTCCAAGAGCACAGCCATCATCTCCCACGGTACCACAGGCCTGGTCACATGGGATGCCGCCCTCTACCTTGCAGAATGGGCCATCGAGAACCCGGCAGCCTTGATTAACAGGTGACCTCGGGGCACAGGGCAGGGCACCGAGGCAGGCTTACCCTGGTGCAGTCGAAAACACGGTCCCCTTTCCTCCCGCCAGGACTGTCCTAGAGCTTGGCAGTGGTGCCGGCCTCACAGGCCTTGCCATCTGCAAGATGTGCCGCCCCCGGGCATACATCTTCAGCGACCCTCACAGCCGGGTCCTCGAGCAGCTCCGAGGGAATGTCCTTCTCAATGGCCTCTCATTAGAGGCAGACATCACTGGCAACTTAGACAGCCCCAGGGTGACAGTGGCCCAGCTGGACTGGGACGTAGCAATGGTCCATCAGCTCTCTGCCTTCCAGCCAGATGTTGTCATTGCAGCAGGTAATGCCCAGCCCCGGGCATCCTGTGCAGGCGGTGTCCTTGCAGCTCTACCCAGCTCTTGGCTCTGGGAAAAGGGAACAATGGACACTGTCGGGCATGGACGTGATGGGGCTTCCAGAAGAGTTACTCTGGGCCTCCAGGGTGACATCAAAGGACAGGGGTGCCTCTTAAGGTGACCTTCAAGCCACAGCCCTGTTGTTGGAGACAGGCATACTCCCGTTACAGTCGTCACCACATGGCTCTGTCCCAGAGCCATGCCCTGTGTCCTTCAGAGACCGCAGGAGGAAAACAACCACTTCTGGTACGAGGTCAGGGCCCTTGAGAGAAGGTGCTGTTTGGCTGGGCCACCAAAAACCCCTCACCCCTGTGAGCACACTCAGTCCCCTCTCTGGTGGAACAGAGCTCTGCCTGTAGTCCTGGGTCCCAGCCCTGAAACCCACAGGTCCAGCGGTGGCCAGGGACACAGGCCCACCCCTGCAAGCCAGCAGACCAATCGGCAGACACCTGAAACACGAAGTTCACGGCAGGGTCAGGCTTTCTGTCATTGAAAGCCCTCTAGACAGGCCGAGAACCAGAGCTGGTTTTTTAAGGACACCAGTGAGTCTGGAGATTTTTTTCTTTTGCTTCGGTCTTTTGCAGCTTTCTCTAATAAGGGTTCTCCTTTTTCACCCAAATAATTGCCTTTCCATCTAATGGCCCAAATGGTCAAATGGCATCTAATAGTCTCATATGACCGCTGCCTCTCTGGCCTCGCCCTGCTGCTGAGGTCAGCATGAAATGGAACTTTCCACTTGTCCCTTTCAGTAACCTGAAACTTTCACTGTAGACGTGCTGTATTGCCCAGAAGCCATCGTGTCGCTGGTCGGGGTCCTGCAGAGGCTGGCTGCCTGCCGGGAGCACAAGCGGGCTCCTGAGGTCTACGTGGCCTTTACCGTCCGCAACCCAGAGACGTGCCAGCTGTTCACCACCGAGCTAGGTGAGCCCCCACGCCCACCCGGGCCTACATGGTGCCCGAGCTGTCCCTGCAGGACTCCAGTGAGAGTGAAAGAACTGGGCGCTGGGGAAAAGCTAGGATGCTCCACACTCCCACACTATGCGGGGAACTCGGGCAGAGGCCGGTGAGCAGGGTGGGCTCGGGGCGTGGGGGGCTTGCGGCAGGAGGAGGACACCTCATCACAGGGAGGGAGGGTCTGAGCCCAGCAGCCCTACTATGTGCTTCAGAGCAGGGTTCCCTAAGCCCTTGGGCCTTGGTTTCCTCATCTATAAAATGGAGGTGGCGGGAGCGGCAGTCGGGGTCAGGGCTGGACACAGCTGTGGACTGCAGGACGCTGGAGCACAGGCTGTACAGGCGGATCCACCACGCCACTGTCCTGAGCACCCAGTTGATGGAAGACGAGCAGGGTGACTATAGAGAAGGGAAACTGGCCCCGTAGTGGGCCAGCCACTGTCCTCAGACCTGACATTTGTCAACCCCCAGCACCTGTGAGGGTGTGCTGTCATTGTCCCATCTCACCGACAAAGACACTAGGACACACAGAGGCCAAGTGACCCCCGAGCTCCCGCAGACTGCAGCCCGGCCACCTGGCTCTCGTGCCTCCACACTACACCCAAGCCCCCCATTGCCACCAGCCTCTGCCCCAGCTCCCCCTGAGCACAGCCCCTCCTGGCAGCCATGTGCACAGATGTACCCGCAGCAGCCTCTGCCTGTACACAGAGACATGGATGACCCAGTGCCTGTCCACGTGGGGCAGCCCATTAACTACAGAGTCAACAAACAAGCCAGCACATGAAGGCATACTGGGTTCCATGACAGAGTCCCACACAACCTCGCACAGGAGGCTGGCCGGGCGCGGGGCTCAGGCCTGTCATCCCAGCACTTTAGGAAGCTAAAGCAGGAGGACTACTTGACCCCAAGTGTTCAAGACCAACTTGGGCCACATAGTGGGACCCCATCTTCACAAAACATACAGAAACTAGCCAGATGTGGTTGCACACACCTGTAGTCCCAGCTACTCGGGAGGCTGAGGTGGGAGGATGGCTTCAGCCCATGAGGTGGAGGCTGCAGTGAGCCCTGATCTCACCACTGCACTCCAGCGTGGGTAACAGAGCAAGACCCTGTCTCAAAAAAGCAAAAAGCAAAAAAAAAAAAAAAAAAAAAAAGGAAGTCTTTCTTCAGATACTTACGTGAAAAAAAACCTGCAATATCTTTTAAGTGAAAAAAACAGTGCCAAGCAGCACACATAGTATAAGCCTCAACCAACCTTTTTTTTTTTTTGAGACAGAGTCTGGCTGTGCCCGGCCACTTTCTAAGCTTTGTGAAGAGTGAGTTGACTGAGCAGCCAGGGAGATGTGGGTTCAGATCTCTGCTTCTGTCCTGCTGTGCCAAGTGCTGGGGCAGACGCAGGCACAGAGTGGACAGCGGCATGGTGCCTGCTGCTAGCCATTTCTATGCAAAACCAGATTTCTGGTCCCATCCTGGAGGCGAATTCTAGGTATGTGGGTGGGCCTCGGAACCTGTGAACCAAGTAAACTGACTTAGACACCCCCCACCCCGCCAGGCCTGTCCTAGCAGCCCCACACAAAACGCTCATGTCCTGTCCCCAAACACCGCCATCCTCAAACACGTGCTTTGTTTCCAGGCCGGGATGGGATCAGATGGGAAGCAGAAGCTCATCATGACCAGAAACTGTTTCCCTATGGAGAGCACTTGGAGATGGCAATGCTGAACCTCACACTGTAGGACTCACACATGACTCCAAAGGGATTGTGAGAATCAAGTCACTCTCGTGGGAAGAATTTTTATATGGGAAAGTGGATAAAACTTTCATTGGACTGGAATGTTTGGAGATTATTAAATTCCAAATCAGGAATCAAAACTGCCCTCTAATAAGACATTAGCTGTCTAGGCGTGTGGGTGCCCCCTTTCTGCCAGCAGTTCTGGTTCTCAAGAAAATCATCATAAATCAGACATGAAAATTCTGGCTCCAAAAATAGCATTTTCTTTCTGCAAATAAAAACGTGTGTATCAAGGATGACGTTCCCCCAACGTGGACACACTCGGTTCCTCAGAAAGCCAAGCCCGCTGCAGCTGCCACATCCCTGGACACACTCGGTTCCTCACAAAGCCAAGCCCGCTGCAGCTGCCACATCCCAGGGCTTATGGTGCAGCAGGCGCTTTTTTCAAGACAGGAATGAAAGTGTTAGGAACATGGCAGAAAGGTGACACCTGGAGACCAAATGCAGGATGAGGAGTACTGCAGAGGTCACAGGGAAGTCACAGAACAGTAATACGCTAGCAGGGGCATGGGGCATGAAGAACAGAAGACAGGAAGCATTTCAGAGACTCCAAAGAAGAAATCAGGGCCAACCACAGCTTCCCGGGTCATTCACCAGGTGACACCACTGCCGTCATTTCAGCTTCTGGCCACTGGGAGGCGCTGCTCGAAAGGCTTTGCCCTGAGACTCCAAGAAGCTGCGGGAAGGACAGCAGGGGCCCTGGGGTTTTAGCCTCTGGCCCAGGAGTTATGTGTCCATAACCAAAGGGAGCACAGTCTGCACCCAGCTCTCATCCCATCAGAGCTGCTGAGACTCTTGCAGGTTCTTCCAGAACTGGTTTAGCTTGCCTGCAGGATCAGAAAAGTTTGAGAAAAGCATCTGCAAAATGCTAAAGAGCAGAGCTTAACTCATTGCCTGTCCCCACCCCATCCCAGGTCACCACTTGGATGACCCCAGGTCCCCGACCCAACAACAACCCCTCCCAAGTCCCTAACTCCCTCACTTGGACTTGAGACCCTTCACAACCCCCCTCACTTGGACTTGAGACCCTTCACAACCCAGCAGCGCTCCACCTCCAACTTGACATCATGCTTTCTGGAAACTTCCCCGTATGTCCCACTTTCCCACACTTGGTGCCCTGGAGCACCTTCCGGCCTCTACATGCTGTACGTTCCCCTGTGAGCACCCTCCTCTCGGCCTCTGGCCAACACAGTCCCACCCATCTGTGGGTAACAAGGGGGTGTGGGTGTTCTTTTCAGCCTTGCTAAACTGTCTGAATCAAGGATCACAAACTACAGCCTGCAGGCCAAATCCAGCCCACAGCCTGTGTTTGTGAATAAAGCTTTGTTGGAACAAAGCCACACCCCTTAATCTACAGATGATCTGTGGCTACTTTCACACCACAACAGAGTACCATGGTTCTGACAGAGACTGGGGTACCCTGTCTAAATGACTTCTGACCTGGACATTTACTGAAAATCCTCCCAATCATTCTGTTGACAAGAATGATGTATTACTTTTTGCAATAAGAAACAAGTAACCTTTGCAGAATTCCACCCATCTTTCAAGGCTGGTCCCAGAAGTTCCCTTTGCCCACGCACCTACCTGATCCGATCACTTCCTAAACTGCAGCCCGGCCCACCCGGCTCCAGCATCATTTATGGAGTGTCAGCTCCATAAATCCAGAGGGCAGGTGGGGTTGTGTCCTAACTTTCCCGAGCCTACTGTACCGAAATGGGACAGCAGAGTAGGAGGCCTCTGTGACTTCTGCTCCCCCACTAGCTTTTCCACCAGACCCCCCATGGTCCCACCCTGGCTGTGGGAAGCAGGGATCAGGGAGCGTGGCTCGATGCCAGTCTCCAGAACCCTGCCCACCCTGGCGTGGTGGCAGACATGGCTACCTGCAGCTGAGCTGCCAGTTCCTCTGACTCCTCAAAGATCAGGCCATTTTCTACATGTTTCACCAGCTCATGTAAACTGCAGACAGAACCAAGGGAGCCTGAGAGCTGCCTGGGGAAGACACCAGACTCCTGGGGTGCCCAGCTGGGATCCCACCCACCCCACGCTCAAGCCAGGCTGGGGTTTGGAACAGGGCGTGTGGTTTCTGGGAGCTGGTTCTTAGATTTGGCATCTGAAGGGTATAAAGGCCTGGGGGGGTGCACATCAAAATGACCAAACCGATTTGAGGAGGGAGCCTTAAGGAAGGTTTGTACCTTCTGTGCTGGATGCTCTTCAAGTACTGAAGAATTACTTTTGCATGTTTTTCTTAATTCCATGGCCATGGAACAAGTAAAGGCAACCCCCTGGGGACTGGTTCAGCACATAAAAGATGACTTTTCTAGGACACCAGATTTGATCCCCACATTCCCTGAGCTCAGCTCACACGAGGGGCTCGCATCCCTGAATCCCATCCAGGAGCCGGCTGCTGAGCAGGGGCCAAGGGCTCAACTTGTGCTGGGGCTACTGCTTCTAGAATCTCCTCTAACGCCACCCTTCCAAACACCCGTCTATGCTGGGTGGAGTGAGGCCACAGCATGACACTCATTTAACTCATTCAAACCCACCATGTGAGCTTGGCCAAAAGGGACATGGTGGGAGAGAAAAACAAAGAAAACCATGTAAGCCTGCAGGCATTTCCCGCCAATTCTACTCTAGGAGCAAAAGCCCCGAGTGGAGTTCTAGTATTTAAGGTGCTTTATTTTTTTTTCATATTGGGTTGGTGCAAAAGTAATTTTCAGTTTTAATGGCAAAAACCGTGATTACTTTTGTACCAACCTAAATATAGCATGAGCTCTAAATGGAAGCACCTACTTCAGTGAGGCTCAGCCCAGCCACAGTAACCGCAGGGCTCCTCCTCGTGGCCTCCAGTGTGTGCTGGACTGACCAAGGGGCAGGGCCTCACTTTGGGCAGCTCACTCTGCACTGCTTCCCCGTCAGCGGTGGATCTGTGAAGCTATCCCCAGAAAGATTCGGGTTCTGCTCCTACCACTTGAAGTTCACGGCACACGCAGGCAAACAGCACCTGAACATGTCCACCACCTTCATGGGCAGGTCCAGGCCACTGGAGGATGTGTCCAGAGAGACACCCAGGTCCACCAACCCTGCTAGGCAAGAGGGGTGGGGCAGAGTGCTGGTCTCTGCCCTGGGAACACAAATCCTCCCAGCACAGTGAGACAACATCCCCCGAGGGGAGTGAAAATTGGATAAGGCCCCCGACAGCCCCAAGCACAAGTGGCTTAAGCTGGCCAAGCAGCCACACGGCCTGGCTGGGACATCTGAAAATGTAAGTTGACACTTCTACGTAACCACAATTTGTTTTTTTGTTGTTGTTGTTTGTTTTGTTTTGAGACAGAGTCTCACTCTGTCACCCAGGCTGGAGTGCAGTGGCACAATCTCAGCTCCCTGCAACCTCCACCTCCCAGGTTCACCTCCCGCCTGTAATCCCAGCATTTTGGGAGGCCAAGGCGGGTGGATCACCTGAGGTCAGGAGTTCAAGACCAGCCTGGCCAACATGGTGAATCCCCATCTCTACTAAAAATAAATACAAAATTAGCGATGCTAATCCGTGGCATGTGCCTGTAATCCCAGCTACTCAGGCGGCTGAGGCAGGAGAATCGCTTGAACCTGGGAAGGCAGAGGTTGCGGTGAGCGAAGATCGTGCCATTGCACTCCAGCCTGGTCTACAAGAGCGAAACTCCGTCTCAAAATAATAATAATGATAATAATAATAATAATAATAAACCATAACACACCCACCACAAACCAGCTGTCAGTGTGAAAATAAAGCCAAATAGCTTAACATTTCTAAAGACTACCTGGGGCCAGGCATGATGGGTCACGCCTGGAATCCCAGCACTTAGGGAGGCCAAGGCGAGAGGATCACTTGAGGTCAGGAGTTCAAGACCAGCCTGGACAACATGGTGAAACCCTGTCTCTACTAAAAATACAAAAATAAGCCAGCTGTTGTGGTGGACTCCTGTAATCCTGTAATCTACTTGGGAGGCTGAGGTGGGTGAATCGCTTGAACCCAGGAGGCGGAGGTTGCATGAACTGAGATCGTGCACTCCAGCCTGGGCAACGGAGCAAGACTGTCTAAAACAAAGACTAGCTGGAGAATCCTGCCAGGAAAAGGCCCTCAGACTCCAACTGCTCTGCTCACTCGAAGCTGGAAGATGCAGCTCTAGAGACGTATCAGGACCAAGCCATGACTCCCCACTTGGAGAAATCAATGGGGAAAGAGACGGAGGCAAAGGAGAACCATCTCACTGGGAGAGGCGATGCTGTTTGACACATCGTCCCTGTTCCTCCCAAAGCCACTGCCCTCCCCCACCTGGGCAACAGTGGCCCCAAACCCAGGCCCAGCCCTCCTGGAGGAAGGAAGAGGATGGAATGGAGGGCGTGGCAGACTGAAAGGACGTGGCCTCCTCAAACCCCTTGGTAAAGGGCCTCTGGGGCGACCTGGCAGGGAGGGGCTGGCACACCAGGAAGTAGCCTCCTCCCGGGAGTTCAGCCAGAGCCCAGGTCCTGTCCCCAAGTGGCCTCCAGAGCCACCTTTTCAGAAAAAGTACATCATGCCCACCCCTGCTCCCCCTGCTTAAGGCCCCGCCTCCTCCCTGAGCCTCCTGCTGGCCTCTCACCTAGAAGCGGGGGTAGTCCTTGGCCCTGCAGTCAGGGGGTGCAGACCTGGATCTGCTGGAAATGCTTCTGGTGGATGAGGCGGCTGTAATACTCCCTCAGAGGCCTTTTGCCTTCACAGAGAAGAGCAGACACTGCCATGGACCCGTCTCTGTCCCTGCCACGTGGCCCCAGGCCCAAGACACTCCCCCTAGGAGGGATCCTTTCCCCAGAAGCTCCACCCCTCGGCAGCTCCAGTCAGGCCCCATCTGTGCCCTTCCAGAAGCAACCCAGGAGCCCCGAGACCTGCAGGGATGTGTGCACCCTGACCCCTGACGCCTAGTCCTGCACCTGCAGCCAGCTGGCCTCGGGCTGCAAACATGGCGGGGTAAGCACTGGCCTGGCACCCGACCGCCCACTGGGTGGACCCAGCCTTCTGTCTGTGTTGTGCGCAGGGGACACGAGGACTCCCCCTGCCCTGGCACAGCCCCCAGAGCACATGGCGCAGGTTCCAAGCTGCCCCTGCCTTGCCACAGCCCCCAGAGCACATGGTGCGGGTTCCAAGCCGCGCCTGCCTTGCCACAGCCTCCAGAGCACATGGCGCAGGTTCGAAACCACTCCTGGGAGCCTAGAGGCCAAAGGAGGGAGGAGAGCAGGACCAGCAGCTGGCCCAGACCCCGCCTCTTCCCACACCACTTCCGCTTTTCTCCCTCCTCACTGACTCACCTTGAAAGGGCTCAGCAGCCGTAACTGAGGGACAGGGGCTCTTCCGTTTGAAAAATTAAAAGAGGCTTGGTTAAGGCACCAGTGACATGACCGGGCCCAATGGCTCATATCAATAATTCCAGCATATTGGGAGGCCAAGGCGGGTGGATCACCTGAGGTCAGGAGTTCAAGACCAGCCTGGCCAACATGGCAAAACCGTGTTTCTACTAAAAATACAAAAATAAGTTGGGTGTGGTGGGCACCTGTAGTCCCAGCCACTCGGGAGGTTGAGGCATGAGAATTGTTGAATGTGAGACGTCGAGGTTGCAGTGAGCTGAGATCACACCACTGCACCTCAGCCTGGGCACAGAGATTTTGTCTCAAAAAAAAAAAAAAAAAAAAAAAAAGACACCAACGAAGAAACAAGAAAAATAAAAGATGCTTGGAAACTACTGAAAAATTAGAAAGTTTGGTATCTACAGATTCACATCTGGGCTCCCTGCCCTGCTGTGAAACTCTCTGAGCCTCAGTTTCCCACATGTAAAGCAGTATAAGACTCTATGGCAGAGAACTGCAGTGAGGATTAAGGAGACAAGATCGTGGCAAGCACAGGGTAAAGGCGACGTACCCCTCCCTGGACTCCAGTACCTGGAGTCGCAAGACGAGCTGAAAAAGGAGCCAGGCACTGAAGGACAAAGCGGTGTTGACTTTGTTCATCTGTGTTTCCCAGTGCGGTCCAATTGACGGTGGTTTCCAAGCGCCTCCTGGAGGAGAAAACACATGAGGGTGTGGTCAGGGTTCTCTGCTGACAGACCTACCGTGGGGAAGAAAGAGAAACTCTGAAGATGGATCATGGCCATGACTGCATGTCAAGGAGAATCTCCTTGAAGACACTGAGGCCTACGTCGAGGTAGAGTAAATATGGTCCAATTAAAAGGTGTCTATTTTACCACATTTTTTAAAACAAAACAAAACACAAAAACAAAAAAGATGGAAAAAAAGACAGGGGTACAGGCACCAGTGTTACATGTCTGACGGGGAACATCTATTCTTCAAAGCTTGCAGCTGTACACGTAGGTTTTAGAATGTCTGTCAGCAGTGGACATGATCTTAGAGTGGGCTGTGCAGATAGACCTTTCCGGGTCATGTAATTGGATTAAGTTAATTGCAATTAACTTACATGTAACTGATTAGGTTAGGGTACGTTCCACGTCAGGTGACCAGAGGCAGTATAAAAGGCAGCCTGGAAAGCAGAGGTCCCTCTCCGCCCCTTCCTCCATCTTCCTGGATGCTGCATCGCTTCCAGGGGGGCTGCTCCAGCACCTGCCCATCTCAGCGCCAGCCGGGGAAAGAAAGTAGACGTGTAATTTCAGGTTAGTTTCACTGTACAGTTGTTTTTTTCACGCAATCCCTGAGGGGTGGGTGGGAAGAGACAAAGGACGCCGAGAGAAACCGATCACACTGGGCCTTGCTGATGGGGTAGGATGTGTTCTCGTTACTAGCAATTCTTGGAACAGAAAACGAGAAAGCATTTCCGTCTCCACGTGTGGGAGAAGACCAAGATGGGAATGTGAAAAGAAATGTACTGCAGCATGCTGAATTGGTGGGTAAATGGAAAAAGGACTTTGGAAAAAAGGGTGGTTTGCCCTTCAGCGGTGTAAGACGTCGATACGATATGGCACTTATTCACCGTTTGTTTAGATGAATTCGTGTGGCACGTGTAAAATACCAGAAAAATAAATAAAGAGGGGCTGGAGCTAAAGCCAAAAAGATAGAACAGGAAAGACCATCACCTGCTAGTGTGGTAGAGAGGAAGATAACTTCTCTCTATGAATTTGTGTTTGGAAGTCGCCTAATGAAATGGCAAGAGTAGCGATTCAAGTTGTGACAGGAAGCATCCCTTATCCCAGATTTCAAACAGACCTGCCAAAGGGTGACAAATGCCATGCCCTGTGGCTTCGATCATTCTGTCCGTCAAGGGAGATAGAATCATCGTGTCTTCTACCGGAGTGAATCGTAATAGACCTAAGTCCAGTCTCCAGAATCAGTTGTTAGTTTGGAGTTGAAAGCTCAACTCCCCATACCTAGGCCACAGGCCCTGTGGCAGGCGAAGTTTACTCTTGGACTAGGTAATCATGGCAGAGGAACACACAATATCTGAGGATGCACACAGCACATTGTGTTCCACAGATTTGACCGACTGGTGGTGAGGTCTCCTCATGACCACACCGGCAAGGAGTTAGCGGGGGGCTTCCTGTGGGTGTGTGAATATCCAACGTGCTTAACCATCCACATGTGTGTGTTTGTGTGTGTTTCAGGTGACCCAACAGTCAACCCCTGAAAAAGGCGGTCACAAAACCCCCAGGAGACGAAGATGACGGCACGTCGTGACCCCAAACCTGGGGCAAAGAGACTGGTGAGAGCCCAGACCCTCCAGAAGCAGCGGAGGGCCCCAGTTGGGCCAAGGGCTCCCCCGCCCGATGAAGAAGATCCCAGGGTAAGTCTAGCCCTGGATCTCTTGGGTATCGGGGTGGGGGTGGGGACGGGGGGAGGGGCTGTCACACGGTCCTCAGAGACTGGGTTGGATTCCAAAGAGTTCTGTCACCACCACCCAGGTTGCTTTTCCCATCCAAGGTGGGCGTGGCTTGGGACCTCCTCCGCGGCCCGATAGGCCCCTTGAGAGACTCTTGGGGGCAACCTCCCTTTCTATTTAGAGTCCTGTGCAGCCACGTTTGGCTGTGCTGTTGACATCGGGTTCACCATCGTGCCCCTTAGAACCTTGAGTCCTGCCTTTTAGAGTTCCTCCGTCACATGGGCTTTGGGAGGGAACATCGCATCCGAACTCTCCCAGCACTTAATGGCCCCCATGCTGGTGTCCCCTCTTTGGAATCCTTATTCAGCTCTGAATTCACAATCCGTCTCAATGTTGACGTGGGATCGCTGCCTGTGGCTTCAGCTCACTCACTGACATCACTTCCTTTCCACCCACAGCTCAAGTGCAAAAACTGCAGGGCCCTTGGCCACACGGTCAGAAGTACCAGGTGCCCCATGAAGTGCTGGAAGGCAGCCCTGGTTCCACCGACCTTGGGGAAAAAGGAAGGGAAGGAAAACCTGAAACCATGGAAGCCCCAGGTTGAAGCCAACCCGGGGCCCTTGAACAAGGATAAGGGAGAGAAGGAAGAGAGACCAAGGTGAGCAGTGGGAGGGGTTTTCACCACTCTTAGGGTACTGCCTCCTAAGGACATGGTGTCTCTGCACCTGCACACCGTGTGCCTTTCCGTCTCCGGGCCAGGGAAGGAACGCTGCAGAGAAATAGGCCGGAGCTCCGTGTCCTCCGGCGTTCCACACCCAGGAGTTCCTTTGGCTCTGGGAGATTCAGGGACGGGGAGAGGCGGGGGTGCTTCGTGCAGATTCCCCACGACAGGGGGAAAAGCGATGGAATCCAAATCACAGTCCTTAGTTCGGAAGCCTAGAGGGCCACCTGGAGGATGGGAAGGTTGGCACGTGAGGGAAGGTGCAGAGGCGGAAAGGGCACCAGATGTCCATTTCTGTATCACAAAACACGGAATGGGACTGAGCCCCAGACAGGGTTCTCCCTGTCTCCTGGGGAAAACCAGGGGCCATGGCCTGACCTTTTTCTGTTCTGCAGGCAACAAGACCCGCAGAGAAAGGCTCTCCTCCACATATTTTCCGGGAAACCTCCAGAGAAGCTGCTGCCAAATCGAAAAGGATCCACGGAATCTTCTGTTTTTCTGAGGGTGAGTGTCACCCTGGGCCCCTGGTCTTTTTGTCCTCTAGGTCACCCTGGTTGATTTCCTTTCAGCTTCCCGTCTGCGGGAGGGAATCGGGGAACCCCTCTTTCTTGCCTTCTTGGGGTCAGGGACTTCACGATCCTTCCAGGTCAATTTGATTCCAGGCGAAGGCATCTGAAGATGCCGTATTTCCTGTTGCTTTCTTTCTGTCCAATTATGGCAAGCCTGCCAACAACATGTTCCTAGCGGCATGAGGAAATTTGTCCCTCAGAGGCCCCAAACATGGAGAAGGCTAAACTCTGGAACATGCATGTGTTCAGAGAAGACGTCCTGAGTACCCTTGAGCCACCAACCTGCCTTCGGAAGGGCATTAGTCTGTTCCACTTCATGGAAGGCTGAGTGGAGGCGCTTTGATCCAGTTAATGCCCAAGACGCGATCTTTTGAACAATGGTGTGCTTAGATCAGCTACACATAGCTCGAGAGCGCATCGTTCATGTGTCTTGTCCTGATCAGCACTCAGGTGGAGGGTCTGTCTCTACTTCCAAGGACCGCCTGTCGATACTGTACTAAGAATTTCATGGCGTGTGCACCTTGTCTTTGGATGTGCTTGATTTTCACGTTGGCTCCATGCTGAGGAACTTCTAACCTGTGTTGTTTCCTCTCTTTCAGGTTGCAAGCCGGCCAATGCCGGTCCACACAACAAGTAAGAGGCCGTGCGTGGACCCTGAACTCGCTGATCGCTCAGCTACCGAAATGTCTGGCAGAGGCTCCGTCTTGGCTTCACTGTCTCCCCTCAGAAAAGCCAGTCTGAGATCCTCCTCAAGTCTTGGACCAAAGGAAAGACAGACAGGTGCTGCGGCCGACATCCCTCAGCCTGCAGTCAGGCACCAGGGCCCCGAGCCTCTCCTCGTGGTGAAGCCGACACACAGCAGCCGTGAGGGTGGCTGCCGAGAAGTTCCCCAGGCTGCCTCCAAAACCCACGGCCTGCTCCAGGCCGTCAGACCCCAGGCACAAGACAAACGTCCTGCGGTGACCTGACAGCCCGGCCCACCAGCCGCCACACACAGCTTGGGCCTAGGCTCCAATCTCAGCTTCAGACCAGGAGCCAAGAGACCTGCCCAGGCTCCGATTCAGGGTTGCCTGAACTTCCCCAAGAAACCGAGACTGGGTCCCTTCCAGATCCCCGAAAGCGCCATCCAGGGAGGTGAGCTGGGGGCCCTGGAGAATCTCCAACCTCCGCCAGCAGCAACCGAACTTGGACCAAGTACGTCGCCCCAGATGGGCAGGAGGACACCCGCCCAGGTGCCCGGCGTCGACCGGCAGCCTCCGCACAGCAGACCTTGCCTGCCCACTGCCCAGGCCTGCACCATGTCCCATCACCCAGCGGCCAGCCATGATGGGGCCCAGCCTCTCAGAGTGCTCTTCCGGAGACTAGAAAACAGACGCTGGAGCTCCAGCCTCCTGGCGGCCCCCTCATTTCACTCTCCTGAGAAGCTGGGAGTCTTCCTCGCTCAGAGCCCTCATGTGTCAGAGAAGTCTGAGGGTCCCTGTGTTCGTGTCCCACCGAACGTCCTCTATGAAGACCTTCAGGTTTCCTCCTCCTCAGAGGACAGCGATTCTGACCTGCAGTGAGACTGCAGGTGGCAGGGGCTCCTTGGCCTCCAGCTCCCGTGACTTGGAGGGGACTGTGGGACTGAGGAGCGCAGAGCAGAGAGCAGACTCTGTGCGGTGACTCCGAAGCTCCCCGGCTGTGGCGCTTCTGTGGATGTGGGAGCCCAGGCCAGGCAGGGAGCAGATGCAGGGACTCTGCCTCATTGAATTCTGGTGAGGGACGTTGTAGTTCGCGTGGTTCTCCGGAAACACGCCAGGAAAAGCTTCCGTGCCAGAGATTCGTTGCCTCAGAAACTGCGTGACGCGCAGGAGTCAGACTTCCGCTGGGACGTCAATAGGAAACTGGGGAATTACTGTGTATTTGCTCTCTAGATGACTGAATAAGGGAAAAGTTAGGGAACCCTGAGAGGTGCAGCCCTTCCGCTGTGCCCCGCCCTGAGAGCAGTGTTTCGGACGCTGGGAAGCGTGCTGTGCGAAGCGCTCTCGGGGTCTTTCCTCAGCCTCGAAAACTGGGCTCTGGAATGCCTTTGTAAACAGGTGTGTTGAATTTGTTTTGAAGTGAATAAAATTCTCAAAAAGATGACGTATTGTCTTTTGACTCTCATTCCGTGTTTGTGTGTAACTGATTTTCCAAGTGAAGGGGTGGCCTGCCCCTCCACACCTGTGGGTGTTTCTAGTCGGGTGGGATGAGAGACGGAGAAGAGAAATAAGACACAGAGACAAAGTATAGGGAAACAACAGTGGGTCCAGGGGACCGGCACTCAGCACACCAAGGACCTGCACCGACCTCTGAGTTCCCTCAGTTTTTATTGATTATGATTTTCATTATTTCAGCAAAAAGGAATATACTAGGAGAGCAGGGTGATAATAAGGAGGTCAACAAAAAACATGTGAGCAAAAGAATCTATATCATAATTAAGTTCAAGGGAAGGTACTATGCCTGGACGTGCACGTAGGCCAGATTTATGTCTCTCTCCACCCAAACATCTCAGCGGAGTAAAGAATAAGAAGGCAGCATTACTGCCAACATGTCTCGCCTCCCGCCACAGGGCAGCTTTTCTCCTAGCTCAGAGTTGAACAAATGTACGATCGGGTTTTACACCGAGACATTCAGTTCCCAGGGGCAAGCAGGAGACAGTGGCCTTCCTCCATGTCAACTGCAAGAGGCTTTCCTCTTTGACTAATACACCTCAGCACAGACGCTTTACGGGTGTCAGGCTGGGGGACAGTCAGGTCTTTCTCATCCCACGAGGCCATATTTCAGACTGTCGCATGGGGAGAAACTTTGGACAATACCCTGCTTTCAAGGGCAGAGGTCCCTGCGGCTTTCCACGGTGCATTGTGTCCCTGGTTTATTGAGACTAGAGAATGGCAATGACTTTTACAAAGTATACTGCTTGTAAACATTTGGTTAACAAGGCACGTCCTGCACAGCCCTAGATCCCTTAAACCTTGATTTTATACAACATAGGTTTTTGTGTGCTCCAAGTTGGGTCAAAGCGGCTGGGGCAAAGTGGCTGGGGCAAAGCTACAAATGAACAACATCTCAGCAAAGCAATTGTTTAAAGTACAGGTCCTTTTCAAAATAGAGTCTCTTATGTCTTCCCTTTCGACATAGACACAGTGACAGTCTGATCTCTCTTTCTTTTCCCTACATCCAAGGACTTGAACATTTCTTGACTTGTTAGCAATCCAAATCGTTATGTCTCCGAAACAGAGTTGACTGAGGGGACCGCAGGGCTGGGCAGGACCTTTGACTTCCTATACATCCACAGGAGCAAGAAAACCTCAGCCCCGCTCTACCAACACGCACCTAGTAAAATTCCGCCAATTGAATCTCACGCACGCTAACACGTGGGGAGCGTTGCTTGCACCACGAGTCCCCATTTGGCTCAACCGCCGATGCCAAGTGTGTGGTTCCGGTTGCGACGGCTCCCCGTGAAGTGGCTTCCGGATGTGCGAATGAACCAGGCAGAGTTTCGCTGGCCAAGTAGACCCCAGCAAAGCTGAAGTTAACTCCCACATTTGGGATGTACTTCAGAGGTGAAACATTCATCCCTCTTCTTTCCGGATGTCTGACACCGGGCCTTTCCATGGTTCTCCCCCTGATCCTAAGAGTAGCTGAGGTAGAGACTCACTGAAAGATCTAGGCAGGGATATCCCATCATGCACAGGCTCTCTCCATTCTCTGACCTGGGAACAACTCTCAGCAGGATTGCATACCTAGGCGGCCTCGGAACTCAGCGGGATTTGCTGAGACACACCAAATGGCTGCTCCCTTTCCGCCGCTTTTGAGGGTCGTTATCTTGATTATCCAGATCACCTACAAAGTATCCGTATCCAGAATCAATAAGATCAACTCTCTGCTCCTCTGACAGCAGAAGGAGCAGGACCACAAGGAACCAAAGAGGGTGGAAGGAAACGATGTGACCGGAAAGCTCGGAAAACGGCCACAGGGGGTCGTCAGCAGGCCTTCCAACCTGAATCATGAATAATTAATGAAGCACAAATCAAAGGGGACTCGAGTTTCAGCAGATGCAATTCATCCAACGGGAGATCGCCGGAGGGCCAACAAGATTGAGAAACTGGGAGTCGGGTGCAGTGTCAAGGGGGACGCGACTGGTTCCAAAGCTCAAGAAGACCATGGGGTCACTTGGGCTACATGAGAAAATGCCCCAGTGTGCTGGTTCATCATTCCGACTCCTGCCTGTCTCTTCCCGTCCAAGGAACATGGACCCTAAGTCGTGCAGGTGCAGATGACCATGGGCAGAATTAGGGGACATGTCACAAAAGTTGAGGGACACGGGAGTTCCACAGAAGGTCCGGTTAATCTTCGCAAATCCAGAGACATGACAATGGGTCCCAGGGAATTAGAGCCTCACAGGCGTCCAGGAGACTTTTCAGGCATAATGCCTGGAGTCGCAAGACGAGCTGAAAAGGGAGCCAGGTACTGAAGGACAAAGCGGTGTTGGCTTTCTTCATCTGTGTTTCCCAGTGCAGTCCAATTCACTGTGGTAGAATTCATGTATTTATTTTCCGTCGGCTTGTAGTTGCAAACTTTTGATGTTATTGATTTTTGGTTGGAGAGTTTTGGTTTGAAAAACTAGATATTCTGAAGATGGAGGTTGTCCAAGATTGTATCTCAAGGTGAGTCTACTTGATGCCAGCGAAGCATACTTTGACATATAATGCATATGTTTGAATTATATTTTGTCTTTTTTACCATATTTTAAAAAATCACTTCGTGAAAAATGTCAGAGTTAGATACACCAATGTTAAATTTCTCATCACATGTCCAGAGGCAGTGTAAAATGCAGTCTAGAAGGCAAAATTCCCAGCCACTTCTATGTGGAACTTTCTGCAGAGTGGGATTGTATCCAGCGTTTTCAGGGGGCGCAGGTGTGGTAATAGCTGGTCCTTGGCTTCCTGCTGAAGTTGGAATCCTGCAGATTGCTTAGGGGCGGTTTCAGCCTGTCCCTTCTTTCCAGGTCATCACTAACCTTTCCTGAGCCCCCATGGGGACTCAGAACTTATCTAGAGTCACAGGCCGGCCTGGGATGCTGCCCTTGAGCCTTTGTGCTGTCCATGATGGTTCCATGCCACTGATCTGCTGGGACACATTCTGCAGAAGGATGGGCTGGCAGGAGCTGTCCCTACCTTTCTGAAAATCACAGAGATTTCTGCTGTCAGAAGCCACAGAGAAATATCTTTGGAGTCTCAGGTAGGCCAGGGATGCCATTCACAGGCTCCTGTTCTTCCTCTTAATGGTAGCAAGAGTGATTTCTGAGTTTCCTAATTGACTTCGAAATAATTTTGTTGATTTCGTTGTGACAAAGACCACTCCTCTTTCTGTGGCATCCAGTTCACCTGTAGTGTTTTTTGGGATTATGTGGAAACTCTTGCATTTTTCCAGAGCCTCACTTCATCCGGGATGTTCTCAGGAATGCACGAGCTGATCCCTGCCTTGGTGGCATCTTGGAACATTGAGGGAGGCCCCTTAGGTCCAGAAGGCACTAGGAGGTCCATCAGGAATTGAGAGGGCATGTGTCTGCCCATCTGTAGCTGGAACTTCTATTTGTCTTCAGAATGCAGATTCTTCCTGAACTAATAAATTATCTTCATCTTGGTGTAAGTAGCTACAATATAATAATTCACAGTAACTCTATTAATAAAAATAACTGAATATCAACAATGAAGATAATAATGACAATGTTAATTGTTATAATATTAATAGCAAAAATAAAAGAAAGTCATTAGGGATTGGAGATTCCCTTAAGTGAAGGACAATGTACAGATATAGGGACACTTGAGTTGTTTGGACTCAGAGTCAAATGAAACGTGTTCCTCAAAGGCAAAGGACATGCAGCATAAGGAAAACACAACGTTCATGGATGACCACATGGGGTACCTTGGAACTCATGTGGAAAGACTGCAGGCAAAGTGTACCTGGTACAGGGACCACCCACCAGCCAGCACCCACCCACCTTCATGAGGTAGGACAGCAAGATAATGGGGAAGGGGTCCATGCAAGGGATGCAAGGCTCGTGTCACACCTGATTCAAAGAAGCACTGCTTCTGACAGATGTTTATCTCCTAACACTGTGTCACCTCTAACTGCCTGGCTGCAAGTCTGCCAACTGTTCTTCTTAGGTCACAGGAAGGACAGACATTACTGTCCACCTATCTGCATACAGAGCCATTGGAGGCCATTACCCTTGTTGCTTCCTCTTTGGAAAGGGGCAACATACCTGGCAGATGCCATTCTCTGTCTCTTTGGAAAGCTTTGTCAGCACATTTAAGGTTTTCTTCAGCCACAGAAAGCCACCTGCTTCAAAGTCTCATCCTCCACAAGTGGCAAGCACACAATCATTAATGGAGGCAAGGGGTACATAGGCTTTGCCATTTGATTCAGTTGGGACAAATAGGGGAGGACTTCTTAGCTCTACAGCTCTGTCCGTGTGGCCAGGTGACAATGTCAGGCTGCACTGCCATTAGACTTGTCCCTTTGCACATAAGGCTTCCCTCCAATCCTTTCCACAGATGTGGATCCTCACATCACTTCCTAATAAACATCCTGCACACTAAACTTTATCTATATCCAGTTCCCTGGGAACCAAACCTGTGACAAAAGTGAAAAGTTTCTAGGGAAAATAGGGTTTCCTTATCAGACAGGAATCAAATTCTGCTGAGCTAGAAAATAAAGTCTGACGCCATCTCGTGATATTTTTTTATTAGGACATTACCACTGCCAGCAAGAATTATGTGCATCAATTTGTGGGGACAAACATCATACTGGAGTGGAATGAGGTTGTTGTGAGTTGAGGAGAAATGCTGATGAATGGACTTTACCCTCAACTTGGATTCAGGAGAGGACATAAAAACAGCTGGAAATAAAAGGTGTCCGAAAACATTTTTCTGGTTTTTCAATTTCAGGTTGGGAGACACTCTATGTTTAAATTCTAAAGAGATGTAGCATACTGAGAAGAAATAACTGTAGACAAATTGTCCATTTTATGAATAATACAATTTATGGTATGACAGGAGACCAAGGGACATAACACAAATTTGGAGTTAAAGAAATTAACAGACATTCTCTATAATTCCTCCGCTATTATGGCAGAGATGCTGGAACAATGGATGTCCATGTAGCGTACTTTTTTTTTTTTTTTTTGGCGGTGGGGGACGGAATCTCACTCTGTAACCAGGCTGTGCTGCAATGGCGCAATCTCAGCTCACTGCAACCTCTGCCTCCCGGGTTCAAGCAATCCTCCTGCCTCGGCCTCCTGAGTAGCTGGGACGACAGGCACACACTACCACACTCAGCTAATTTTTGTATTTTTAGTACAGATGGGGTTTCACCATGTTGGCTAGGATGGTCTCAGTTTCCTGATACCGTGATCCACCTGCTTTGGCCTCCCAAAGGGTTGGGATTACTGGTGTGAGCCACCATGCCTGGCCCTTGTAGCAGTACTTTTGAACTTATTGGCTGAAAGCATCCACCTGCAAACTTACGTATTATATCTGCAAAAGAGTACAAACCATGTGATGAATTTTAAAGGGAAGACAAGCCTGTGGGAATTCAACAGCCATGGCAATGTTTTGAACTTCTTTTTATTAAACATGTAAGAAGTAAGTGAAGTTCAAGACCTAATAGAATTGCCAGGAATTATCTGAGGAATTACCAAGATGACCATAGACACTATGAAATCCTTACGATGCCCTCTGCTGGAGTTTCCTCCTACAGCCAGTGATTTTAAGCCAGAAGCAAATGTATCTGCAGGCACAAGAATTCAACCCAAATGTGCTATTCAATTTTAAATGAGATGACAATGAAATTATGTGCTATATAGCAACAACTTTTTTTTTTCTTTCAGACAGAGTCTTTCTCTGTTGCCTAGGCTGGAGTGCAGTGGGGCACTCTTGGCTCACTGCAATCTCTGCCTCCTGTGTTCAAGTGATTTTCCCACCTTTTTCACAATGTATCCTTATCCTCAAACTCATCCTCCTAAGTAGCTGAGATTATAGGCCTGTGCCACCATGTCTGGCTGATTTTTGTATCAGCAAAATTATTTCTGGGGTGGAGAGTTAGGAATCTTTTTCTCCCACACCCATAACATGTTCTCCAAATGATCTGTCATGAAGAAGGTTCTCTTAATTTTCAACACAAGTTATGGGCTAGGCACTGTGCTAGGTGCTACAGATACGCACTAATATACCCACAATAGTTTTGCCTTATTGCCTTCTATGTTCTAATAATACACCAAAAGAAAAGTATAGATTAGCTTTTTATTTTTTTGAGATGGAGGTTAATTCTGTCACCCAGGATGGAATGCAGAGGTGGGATCTTGGCTCACTGCACCTTCTGCCTCCTGGGTTCAAGTGATTCTCCTGCCTCAGCCTCCTGAGTAGCTGGGATTACAGGCACGTGCCACCACACCCAGAAAATTTTTGTATTTTTCAGGAAGACAGCTTTCATCATGTTAGTCAGGCAGGTCTCAAACCCCTGGCCTCAAGTGATCCACCTATCTTGGCCTTCCAAACTGCTGGGATTACAGTCATGAGCCATAGTGCCCAGCCAAAGAGAGTAGCTTTAAATAGAAAATATGAAACTAAAAGAAATGTATGCTCATCAGTTTTATACTGTATTTGGCCAGGTGCAGAATATCGACATGTAGTAATGTAAGGGAATAAGGTCAATTCACATCTAATTGTTTGGAGAAGTCACCAGAAATCAAAAGTTGGAGGAGTTGTATCTTTTGAGGTGGGTTGCACAGGCAAGCAGCAAGTTGCTATCTCTCCAAAGTCCTAAACTGTTCTATTTGTCCTACTGTGGAAAAATGAGTCTTCAACTTGATTTCAATTTATATAGGAAAATGCTCAATAAAACTAATAAGGGCTACATTCCAGGACACAGCCAGACCACCATATACTGAACCTTGATTCTAGAGACACCTCCTGTTCAATGTAATTGGATTTTCAAGACAACAAATATATAACCCTGACACAATATTGGAGAGCCAAAAGGAAAGGACATTTTGGGTTGAAATTTTTTCTTTTAAAAATGTGTCCTTGAGTTCTATTAACAATAGCTGAAGCCTGGGAACAGCTCAAATGTCTATTGAGAGGAAATTGATAAATTATATGCATATTATGGAGTAATATTTATCAATAAATGGGAATAATCAACTCTATGAATCGACATCATGATCATGGATCAATATAATCTTTCTAACCCCGAGTGGGGAAAGCTAAGCTAAAAAGTGTCCTATAATATAAATAAATGTATACAAAATTCTAGAACAGACAAACCTAATATAAGCTAAAAAAGTTCAGAAAAGCCAGGTGCACTGGGTCATGCCTGTTATGTCAGCACTTTGTGAGGTGGGTGGATCGCATGAACTCAGGAATTCAAGACCAGCCTGGCCAACATGCTGAAGCTACCCCATCTTTACCAAAAATATAAAAATTAGCCCAGTGTGGTGTGGTACGCAGGAGCAGAAAACCAAATATTACATATTCTCATGTATAAGTGAGAGCTAAACATTGGGTTATACACTGTTCAGCTCTCACTTATATGGAAACAACAGACACTGGAGATTCTTAGAGGGAGGAGGGAGGGTTGGGTGCAAGGCCTGAAAAACTACCTATTGGGTATTATGTTCACTACATGTGTGATGAGATCATTCATACTGTAAACCTCAGCAGCACACAATACATCCATGTAACAAACCTGCACATGTATCCTCTGTGTCTAAAATAAAAATTAAAAACATAAAAATGAACAAAGATATATGAGCAAGCATTTGTCGAAAAAGGAGATACAAATGGACAACATATATATAAACAATTCTTACCCTCTCTAGTCATCACGGGAATGCAAATGAAAACAACCAAGAAATATCACCTCACACCTGTTAGAATAGCTATTATCAAAAAGATGGATGATAACAAGTGTTGGTAAGGATGTGGAGAAAAGGGAACCTTTGTATACTGGTGGTGGGAATGTAAATTAGTATGGCCACCTTGGAAAACAGTATGGAGGTTTCTCAAAAATTAACAATAAAAATACCATTTTGTTCCAGCAATCCCACTTATTTTATATATAATATATATATCATATATATAAATATATATATATGAAGTCATTGAAATCAGTATGTGAAAGAGATATCTGCGCTCCTATGTTCCTTTCAACACTGTTCACAATAGTCAAGATCTATGAAGAAGACATACATGTTATCATTCATTCATGAATGGCTGAATTAATGTTATACATATATATATATATATATGCACAATGGAATATTATTCAGTATTATATAATAATGAAACCCTGTCATTTGTGACAACATTGATGCATCTGAAGGGCATGAAGTCATGTGAAATAAACCAAACACAGAATGACAAATACTGTATGATTCCACTTGTATTTGAAATCTCAAAAAAACAAACTCAGAAGCAGAGGGTAGACTGGCCAGGAGCTGTGGTGCAGGTAAGTGTGTAGGTGTGATTACAGTACAAAGTTTTAGATATACCACATAAATAAGTTCAGGAGGTCTAATTTACAGCTTAGTGCTTATAGCTATGAATACTGTATTGCATACTTAAAATATAATAGGAGGGTGAATTTTATGTTAATTATTCTTACCAATAAAAATAATAATTAGAATGGGAGGGAGAACTTTGGGAGGTGATGAATATGTTTATAATCTTGATGGTAGTGATGCTTTCACAATGTATCCTTATTCTCAAACTCACTGAGATATACACATTAAATAGGTACAGCTTTTTGAATGTAATCATGTCTCAACAAAGTGTTTTTAAGGGGGGTTGGTTAAAAAATTTAAAAAGGAAGGGTAGATGTTCCTTTGCCATTCTCTCATGCCTTTTTTCTCCCTGCTGTCTAGAATTCAGAAATAATAGGTGGGAATTTAGCAGCCAAACTACGACCTTTTCTAAAGTATAGCAGAGCAAAGAGCTGGAAGGGACCTGCATCCCTAATGATATAAGAAAGAATCTGTACTAGCCCTGAATGGTATAACTACAGGTTAATTTTAAGTGAAAAAGAAATCAACTTCTGCCTTGTTTAAGCAAACTTATTCAGGCATTAATTTTATAAACATGTAGAGAATACATACTCCTTATGAGCAGAAACAATGTTTATGCCATATGCTCCATGATGGGTATTCAATAATGTGTGACGATAATAATGAAGACAATAGTGATAAATAAAAGAAAATAAAAAGCAGTGAAACAAAGTGGTTTAATAGCTATACATAGATATTTTGTTGAAAGATTCTGCTGCTAATATTATTCAATATTTTTGTATGCTGGTGCAAGTAAGGAAAATTACATTGTCTAATAAAAATTATTTATCAATTTATAAAACAGTAAAAATTTCATAGAATGGGGCTAAGAATCTGCATTGCAAACTAACTCTTTCAGTTGATTTATGCACAGTAATTATTGAGAATCCCCTTATCTAGATCCAACGGATCTGGACCTACATAGGTGCTATCAAGACTTAAGGAAGAAAATTTTCCTGACTCTATCCATACCTCCAGTTAGTAATAGATCTAGAGATTTAGAACTGAAATCCAGACCTCCTGCTTCCATGTGCAGTGACCTTTCACTGTCCTGTTTTGCTTCACTTGATGAAGAGGATTTGAGAATAAATGACCACTTGATTCAACTCCTCCTCAACTCTGAGGAATATAGCCCTGTCCTGGCAAACAAGAAACTCCTGCAGTAGTAGAGGAGGCAAATATACGTTCACTAATCTAACATACAAGGCAGTAGGCACTGTACCATAAACAAGGCACTGTGGGGGTTCAGACCAGCGGCAAAGTGGGGATTAATAGGGCTAGTAAACTCTGGGAAGGTTCACTAACAAAATGTCTAATCATTAACTAAACTAAAAGGTTTCTCAACATGGCCTAATTAATTGTAACTTAACATAAATGGTTGTTTGTTCATAAACCTTAATCTTTTGCCAAAATATTGGTAGCTTATGTTCCCATTTAACAAGGTTTTCTGGTCAAAACTGTGCACCCACATCATTCTAATGAACTTAGTGTCCAATAAAACATGGACTCTCAGTCATCCTATGAAGGTTATTTTGTGTGCATAGTACATCTCTGTGAATATGCGTAATGAGGTATGGAAGGACACTTATTATCCAAACAGAGATATTCCACTGGTGCTAGAGAGCCACAGACGGAAGTTTTCTCTGTCTACTGGAAATAAAGCCAAGCTTTCTTCTTTCCTCAGCCGTGAGGATTGCTGTCCTCCTCTTTATCATTCTCGTTTTTTTTTTTTTGTTTTTATGAGCCAAGCTCCACCAAATAACAAGATAAACTTTGTGTAAGACTTGGTAAGAGTAGAGTGTCTGACACCTTATTGTGCTATAACACTCAAAGCAAAAGCAAAATCGCCTATGACCAGAAAAGGGAGTCACATAGGAAATCTAGAAGACCTATTGGCTGAGAGACCTGCAGCCTCATAGTTCATTAGCTCTCCATAGCAACTCTCACATGAAATGAAGTCAGTGGTGTTTCAAGTGGTTGAAACCCTCTTTACTCTACTTCTAAATGTGAATTAATTAGGCAAGTTTACTAGCAGTTACTAGACCTCAAAAGCAAAATAATCAGGCATTATTCTATTAAATATTGGTCTCCATAACTCCTCTATTTTCTTTTGGAAAAGTTAGTTAGTCTAAGACATTTGGCATAAAGGCTATGCCAAAGCTTTGGTGGGGTCAGCCAGGAAGGATTCGTGGGGCCTCCTTGAAAATATTGCAATAATCTAAGAAATCTTCAACCTATTGCCCCTCAATACTGTTGGTCCCTTGTACTGGACTTTTCCCCTTAAGTTTGATTCCATTTCCTAACATTATCCTTCCCTCTTCCTCCTCAGCAACTAGTCTTCTAAATTAGAACTTAAACACAATGACCAGATATGACCCTGCAACAGAGCACGCCCTTCTGCATTGAGCATGCAATCATGAATCACAGGTATAAGACCCCTTGAACAGACATGGTTTTGGTGATTCTGTGTAAGACTTATTGCTTTTACCCAAGAAGATGATCAGGCATTCTAAGTAGATCAGAAAATTTTCTGGAGCTCTTGAATGTGTGTAGGCAAGAAAGATTAAGCAACCTGTTGCCTTATATGAGGCAAACTGTCTTCTCATATTTTCTTTTGAATTCAAGATTTCAAGGTTGGGGAAGGAGTGGGAAAGTAGCCATGGACATGTGAGAATGTGGATGATCCTTGTACATTGTCAGGGATGGTCAAATTCTATGCTTCATGTTGTTTGCTAAAAGACACTTTCCAAAGTTTTCAACAGAAAATATGGTGGCACACATGCCTATTCTTCGTGAACCCAGACATTTCTATCTAGTCTGTGATAGTAAATTTAAAAGGACGGCTTAGGGTAAATGAATCCTTCAAGTTATAAAGATGAAGGGCAGTTTTTGGACAATTCCCATTTTGCTGTAGGAAAACTAATCTGGAAGAAGTAAAAGGGAAAGATTGAAGTGGAGAGAACGGAGATAGAAAATGAGTTCAGTTGATCAAATTTTTGTTAAGCGCCCACTGTATGTGGGACCCTTACAAGGAAACAAGCAGACAAAGAAAAAAAAAAGCATGTGATGGCCTTGCTCTTAAGAAGCCAGAGGCCAGTCACCTGGATTGCTACATATCAGGAAGATGTCAACAAGCCCCTACAATACAGCACTGGCATAGGATGAAGAAGAGGTTTCTTTCTATGAGATAAATACCACACAACCAAAAAAGAAAGCCAAAAGATACACAAGGCTCGAAAACCTAAGGCACCAACCCTTAAGAGATCTGATTGTTGGTGGTAACTTTGGAAGGAAAATTATTATTAGGATTATTTTAGTACTAAGAGTTTTGAGCTGTCTATCCAAGATTGTCATCTGCACCTCTGCCTTAGGTAATACTGTGTGTGTGTGTGTGTGTGTGCGCACGCGCGCACGTGTGTGTGCCTTTGCATGTGTTTGAAATATATTCTGTATCCCACACTCCACATAGGTTTGGGGCTGATCTGAAACTATACTCTTAGGGATGGGGTTAAGCTACTCTGTCACATTGTGAAGAGTTGATATGTAAGAGACTCTTAACCTTTTATAAATTACCTTTAAAATGTTTCCTTTTCTGTGAAGGGAAGAATAACAATTTGTAAACAAATGCAAAAATAACTTTAACTAAACAAAAGAACAGTTCGTTAGCCTTGTTATGATTAGCAGAGAGGATAGCTGCAGACACTGTAAAATCACTCAGCAACAAGATTTGACAAAACCTTAAATATGGCTCTATTTTTCCTGTTTTATAGAGGAAAATATTAAGGCTCTGGGAACTGAAGTACTTTTCTCAACAGTGGAGTAAGTGTCAGAGTCAAGGCTGGGTTTTACATCCCAGCTTTCCCTATACATTCCACCCTATGGTTCTGTTGTGCTGTTCCTTTGTGTGACTCCGTAAAGCCTGCTTAAAGGTGATACCATATCAAATTGTATTAACTCAGTAGCACATAACGCCAGGGAATTGATTTATAAGATGTTTATCCTTGTGGCATTGCTGAAGACCCATCTGATTAGTAGTTATCAAGTAGTCATCCTGGATAAATATATGGGTTTGATTTTTAATTTTGAAAATGAAAAATATTTTAAAATATATGTCTTACATCCATATCCCAGGAAATTCTAATCAAGTTTTAAAACTTCCAAATTTAGATAAACTAATGGTTTTTTGTTTTAATTTTCTCTCAATGAAAATAGAAGAAACTAATTGGATGGAACAGCACAGCAGAAGCATTACTTATAGCCAAAAATGGGATACAACAAGACTGAAGAAGAAAATGCAAGACAGTGCTTAAAAAAGCAGTCTAATGAAAAGTGAGGTCTCCTCTGGATGTCCTTAGGTAGACATTGCAGCAGAACTGTAAAGTTTTTCTGGAAGGCTGGGGAAGAGAGGAGGAAACAGAGAAGGGGCAAGAGGAGAAAATAGAATGAGGCTCAGAATACCAAGCCTTAGTGCTGTCCCTATCGCCTTCCTCGCTAGATCACTGGGTGATCCTGCGCAAGTTTCTTCCTTTCCCTCAGCTCATTTCCTCATCTCTAATGTAAGTGACTAGACAAGATAGCCTATGCTGTTCATTGTAACTCTAACTTTTCTTCCCAAAGCAAATAGCTGGAAAAGACACTGTGCTTACAATATGCAACAAATAAAGACAAAAGATTTTTAGAAACCCCTAGTGTAACTTGAATTCTTACAAATAAGCAATGGTACATCATAATTTTACAAAGCCCTTTTGTGATTTCATTTTTAAAATCACGTCAAGTTTTATTTTACTTCATAATAAGATAATGGGAGATAAGTGTTAAATGGGTTCATGAAGGAATGTTTGTAAAAGACACAATAATCCAAAATAGGTAATTGTTATATTAGTAGTTCCCTTTACTGGGGGGGAACAGATAAAAGAGTGTTAGGAAAAGCTTCATAAAGTGGATTATATAGAATGTGCTTTAAAAGAGTTTGGTGTTTTATTGAGTGGGGAAAGAGCAATATGGGGAGTTATTGTTCAAGGGTTAAAGCTATACAAAATGAGTCAATTACAGAGATAGGCTCCAAAACATAGTACCTATAGTTAACAATGAGGTATTTTGTATTTAACAATTTGTTAAGAGGGTCGATCTTAGGGGTTCTGACAACAACAACAACAACAACAAAGGGACGTAGGAAACATTTGGAGGTGATGGATATATTATTACCTGGATATTGGTGTGGTAACAAGATAATATATATGTGCAAACTTGCCAAACTATATCCATTAATTATGTACTGTTTGTGTATAACAATTTTACTTCAGTTCCTACTATATTGCCTGGCAAACGATAGATGTATAAAGTGAGATCAATGATTATTGCATGTGCATTTCAAAAATAATAAAGAAAGCAGGTGACAATAAAGACATCCTGAATCTTTGGGAAATAAATAGCATTCACCTGCTTTCTCATCCATTGAGATATCACCACATTTATGTACTTGTGTGTCCCTGGAAGTTTCCTGTGGGAGATTTAGTTATTCTCTTTTCGTTAGGCTTTACTGACCAAGAACAAATCACAGACTCAGAGAGCATCATAAAAAGGCCTAGACCCACGATGCCCAGAGACTCCAGGCTCAACCCACATTGATGCTGGCCCTTCAGCCATGAGACTCCATTTGCTTCTCCTTATTCTCCTTCTTTTTTAAATTCTCTTATCCCCAGGTAAGTTGGTAGCTGATTACTATAAGGTTCTGCAGATCAGAAGGCTATATCTCTGGCCAGACAAGATACTAGAATCAGTCCTGTGGGTTCAAGTACCTAATATTTACAGCTTCACTAGGATTATAATAGGGAAAAATAGAAAAGGGACTCATTTAGCAGTAGCTCCTGTTGATAAGATTCCATCCATGTCTTTTGACCTAGTGAGTGGATATAATAATCGATGCTGCTGAAATTCAATCCTATCAGATGAAACTGCCTACATGTAAATTTCCATGCCCCACCAAGCACCTCAAGATACAAAGTAAAGATACAACAGAATGTGACCTCAATGAGATGCCTTTGCGGGACATGGAAATTTATATGTAGGCAGTTAGATCTGACAGGATTGAATTTCTGTGGCATCTATTATTATATTCACTTACTAGGTCAAAAGAGATGGATGGAATCCTATCAATAGGAGCTACTGTTTAATGAGTGTTGACAAACCTGAAGGTTTTATTTGAAGAGACAAATGGAAAAATTATAATCCTAGAATAAGTGAAAATTATATGAGAGACTTTTCAAAATAAATTATGTTTTATGCGGTTATGAATAAAAAATGATTTGCAAAGTGAAAGTGAAAAGTAGAAAGGAAAGTTAAAGGAACTTCAGACAAGTGAATTAATAAGGAGCAAAGACACCAAGAAGTGCTGCTCATGGTATATTACAGGTAACCACACAGAAATGGGTAACATAACTTTCGATACAAAAATGGCTAAAATTTAATGGGCTAAGCATGCATTTTGGGGGCTTCTGGGAAAAAAAAACAGCATAATAACCCTAAAGAAGATAAAGGGAAAATTATAAATACAAAATATAAATTAATGAAACAAATGAGAAAAAACCAGTATTTTTAAAAATGTTTTTCAAAAAGTCTAATACACTTTATAATAACCTGGCAACACTGAACAAGAGAAAATGAGAACATGCTTAAAATAACTATTGCAGGAATGAAAGGTTAATATCAAAACAGATGTTTCAGAGATCCAAATAATTTTTAAATTTGTGTATTATATTCCCTCTTTGCTGTGTACCTGGGGATTTTCCTGTTGCAGTTCACTATATCATGACCATGTCATTAATTTTGATGCTAGTAAATTATTACCATCAGCATACAAATATGCTGTTGTTTTTCTGATCTAAGAAAAAGAATTTCCTTGCTTTTCTTCTGATGCCAGCTGTCATCCCATTTTTTGCTCTACTTTTCAACAAAACATCTTAGAATAGTTGTCCATACTCTCTGTCTTCAATTCCTCTCCTCTCATTGTTTCTTAAATATATCCCAATCAGGCTCTTTCTCCCTTTTTCGATCATGATATTGACACCACTTTTGTCAAAGTTACGAATAATCTCCACATTACTAGATCCAATGATCATTTTTCACTACAACTTTAATCGGCCTATTAGCAGCATTTGACACAAATAATCACTTCCTTCTTCACAGTATACTTTCTTCAGTTGGCTTCCAGGATGGCACATTCACTTGAGTCTCAGCCTGTCTCACTGGAGCTACCACTTCGGCTTCCTTTGTTTCTTCCTCATCTTTTGCATCACACCTCCTATAGGAGAGCTGCAGAGCTCAGTTCCTGGTCCTCTTCTCTTCTCCCTCACCACACACTCTTTGGAGGGGCTCAGCAAGTCTCATCCCTTTCAATTCTCCTTTTGGACCTCCTTTTGAACTCCAGGCTTAAATAAATTATCCAACTGCATAACTGGTATATCTACTTGGACACTTGATTTCAAAAGTAATATATATCCAAAACCAAACTCACGATTTTCCCTCATAAACCTCTACATACACATTTTTTCTCTTCTTGCAGAGTGCCATGGTCAGCATTGGAGCCTCTCTTAGCTTTTCTGTCCACTTTCATCCTCAGCAAGCCTCTATCTCTGCACCTCAAGAATCTCTCAGGGCTTCCATCCCTTGCCCAACCTCGGGCAGTAGCTGCCTCACACTCAGTGAAAGACCAGAGAATCTACTTCTCTCAGCTACCTGTCCTGCCCTGCCTTCAGACCTCATCAGGCCTCTCTTCTTATGCACCTGTGAGAACAGAGAGTGAAGGGGGTTTCTCTCTGCTCCCCAACCCACTCCCCAGTAACAGAGGATTTTCCCCGATTCTCACAGTGCGACCTCTACCTTTCTTTGATCTCTAATTGCAGCAGTTCCTACATGCCTGTCCCTCAAAAGTGTCTCAGGTAGTTCTCCTGCTCTCCATCTGATCTTACCTAGGAGCACACAAGATAGGTCATGAAAAAACAATTAGTGGGGCCGGGCGCCGTGGCTCACGCCTGTAATCCCAGCATTTTGGGAGGCCGAGGCACTGTAATCCCAGTACTTTGGGATCACGAGGTCAGTGGCTAACACGGTGAAACCCTGTCTCTACTAATACAAAAAATTAGCAGGGTGTGGTGGCACGTGCCTGTAGTTCCAGCTACTCGGGAGGCTGAGGCAGGACAATCGCTTGAACCCTAGAGGCGGAGGTTGCAGTGAGACGAGATCGTGCCATTGCACTCTAGCCTGGGTGACAGAGTGAGACTCCGTCAAAAAAAAAAAAAAAGGAAGAAAGAAAAGAGAGAAAGAAAGAAAGAAAGAAAGAAAGAAAGAAAGAAAGAAAGAAAGAAAGAAAGAAAGAGAAAGAGAAAGAAAGAAAGAAAAGAAAAGAAAAGCATTAAAGCATTAGTGAGTGAGTGAGTGTGTTTGGGCCCCTACTGCTGCTAAACTATCACAAGCCCACATTCAGCCTTTCAACATTTGCTTGAGGTTCACTTGTTTCCTTCTTATCTCCATCAAGGGCAGCTTCCTCCTGTTTCTGCTGCTGCAACTCAGGTACACACAAATCATCTGTGGATCCGTTCTTTTTTCAGTAGGCTTTCATTACTCTGAATTTAAGTTAATTAGCTTTTTTTGAGACCTCAGCTCTGTCTTTTAAAATGAAATCTATGATCTATAGATTATCCAGCTTATTCTCTTGGTCAGGGCAAGAGCATTTTTCTATAACTTTCTAAATTCTAAACAAAAGTAAAAGTTCACTTCTTTTCAGGATCCCCCCCATGTCAGAAAGTATTACTATTATCATCAGTTTAGTGATATTTATGGAATTCCAAGTTGACTCTGAGATCAGCTTTTGGGTTAAATTCTTTCTTCCTGATATATAGCCTTTGAAATTTTATTTGCTGCAGATCTCTTGATAGTGAACAATTTTAGTTTTTATCTGTCAATTTCATATTTTTATTTTTGTTCTTGAAAGACAGCATTACTGAGTACCCAATTCTATACTAACAGTTATTTTCTCTCAACATTTGTTGATACTAGTTTACCCATTTTTAGTTTTTGCTTTACTATAATAATCAGATAAATATTATTTCATGATAAATTGTCCTTTTTTCAATGTTTATATGGTCTGGTGTTTAGTTTTAATGTTTTATAATTTATAATTTAACTAATGTGAATTTATTTTTATAACATCTGTTAGAAATACGTTCTTTGAATCAATGGATTTATACTTTCTCCTAATTTCTTTTTGAGAATCTCTTGAAACGGTGAATCCTCTTACACTTCTCTCCCCCCATATTTGAATTAAATAAATGTTAGACCTTGTGTTTCCATGCTACATTCTGGGTATATCATTTAAGCATTTTTTTCTTTACTAATTATGCTGTTACCTATATCTAATATATCATTAATAACTTGCATTTATTTTTAAATTTTTTTTTAATTCAGACCTGCCTTTGTGTTTTGTTTTGTTTTTTTGGAGACAGAGTCTCACTCTGTTGCCCAGGCTGGAATGCAGTGGTACAGTCTTGGGTCACTGCAACCTCCACCTCCCGGGTTCAAGTGATTCTCCTGCCTCAGCCTCCTGAGCAGCTGGGACTACAGGTGCCCACCACCATGTTCAGCTAATTTTTATATATATATATACTTTTTTTTTTAGTAGAGACAAGTTTTCACCATCTTGGGCATGCTGTTCTTGAACTCCTGGCCTCGTGATCTACCCGCCTCGGCCCCCCAAGGTGCTGCAATTACAGGCATGAGCCACCACGCCCAGCCAGATCTGCCCATTTTTTCTATCATCTATATTGTTTTACTATTGATTTTACATCTTTGTAATAGTAGACTGTTTCTTTAAACAATCAATACACAGGTGCTTAATTATTTCTCCACATTGACAATTTCAACACATTTAGTTTTCAAGGATTTAAATGTGCTATTCATTTCATTAACTTTTATTCATGCTGTCTTGCTTACCTGATCATTTTTAATACTGAACTCATTGCTCTTCCTTAATCTGCCATCATTCTACGGTCTGAAATGAGAATGCTATTATCCAAACTTCCTCTGTGAAACTGACTCAAAGCTTTATCTCAATATGGAAGTTCCAGGATTAACGAACTGGAATTTCTGATGGCCCAAGAGTCAGTAGTACCACCATTAGCATTACTGATAATAGCAGATCATCCTAGAAGATCTGGGAAACCCTCACCCACCTCCATCAGCTAGCCAATACAAAGTACCCAGTGCTCAAGCTCCAGTTCACAGACTATTTTTTGTATTTGAAAGAGGAGATATTTTAAGAACTTCCCTAACCATTTTCAAGGATAGAAATGTTTCAAAGAGATCCTCTAAAATGTATTTGTTCGATAGCAGCAGTCATTTAAGAACAGCTAACTTGCAATCATGGCCAAAAGCCTAAATCTTTCTTTCATTCTAATCACAGATATTTTGTATCTTTTGGAGATATCTCAGATTCAGATGTATTCATACTATTCTATGATTTGGGACACTGCTATAGATTCTTCAAAATGTTACAACATTCCAGTGGTATTTTGGGAGGTATGGAAGGAGAGGAAAAACAATGGGCTCAAGTCTCCCCTGACTTCTCTTCTTACAACATATTTCATTGTCCAGAACTTTTAGAACTATATTAATACAACATTGACAGTGGGTATTCTTCTTTTCCTTCTGATTTTAATAGGATTGAAGGAAGTGTTTTGCTATGAAATTGCTATATGCGTTGTATTCAGACAAATTTTGACTTTGTAAAGGCAATATTCTTCTCATTAATTTAAAATGTTTACCAGGATTC
The DNA here is from genome assembly GCF_000001405.40 of Homo sapiens. NCBI lineage: Eukaryota > Metazoa > Chordata > Mammalia > Primates > Hominidae > Homo > Homo sapiens. The sequence goes on along the minus strand of NW_018654717.1, from coordinate 5,590,526 downwards.
ACAGTATTATTTTCAATTCTCCCCATTCAAAGGCATATTTAAATAACTTGATGAAAGGGGAATATTATATATGTTACTCTACTATGGAAACAGAAAAAACCACCACCAAATTGTATTCTAGATACTTTGTACACCAATTGCACCATCTTTTTTTATCTAAGACATTCAATTCTTCCACAGGCGGAAGCACATGAATTAGCATCATTTACTACTTGTAGTTTTCACTACAGACTTTCAGACCTATGGTACCTAAAGGAAATAGAATGCTTCTAGCTGGGTTTAAAAGCTACAAATAAACAGAGGAAATATACACTATTTTGAAAGTACCACTTGAGTGTTCTGTATGTATTTCAATATTATGTTGCTAATTTTAATTGTTCAAGGTTAAGGAGCTTAAACCTCCTCCTCATACATTCCTGAATCATCCATTACTCCCACACATACATTGTTTGATACAGCATAATCCTAAGTAAGTAAAGAGGTAGCAAAATGAAAAAAAATAAAATAATGTGATACCATTCTCATCTAGGAATGGCATCAGTGGACAGATGTGAATAAAAGTAATGTGATTATAATTTTAAAAATCATATTTAATAGGATCCATTTATTATTAAATGAACATTAAATTACTTAATGTATAATAAATCCTTAACACAATGAAAACTCTTAATGCAGAGTGAGACCAAAATGAAGGTATTAACTGTTTTCTTCCTAATCCTTGCTTTACTTGTTATTTCCACCAGACCGTCACTTTATTTGAAGGATATTGTAATAACACAAAGCCCTCAGCTTTGCCATTAGAGAGATCTTCCTTAAATTATCTTTGTTGTAATAAAGGTCATCTGGAGGAAATACTGGTCTGAATACAATAATAAATGTTAAGCTTTCTAGTATTTTCCACTTTTAGACACAAATTGAAAGAATCATTTATAATGTCAAAAACACTTTTTTCTAACTAATCTATTCTATGCCTAAGACACTACTAGCAATTAAAGTAGATAGATCAAATCTAAATGTGGAGAGAAAAAGTAATTTCTACTTATGTTTAAACAGATGAAAGCATGAATAAATTGAAAGCCTGAAATATTAGCTTGGGGGAATAACGTCACTTTTGGGGAGCAGGAACAGGATATATCAGCTTTTAGCTCTACACCCTCCCCGCAAGAAAAAAATATATAGATAGTTATGTACAAACCAAAATAGCCCTGGGAGGGTTCAAGGGACCATTTAAGAAACTATGGCAACACAGTGAGGACAAAAAAAAAAAAAAAAAAAAAGATAGAGAGAGTGAAAGAAAAAAAACTAGCCATATAGAAAAAACAGCTGCTGAAATCAGCATACCTGAGATGCCAGAAACATCTTTTTTGGCTAGAAACAAAAACAGAAAGGGACTATCTGTATCAGCCACAAGGTGGAACCACCAAGGCCCTCAGTAACCCACTCTGGCAGAAGACACTGGCATTTTTTGCCACTGGAGTAAGCAACATCCCTTTCTGACAGAAAACCCAGAGAAAAAGATGAAGATGTACCATCTCCTCCCACATCCCTTTTCCCCACCAAAAATGCAGTGACTGTTGGGCCAAACCAGGATTGGAACTGCTACCTTTCTTAAACTGCATGTGTCTCTGACATATGAGCAGCAACCATTTCAAGAGCTCCCACATAAAAACGTTCATACTAAATTTATTCTGTTACTTAAGAGTGTTTATGGATTTACATTCCATTTGTGGACTAATTTTCTCACTGGATCTTCTTTCCTGCAGTAAGAGGTGATTTGGGTCCTGTGGAAGGTCATTGTCTCAATTTGTCTGGTGTTTGCAGAAGAGATGTCTGCAAAGTAGTAGAAGATCAAATTGGTGCCTGCCGAAGAAGGATGAAGTGTTGTAGAACATGGTGGATTTTAATGCCAATTCCAACACCACTTATCATGTCAGATTATCAAGAACCCCTTAAACATAAGTTGAAATGAAACTGAGACAAAATAAAAATACATCAAAAGTGAAGTTATTTGCATCTAAGAATATTAAAATATACATATTAAGTAATTCCATCTTGATAACCATCTTGCATTTTCACTTATCAACATAAATGAATAAATACTAATTTCAAATATACCCAAGTACTATTTCTTTGTGAGTCATTAACAGATCTTAACAAAACTTTTAAAAATGAGAAAACTGTTACTTTCGTTTTCCAAGATGGTGGATTGAAGGCATTGTTAGTTTGCCTCTTGCACTTGAAAAGACAAAATGGCATGTAGAGACTCACACTGTGAACTTTCTTTCAAGAAGCAACACAGGAATTTAACAGGAAAATTGAAATAAGCCACAGACCATGTGAAAGAAACGGCAGGATGCAGCTTACACCATAAGCTAGGCAGAAAATTGTAAGTTTCCAGGGTGTGACAGGAGGGTAAACTGACTCTAAGATATACACTTCCACTGGGAAACCTATCAATCCAGGCCGTGAGGGAAGGCCTTAACCCTACTCAGCGCTGGAGCTGATTTAGGGAAGAGTGGTGAGTATATGAGGAGTGGCATTGGGATGTGCTTTGAATCTCCAGCACATTCCCAGTTTCTGGTAGAATGGAGGGAAGCCATTTCTGATTCTACCTCAGACAGGACCTCCTAGAAGTCTGCCAGCTAACTCAGATGGTGGTCACAGGTTGAGACAACCTCCCAACTGAAATGTGTGATATAATCTTGACTGGGGACAAACTCCCCAGGCCAGAACTGAGAGGTGAGTGGGAAGTGTGCTGCAGCAGCAAGCACAGGAGCTGAGGGCCCCTGCTCTGCAGGTGGATCAGGAAGGGTGTGGCCTGAAGTTTGCAGTTGCTGTCTCTATAAGGGAGTCTTATGGTATGGGTCAGTTTTGAGTTCTGAGCTCAGACTTCTTGAAACTTAGCTAGCTACTCCCATTGGAACACTGTGGGTGTGAGACCTGCCTTGCCAAGTGTGTGGGAGCTGGATGGGGCTTACTACCAAGCTGCTACTCCCCATTCCTCATATGGACTCTCCTTGTACAGAGGCAGAGACAGCTTCACTTCTCTCTGGAAAATTACTCCAGTGGCCCAAGAACTGCCTTCCAATTCCCACTGGAGCCACTGCTTGTCCCACACATAGACAGCCAGAGCATCACCTTACCTGACCTAGTTCCCACCTGGCTTTGCTCAACCACCTACCCTGGTAGATTAACACAAATAACAGAAGAAACTTTTAGAAGCTCTATGGCTCCACCTATTTCCTGAGACACCAGAGTGCCTCCCATGGGTAACATAAGGCAAGTCCAAATCTCACCACTACCACCACAGCTGGCAGTCTTTTGGAAGCACCACCTCCTGGCTGAAGGCCTACTGACAGTCCTTTACAGCATCTGCAGGTAGAATAACATAGCACCCAGGAAGGAGAAAAGTTGTGAGTGACCACAACTGTTACCATTGCTTGCATCATTCTGGCTAAGCAGGAGGCCATGAGTCTGTCCATGTGATGAGTTCATTACTACTACAACTGGCATTTGAGAAATCCAATACACAACACACTAGGACTATTTATAACCAAGGAATCTTTCAGAGTCTACATCACTCCCCTGCCATCCCCATCTGATCAGCTGCTGATACACACTGCTGTGAGACTTGAGGACAGATTATATCACTGGATCCATTGCAGACATTCTTGAGCACCAGCCTGGTGTGCGGCAGCCCCACTGGGTAGCTAGACCCAGAGAAGCAGCAGCAGCATATGCAGTAATCTGAATTTCAGGGACTCCTACTCTGAGGAAAGAGGAAGCACACCACATCAAGGGAGCACCCTGGGGACAAAATAATCTAGATGACCTTGAGTCCCAGAACATTCCACTTGTGGGAAGTTGTTTGGTGGTTTGTTTGTTTCTGTTTTTTTTCCAGCAGAGGAACATGTGCATGCTAGGCTCAGCGAGGAAAGTCTGTAGCTATAGCTCAACAATCAGGCAGCCTTGATGCTCAAGAAGAGTCTTGGAGAATGGAGACTTATTTTCCATCTCATACACTACTGCAGACACAATAGTACTGTACTCAGAGCCAGTGTACTGAGGTGAGTGGCCATAAAACCTACTGAGACACCAGCCAGGACAGCTAAAGGAGTACTTGCATTACCACTCCCCCAACCCCAGGCAGCACAGCTTGCAGCTCCAAAAAAGACTGCTTCCTTCTGCTAGAGGAGATTAGAGGAAAGAGTAGAAAGGACTTTGTCTTGCATCTTGGATATCAGTTGAGCCACAGTAGGATAGGGCACTGGTCAGGGTCATGAGGCCCCCATTGTGGATGTAACTAACTTTTTTTTCTTTAATTTTATAGGCTGATAGGCAGAAGGGACTTGTCTCAAATAAGACTTTGGACTTGGAGTTTTGAGTTATGCTGGAATCAGTTAAGACTTTGGGGGACTGTTGGAAAAGCATGATTGGCTTTGAAATATATATAAAAGACATGAGATTTGGGAGGTGCCAGGAGCAGAATAATATGGTTTGGCTCTGTGTCCCCACCCAAACCTCATCTCAAATTATTGTCCCCACACATCGACAGAGGGACCTGTAATCGCCATGTGTCGAAGAAGTTTACTTCATGTTATCCTCATGATAGTGAGTGAATTCTTAGGAGATCTGATGGTTTTAAGAGTAGGTGGTTTTTTTTTTTTTTTTTTCTGTGCACTCACTTCTCTCCCTGCCACCTTGTGAAAAAAGGTGCCTACTTCTGTCTTGCCTTCCACCATGACTGTAAGTTTCCTGAGGCCTCCCCAGTGATGCAGAACTGTGAATTAATTAAACAACTTCCCTTTGTAAATTACCCAGTGTGGGGTAGTGTCTTTACAACAGTGTAAAAATGGACTAATACAGGTTCCCTGAAATATTCTGAGTCCCTTTGGAGGCAAGAATCTCTTTATACCAGCATGGTATACTGATGAAGTACATCCTGATCTCATGGTCTGAGAAAGAATTTATACATACCCTTTATGTGTCAGCAACTCTATGTGAAGGCTTTTGAGCCCCAAAATGGGCTTTCTTGCCCCATCTAGTCTATCTAACATTTTTCTAAGCCAACTCAATGTCTTTCATCCACACTGGGATAGGTCCTAAATTGCTGTCTGTTGCCCACCTGAGATAATGAGATGTTAAATCAGGTGTGTGTGACCCAGATACATCTATCTGAGTGGCAGGAGAGGGTCTATCTGTTCACAAGAGTCTCTGCAACATTTTCTAAGTCAGTTCAGAAGCTTATTGATTCACGTTTGCAGGAAACGTAGCCATGAGAAAAGTCTCCAAAAATTCCTGACCTTTTGGAAATTTTTAAAGTCTCCACAGGTTTCCAGAGGTGACTGTAGCTGCACTGAAAGTCACTGCCTGGATAACTGGCCTGTTAAAGCAAATGCAAAATACGCTAAGCCCACTAAGGATACCCAGAAGCCATGGTATTCAATTAATTTTTGTCTTTCTTGCAGGTGGGAGAATACTGAGGATTATGCCCTCCTATAGCCAGTGAAGGTTATTCCAGTGCCTAGATGTACCAGTCAAGAGAGGTCATGGGAGAGCAGATGGCAGAAAGGGCAGCCAGGTCCTTTCGCTGGGGTTTACTGTTTGTCATGAGCTCTGCTGCTGGGCAGCATGTGTGATTTCTGACTCCTGCCATGTCCTCAAGAAGCCTTGCCCCATCAGCCAGCTGTACTACCTCCTGAAAGCTGGTGTATGTTTGTTAGCATGGAGATCCAGAACAAGAGTCACTTTAGTATTTATCCATAGAGTCCCAATGTGTGCACATGCTTACCTGCAGGTTGTTTTTCCTATTTTCTGAATGTTAATCCTTGCCTTCTGGAACTCAATATTACCCCCTGTGGCCAAATATGGGATAATTGTAAGGGGAAACTGCTGTTTAGGTCCCAAGTCCACAGGGTTAGTATTATTATCAATATTAAAATTGTTAATTATGGATATTAGTATCATAATAATCATCATCATTCCTGTTAATACTCATCAATATGTTTATTATTACTATCATTAAGATGGTTTATTAATGTTATTATTCAGTAATAAATGTTTAGTTTCTCCACTCACTCAGTCAAACTGGAATCTGACTCCCGATATGACTATGGATATGACTGCATATGACTATGAGGGTTACCCTGTAGATATAGACATGAACAGCTGTCCCAGAGACAGCTCTTGCAGGCACTAATTGCTCTTTCATAGGATGAGTTCCTTACAGGAGAGAAGGGCTGATCTCCATGATGTGGTTTCCTCAGGGTCTCATTAAGGGCTGGTGATACAGGAGCACTGCCTACCCCTCTTCCTCATGTGAGAGTGGTACATTCTCTGTTGTCATGGCTGGGATGGCTCCATCTTGAACATATAAATTCCAGGTTGTAGAAGTAAAAAAGCAAAAGATGCATTGGATCTGCATAGGGAACTGCAAGCCATCCTGCAACCTCAGGACACACTCAGAAACAACCACGTGGACCACATCACCCAAGCTCAGCTGCATGGCTCTCCGTTGGGGTAGGACAAGGACCTCTTCCACCAGGCTCAACTGGAGTCCTATCCCTGGTCCCAGGACCACAAGGAGCATCTCTTTTTTTGGAATCACACTGCTCCATTCGAAGGACAGCCCTCAGTTCTCTGTCTTCAAAAGAGGCTGCAAATGGTGCTGATTGGCAGGGAGCCGACAGCAGCAACACCCTCTACAACTTTAAAATAAAAATGTCTCCCAGGGTGGGATATTATGCTGACCCTACCTAAAAGCACATTCCCTAGATGTTGCTTGTTGCCTGGAGTTTGAACAGCATTGTCCAAACTTTGCCATTGAAGAACAAGGAAACTTACCTGGGGTAGTTGCAGGAGTAGGCCTAAATCCAGGTGTGAAGATCCTTGAACTGGGGGTGTTTCTGTACCTGTAGAGATTGCAGACTGGGAAAGGTAAGGCTCTGGTCCTGCCAGACTCTCTAGAGGTTAAGAAAGTGATCTGCAGAAAGACATGAACTAGCACAGGCAACTGTAGAACATCTGCCCCCAAGAATCATAAATGCCTTTTCACTCATCCTGCAGAATGCACTCTCTACTTTAATGATCGTGTGGGATGTGACTTTAATTTGTAGGCATGAGGATTGATCTTAAGAAAAAGCAGGGAAAGTGCCTTACCTGTTCTGGGACTCTGCTCCACTTGCCAACATTTGAGTGGATTCATTTGTGTTGTAGTCAAGCTACAGGAAATAAAGGGACCAGTCAGTCTTCCACACAATGACACAGAGGCCAATTATCACAAGTCCAAATCTCCATTTGTCATCCAGCTCACATTCCCGTTGTGGCACAAGGACACATGCACTCGTGTCCAACTCCAAATAGTAGCTTCACATAGTATGTCAGCACTCTCCCACCATCATCTCTTCTAGAAGGTCTTCCGCTGGATTGGAAATGGCCTGGGATAAAAGATAATGACCACAGGAAGCAGTTGTTTTTTTAGGATCTGATCCACATGAGAAGGTAGGACATCTAATTTGGTCTGAGGACTTTAGCTATGCTAATATTTCAGGTAACTGTCCCCTGTGTCTATAGAGTTACATTGTGAATGGAGTGAGAGATGATGAAAACTGTTTTCTTTCCTAGTGAGTATGAGGTAGAACCCTTATATCATGCTCTCTGTTGCCTGTTCTCCATACAGAGCCATCTCCCATTTAGAGAGAAGACATGGATTGTCAGTGGGAGCAAGCCTGAGACATGCCCACTGGCAGCTCCCAGAAACCCCTGAAACCTGGCCACATCCTGAAGTTTCCACTGTGGGTCTCATGCCTCCCTTGGTATCTTGAATTCAGAACATTTAATGTCATGGCAGGCCAGGGAACTTCCTCTGCTCTAGTTTGGCTCTCTATCGCACATTCACACCCACACACACACACACACACACACAGTCACACACACTCACACATCAACCTACTGGCAAACCAAGGTAGAAACACACACACATACCTGCTCAATCCAGGCCAATATCCCTGATGAACATTAATGCAAAAATTCTTAATAAAATACTAGCAAACGGAATCCAGCAGCACATCAAAAAGCTTATCCACCACAATCAAGTCGGCTGCATCTTTGGGATGAAAGGCTGGTTCAACATACACAAATGAATAAATGTAATTGATCACATAAACAGAACCAAAGACAAAAACCAGACAATTATTTCAATAGATGCAAAAATGCCTTTGATAAAATTCACCATCCCTTCATGTTAAAAACTCTCAATAAACTAGGTACTGATGGAACATATTGCAAAATAATAGAGCTATTTATAACAAACCCACAGCCCACATCATATTGAATAGGCAAAAGCTGGAAGCATTCCTTTCAAAAACTGGTACAAGACAAGGATGTCCTCTGTAACCACTTCTATTCAACATAGTATTGGAAGTTCTCACCAGGGCTATCAGGCAAGAGAAAGAAATAAAATGTATTCAAATAGGAAGAGAGTAAGTGAAGTTGTCTCTGTTTGCAGATGACATGACTTTATATTTAGAAAACCCCATCATCTCAATTCAAAAACTTCTTGAACTGATAAGCAACTTCACCAAGTTCTCAAGATATTAAATCATTGTGCAAAAATCACAAACATTCCTTTACATCAACAATAGTTAAGCAGAGAGCCAGATCAAGAATGAACTCCCATTCACAATTGCTATAAAGAGAATAAAATACCTAGGGATACAGTTAGGAGTACAAGAGATGTGAAGGACCTCTTCAAAGACAACTGCAAACCACTGCTCAAGGAAATAAGAGAGGACACAAATGAATGGAAAAACATTCCATCCTCATGAATAGGAAGAATCAATATTGTGAAAATGTCCATACTGCCCAAACTAATTTATAGATTCAATGCTGTACCCATCAAGCTACCATTGATATTTTTCACAGAATTAGAAAGAACTATTTTAAATTTCATATGAAATCAAAGAATACCCTGTATAGCCAAGACAATTGTAAGCAAAAATAACAAAGCTGGAGGCATTACGCTACCTAACTTCAAACTATACTAGAAGGCCACAGTAACCAAAACAGCATGCTACTGCTGCCAAAACAGACATATAGACCAATGGAGCAGAACAAAGACCTCAGAAATAACCCCACACATCTACGACCATCTGATCTTTGACAAACCTGACAAAAACAAGCAAGGGAGAAAGGATCTCCTATTCAGTAAATGCTGCTGGAAAAACTGGCTTGCCATAGGCAAGAAACTAAAACTGGACCCCTTCCTTACACCTTATACAAAAATTAACTCAATATGGATTAAAGACTTAAATGTAAAATCCAAAACCATAAAAACCCTAGAAGAAAATTTAAGCAATACCATTCAGGACATAGGCATGGGCAAAGACTTCATGACAAAAATGCCAAAAGCAATTGCAACAAAAGCCAAAATTGACAAATTGGATCTAATTAAACTAAAGACCTTCTGCACAGCAAAGAAACTATCATCAGCATGAAAAAGCAACCTACAGAATGGGAGAAAATTGTTGCAATCTGCCCATCTGACAAAGGTCTAATAACCAAAGTTGACAAGGAACTTAAACATATTTACAAGCAAAAAAACAAACAACCCCATCAAAAGTGAGCAAAAGATATGAACAGAAACTTATCAAAAGAAGACATTTATGCAACCAACAAATATATTTTTAAAAAGCTCAACAACACTGATCATCAGAGAAATGAAAATCAAAATTACAGTGAGATACCATCTCACACCCGTCAGAATGGCGATTATTAAAAAATTAAGAAACAATAGATGCTGGTGAGGCTGAGAAGAAAGAGGAAGGTTTTTACACTGTTGGTGAAACTGTAAATTAGTTCAACCATTGTGGAAGACAGTATGGCGATTCCTCAAGGATCTAGAACCAGAAATACCATTTGACCCAGCAATCGCATTACTGGCTATGTACCCAAAGGAATATAAATCATTCCACTATAAAGACACATGCACACGTATGTTTATTGCAGCACTATATACAATAGGAAAGACATGAAACCAACCCAAATGCCCTTCAGTGCTAGAATGGATAAAGAAAATGTGGTACGTATACACCAAAAAATACTATGCAGTCATAAAAAGGAATGAGATCATGTCTTTTGCAGGCACATGGATGAAGGTGAAGCCATCATACTGAGCAAACTAACACAGGAACAACAACAAAAAAAAAACAAATACCGCATGTTCTCACTAATAAGTGAAAGTTGAACACTGAGGAAACAAGGACACAGTGAGAGGAACAACACACAACACAGCCCGTTGGGGGCTGGGGGTGAGGGAAGGAAACTTACAGGATAAGTCAATAGGTGCAACGAACCACCATAGCAGAGGATACCTATATAACAAACCTGCTCGTTCTGCACATGTATCCTGTATTTTTTAAATTTAAAAAGAGGAAATACGTACATACATACATACATGCATACATACATACATACGTACGTACATACTTTTGAAAAACGTCTATACAGCTTGGATCTTCATTCCTGATAAGCCAAGGAACCTGGAGAAACACCAGAATTCTGTCCCTCTGAGAATGCTGGACAGGTTTACCTTCATCACCATAAAATTTTGGAACAAATGTGGTAACTGCAGGTTCTCCCCACAATGAGTAACTGAAAATTGAGGCAGTATTGCAGATCCTAAAAAACTGATGAAGTAATTCACCACACATTTGGGTTGTTTTTGCCTTTTCCTACTATGAAGATTGCTAGTAGGAAGAATGGTGTACAAGTATCTGTTTGATTCCCTGCTTTTAGAATCCTTTGCTTGTTTGTGTGTTTGTCTGTTCCTTCTTGAGACAGGATTTCACTCCAGTCAGCCAGGCTTTTCCAGTGTGTAATTTTTGTTGTTTCCTTTTGTCAAGTTTTAGAAGTTGTTATTTTACTTCTATTGAATTTTAAGGCATTTTTAGATATGTATTAAAACATTATCACACATGCCGTGTGTTACATTGCAATTATCTTCATCGTTCCTTTAAGAAACAAAAGGTTTTAGCTTAGATATCTTCCAATTTGTGAAGCTTTTCTGATTTTGACTTTTTTAAAAATGATGTCATATACAAGAAACCCTTGGATTAAAAATGCCATGAATATTTCTCTCATACACACAAACTGTTTAATATGTACACAATTGTTAAATAGCATTGTTATATATGAAATAAGGCAAATGTTTAGCTACTATCCTAGCCCGGTTCCACACCTAACATATTTGCTCATAATACTGACAAGTAAATCTGCTTCAACTCTTCCATAGTCACAGTGTAAGCAGTGTCCATTAAATTCTCTGAGGAATGCAAGAGGATACAACCTAAGACAAAAAACTTAATTGAATCCTGATATATTATTAGTAAATAGGGTAATTGATGGATAAATGTAATGGTCTCGGTGGGTGGACAGTAGTTATATAAGGGCTGATGCAGCAAGATAATTATTTAAAAGAGTTTGAAAGAAATGGAAACAGAAGAGTGGATGTATTCAGCTAAAATAAAATCCGGAAGCCCTGAAATAAATCTCATTTTGGGTGTAAAAAAATGGCATTAGAGGAGATTCTGGGTCAATCATCAAGCTGTGAAAGCTGCATCTTGGAAGCAGGATCCCTGTAATGCAACGAGACTTGTATATCAGAGGTGGTCTTTCAGTGGAAAAGATTTTGAAGAACGGACCCTTCCTTTTGTGTATTTGACGATTAGACTTCATGCCAAATCTCGGGTTTAAAACTCTATTTAAACATTAACAGAATTAATTAAAATGGCAAAAAATCAAGAAATTTTTTGATTAGGAATCATCACATATTCATTTCTTGTTAGGTACAGTTATCAAAGATGACCTACCAGAGAGAAACGATTGTGGAGAATGGCCCCTTACTTTTGTATATTTGCTGATAAGATTTCATAGTCCATTTATCATTAGGTACAAAGATCAAAGTTGACCTACCAAAGAGTTGAGATGTCCAGGACAGAACTCAGGGCTCAGTAGAACCACAGAATCTTGGGTGAAATATTGCTCAAGAACAAAAATGTGCTTATTCAGAGTGTTTGTGTGTGACATGTGTGTGAATTAAAGTGCAATGAGCATGACATGCAGGCAGGACATCAATTCGGCTCACCTCAAAAGCAGTTATGAGCATTAAAGGACAACAATTCCTAGGTCCCGCTTAAAGAGATAAGACCATCCAACACCCTGTGTGAAGCCACGGCATCTGGATTGCTCATGTTTCTGGGGAACATTCTTCTGAAAATGGCGGCTCCTTTCTCCCTGTGGAGCATCTTTCTAAGCAGTGCTCCTTTCTTCCCCCAGGACACTTTACATCAGGCATAGGAAGCCTTCTGATGAAGTACACCTGGCCCATGAAAAGACAAAGGAAAGAAACAGGGCCAAAGGTCACAGCCCACTCATTTCATCACCATCCTTAAAATCATCCTAATTTCATGGGCCATGAAGCCAGGGCTGTTTCTTTACACCCAGAGGCCTTGGCGCCGGGCCTCAATTCTGCCCTGTTCCTTACTGTCTAAGACATTTTGGGAAAATCCCTAGAGCCAGGATCTTCATTCCTGGTAAGCCAGAGAGCCTGAAGACACACCCAAATGCTGTCCCTCTTAGTTCAGGGAACATGTCCACTTTCGTCAGCATTACAATTTTTGCACCAAATGTACTAACTGCAATTCCACCATACAATGCATAACTGGAAATGGAGGGAACATCTCAGAGCATGAACAACTGATGCGAGAATCCAGGAGATACACGGTTTATTTTTGCCATTTCCCAGTGAAACAAAAGCCAGTATTAAAAAGGTTATGCTACCCTCTGTTTCACTCACTGCTTTTAAACGTCTCCGATGTTTTCTTCTTCAGACAGGGCCTCACTCCCGTCACCCGGGCTTTTCTACGGTATAATTTTCCTTGTTTGCTTTTGTCAAAATTAGAACTTTTTATTTCATCTCTATGAAATGTTGATCCATTATCACGTAAGTATGGAAATAGTATCAGCCACGCTGTGAGATACGTTGTTTTTATTTTCATCAGTTATTTAATAAACAAAAGCTTATAGTTGGGATACCTTTGGATTTCTCAAGTTTTTTGTTTCAAGTTTTCTTAAACTGCCGCCGCACGTCCGAAACCACTCACTATACAATGTCAGGACCATCTCTCTTTTCTGGCACACATAAATTTGGGGAATGTCATCAATTAGTCTCTCGGTGATTGCATGATTTCCCCAAAGTCTTTCACAGCCTACTTTGTGCACTGAGTATCTCTTCAAACTTTAGTGCATGTTTCTACCATTTGATGCTTTATTATTTGGCAGCCTAGCTTCCACAAGAGCATTTCATGCAAAGACTTGTCTTGTTCTCCACTGGCCAGTAATTTCACTCGGATAGAGAGTCAATAGGCTGAACGTGGAAAGGTTATCCCTGGAAGGTCTGTTTGATTCCACGGATCTCTCCTTTATTATTAAGGAAGAAAATACGCTGTGCTAAATACTATACTTCATTGACTATTCTCAGGTCAGAAAGCGCACTTCAGACTTCTTGTCCTTCCGTTGATGAGAGGATGACGGTAGCTGCCAAAAGTACATACTTGGAAGTTCATCCCAGCACAAGCACACACACACACACACAAACACACACACACACACACACACACAGAGAGAGATACACACACGGTTTCATAGGTAAAGATTTCTTCCCTGACATTCTTTTACCTAAAATAAGGCAACTGTGTGGCCACTGTCCCAACCCGGTTACACTCATATTATATGTGCCTATCACCCTGAGGAGTAATTTGATTCAGGTGTTCTAGAAGTCATGATGTGGGCTGTGTCTGTTGAATTCCCAGCGATGCAAGGGGACACACCCTGTGACTCATTCCTTAATTGAGTGCTGATATTTGATTGGTTTATCGCACACCTGATGGGTGGGTGGGGTGTTCGCGGTTGGTGGGGGTGAGTTATATAAGGGCTGATGCGGCCAGAGAGCTCGTCATTTGAAGACTCTCTTGGAAGAGATAGCGTCTTGCTGCAACCTGCGGTCCCAGCAGAAAAACCTTGTGATCCTTGTTGCGGGCGACATGGAGGACGACTCACTCTACTTGGGAGGTGAGTGGCAGTTCAACCACTTTTCAAAACTCACATCTTCTCGGCCAGATGCAGCTTTTGCTGAAATCCAGCGGACTTCTCTCCCTGAGAAGTCACCACTCTCATCTGAGGCCCGTGTCGACCTCTGTGATGATTTGGCTCCTGTGGCAAGACAGCTTGCTCCCAGGAAGAAGCTTCCTCTGAGTAGCAGGAGACCTGCTGCGGTGGGGGCTGGGCTCCAGAATATGGGAAATACCTGCTACGAGAACGCTTCCCTGCAGTGCCTGACATACACACCGCCCCTTGCCAACTACATGCTGTCCCGGGAGCACTCTCAAACATGTCAGCGTCCCAAGTGCTGCATGCTCTGTACTATGCAAGCTCACATCACATGGGCCCTCCACAGTCCTGGTCATGTCATCCAGCCCTCACAGGCATTGGCTGCTGGCTTCCATAGAGGCAAGCAGGAAGATGCCCATGAATTTCTCATGTTCACTGTGGATGCCATGAAAAAGGCATGCCTTCCCGGCCACAAGCAGGTAGATCATCACTCTAAGGACACCACCCTCATCCACCAAATATTTGGAGGCTGCTGGAGATCTCAAATCAAGTGTCTCCACTGCCACGGGATTTCAGACACTTTTGACCCTTACCTGGACATCGCCCTGGATATCCAGGCAGCTCAGAGTGTCAAGCAAGCTTTGGAACAGTTGGTGAAGCCCGAAGAACTCAATGGAGAGAATGCCTATCATTGCGGTCTTTGTCTCCAGAGGGCGCCAGCCTCCAAGACGTTAACTTTACACACTTCTGCCAAGGTCCTCATCCTTGTCTTGAAGAGATTCTCCGATGTCACAGGCAACAAACTTGCCAAGAATGTGCAATATCCTGAGTGCCTTGACATGCAGCCATACATGTCTCAGCAGAACACAGGACCTCTTGTCTATGTCCTCTATGCTGTGCTGGTCCACGCTGGGTGGAGTTGTCACGATGGACATTACTTCTCTTATGTCAAAGCTCAAGAAGGCCAGTGGTATAAAATGGATGATGCCAAGGTCACTGCCTGTAGCATCACTTCTGTCCTGAGTCAACAGGCCTATGTCCTCTTTTACATCCAGAAGAGTGAATGGGAAAGACACAGTGAGAGTGTGTCAAGAGGCAGGGAACCAAGAGCCCTCGGCGCTGAAGACACAGACAGGCGAGCAACGCAAGGAGAGCTCAAGAGAGACCACCCCTGCCTCCAGGCACCCGAGTTGGACGAGCGCTTGGTGGAAAGAGCCACTCAGGAAAGCACCTTAGACCACTGGAGATTCCCCCAAGAGCAAAACAAAACGAAGCCTGAGTTCAACGTCAGAAAAGTCGAAGGTACCCTGCCTCCCAACGTACTTGTGATTCATCAATCGAAATACAAGTGTGGGATGAAAAACCATCATCCTGAACAGCAAAGCTCCCTGCTAAACCTCTCTTCGACGACCCGGACAGATCAGGAGTCCGTGAACACTGGCACCCTCGCTTCTCTGCAAGGGAGGACCAGGAGATCCAAAGGGAAGAACAAACACAGCAAGAGGGCTCTGCTTGTGTGCCAGTGA
Source organism: Homo sapiens (assembly GCF_000001405.40). Taxonomy (NCBI): domain Eukaryota; kingdom Metazoa; phylum Chordata; class Mammalia; order Primates; family Hominidae; genus Homo; species Homo sapiens. The sequence continues at coordinate 5,574,834 of NW_018654717.1, read as the reverse complement.
TCTCAGTGGAAGTGCCGACCCACACGTAGGGGTGAACGCACACACACACACGCACAAATACACCCACAAGCGCGCACGCAAACACACACACACACACAAACACGAACACCGTCAATCCTACATAAAGTAATGAGGAGTCCAAGTTTCTGTCTCTACAACAGGGACAACTGGATAGTGATGGCTGCATCTCAGGATGAGCCCACACATGGGAAACATCAAGTTTTGGGGTCGTGAGTCTTCCAAACCTCTGGAGAGACTGTCTGTGTGTTTGTGTTCATGGTAGATGACATTCACTGTGTATTTCTGAATATGACCTACTGACGTGTAGGTTTGAGTGTGAGGTTATTGCAGGGGACTCGGTTTCCTATTTTCTCTTGGGGTGTGTTTCATTCGTCAGTTGTTGGGCGGCACGAGAAGGTGAAATTTTGCTCATGTGGCACATCCATGGATCATTCTCGCCACCTTGAATAGTGGAAACTGGAATGCATTTAGAAGATAGGAACGGTGCTCTTCTTTCTTACCCTGGCTCACCGTTTTTACATTGGTTTCTGAATGGACCTCAGGCGCCCTGGGACTTGTGCTCTTGCTGGAACCCACATAACGCCGGAAACAGACAGACCGACTTGCCTGTTTCACGGTGTCCACTTCCAATGAGTCGAAATGGAAAATTTTCCCACTGGCATGTCAGTCATTTGGAAATAAGTCGTATTGATAATAAAGGAAATCAAACACAGGAGTGTGTGTATTCAACTGAAATAAATTCAGAAAGCCCTGAAATAAACCTCATTTGGTGTGCTTACAAATGGCATTTGGGGAGATTCCAGGTCATTCGTCCAGCTGCGAAAGCTGCATCTCTGAAGCACAGTCCCTGTCCTGCAATCAGACTTACGTATCCGACGTGGTGTTTCCGTGGAAATGATTGTGGGAAATGGCCCCTTGCTTGTCTGTATTTGCTGATTAGATTTCATGGTCCCTTTCTCGTTAGGTGCAGTGATCAAAGTTGACCAACCCCAGAGGAAAGCTGCCCAGGGCACCACTCAGGGCTCCGTAGAACCACAGAATCTTGGGCGCAACCCTGCTCAAGCACCCAAATGTGCATACGAAAACAGGGTCTCCGTGTGACGTATGTGAAAACTACAGTGTGATGAGCATGACTCGCAGACAGGTTATCGATTGGGCTCCCCTCAAAATCAGTTAGGAACATGAAAGCACACCGATGCCCAGGTCCTGGCTGCAGGAATAAGATCCTCCGACGTCTTGTGTGAAGCCACGACATCTGCATTGCTCATGCTTCTGGGGATCATTCTCCTGAAAATGGTGGCTTCTTTCTCCCTGTGGAGCATCTTTCTAAGCAGTGCTCCTTTCTTCCCCCAGGACACTTTACATCAGGCGCACGAAGCCTTCTGATGGAGCACACCTGGCCCATGAAAAGACAAGGGAAAGAAACGGGGCCAAAGGTCACAGTCCTCTCATTCCATCATCCTCCTTAAAATCATCCGAATTTCATGAGCCCTTGAAGCCAGGGCTGTTTCTTTACACCCAGAGGCCTTGGCGCCGGGCCTCAATTCTGCCCTGTTCCTTACTGTCTAAGACATTTTGGGAAAATCCCTAGAGCCAGGATCTTCATTCCTGGTAAGCCAGAGAGCCTGAAGACACACCCAAATGCTGTCCCTCTTAGTTCAGGGAACATGTCCACTTTCGTCAGCATTACAATTTTTGCACCAAATGTACTAACTGCAATTCCACCATACAATGCATAACTGGAAATGGAGGGAACATCTCAGACCATGAACAATCGATGAGAGAATCCAGGAGACACACGGCTTATTTTTGCCTTTTCCCTGTGAAACAAGGGCCAGCATTAAAAAGGTTATGCTATCTTCTGTTTCACTCCCTGCTTTTAAACGTCTCCGATGTTTTCTTCTTCAGACAGGGCCTCACTCCCGTCACCCGGGCTTTTCTACGGTATAATTTTCCTTGTTTGCTTTTGTCAAAATTAGAACTTTTTATTTCATCTCTATGAAATGTTGAGCCATTATCACATACGTATGGAAACAGTATCACCCATGCTGTGAGATACGTTGTTTTTATTTTCATCAGTTCTTTAATAAACAAAAGCTTATAGTTGGGATACCTTTGGATTTCTCAAGTTTTTTGTTTCATGTTTTCTTAAACTGCCGCCGCACGTCCGAAACCACTCACTATACAATGTCAGGACCATCTCTCTTTTCTGGTACACATAAATTTGGGGAAAGTCATCAATTAGTCTCTCGGTGATTGCATGATTTCCCCAAAGTCTTTCACAGTCTACTTTGTGCACTGAGTAACTCTCCAAACTTCAGTGCATGTTTCTACCATTTGATGCTTTATTTGGCAGCCTAGCTTCCACAAGAGTATTTCATGCAAAGACTTGTCTTGTTCTCCACTGGCAGGTAATTTCACTCGGATAGAGAATCAATAGTCTGAACGTGGAAAGGTTATCGCTGGAAGGTCTGTTTGATTCCACGGATCTCTCCTTTATTATTAAGGAAAAATATACGCTGTGCTAAATACTATACTTCATTGACTATTCTCAGGTCAGAAAGTGCACTTCAGACTTCTTGTGCTTCCATCGCTGAGAGGATGATGGTAGCTGCCAAAAGTACATACTTGGAAGTTCATCCCAGCACAAGCACACACACACACACACAAACACACACACACACACACACACACACACACAGACACACACACGGTTTCATAGGTAAAGATTTCTTCCCTGACATTCTTTTACCTAAAATAAGGCAACTGTGTGGCCACTGTCCCAACCCGGTTACACTCATATTACATGTGTCTATCAGCCTGAGGAGTAATTTGATTCAGGTGTTCTAGAAGTCATGATGTGGGCTGTGTCTGTTGAATTCCCAGCGATGCAAGGGGACACACCCTGTGACTCATTCCTTAATTGAGTGCTGATATTTGATTGGTTTATCGCACACCTGATGGGTGGGTGGGGTGTTCGCGGTTGGAGGGGGTGAGTTATATAAGGGCTGATGCGGCCAGAGAGCTGGTCATTTGAAGACTCTCTCGGAAGAGATAGCGTCTTGCTGCAACCTGCGGTCCCAGCAGAAAAACCTTGTGATCCTTGTTGCGGGCGACATGGAAGACGACTCACTCTATTTGGGAGGTGACTGGCAGTTCAATCACTTTTCAAAACTCACATCTTCTCGGCTAGATGCAGCTTTTGCTGAAATCCAGCGGACTTCTCTCTCTGAAAAGTCACCACTCTCATCTGAGACCCGTTTCGACCTCTGTGATGATTTGGCTCCTGTGGCAAGACAGCTTGCTCCCAGGGAGAAGCTTCCTCTGAGTAGCAGGAGACCTGCTGCGGTGGGGGCTGGGCTCCAGAAGATAGGAAATACCTTCTATGTGAACGTTTCCCTGCAGTGCCTGACATACACACTGCCGCTTTCCAACTACATGCTGTCCCGGGAGGACTCTCAAACGTGTCATCTTCACAAGTGCTGCATGTTCTGTACTATGCAAGCTCACATCACATGGGCCCTCTACCGTCCTGGCCATGTCATCCAGCCCTCACAGGTATTGGCTGCTGGCTTCCATAGAGGTGAGCAGGAGGATGCCCATGAATTTCTCATGTTTACTGTGGATGCCATGAAAAAGGCATGCCTTCCCGGGCACAAGCAGCTAGATCATCACTCCAAGGACACCACCCTCATCCACCAAATATTTGGAGCGTATTGGAGATCTCAAATCAAGTATCTCCACTGCCACGGCATTTCAGACACCTTTGACCCTTACCTGGACATCGCCCTGGATATCCAGGCAGCTCAGAGTGTCAAGCAAGCTTTGGAACAGTTGGTGAAGCCCAAAGAACTCAATGGAGAGAATGCCTATCATTGTGGTCTTTGTCTCCAGAAGGCGCCTGCCTCCAAGACGTTAACTTTACCCACTTCTGCCAAGGTCCTCATTCTTGTATTGAAGAGATTCTCCGATGTCACAGGCAACAAACTTGCCAAGAATGTGCAATATCCTAAGTGCCGTGACATGCAGCCATACATGTCTCAGCAGAACACAGGACCTCTTGTCTATGTCCTCTATGCTGTGCTGGTCCACGCTGGGTGGAGTTGTCACAACGGACATTACTTCTCTTATGTCAAAGCTCAAGAAGGCCAGTGGTATAAAATGGATGATGCCGAGGTCACTGCCTCTGGCATCACCTCTGTCCTGAGTCAACAGGCCTATGTCCTCTTTTACATCCAGAAGAGTGAATGGGAAAGACACAGTGAGAGTGTGTCAAGAGGCAGGGAACCAAGAGCCCTTGGTGCTGAAGACACAGACAGGCCAGCAACGCAAGGAGAGCTCAAGAGAGACCACCCTTGCCTCCAGGTACCCGAGTTGGACGAGCACTTGGTGGAAAGAGCCACTCAGGAAAGCACCTTAGACCACTGGAAATTCCCCCAAAAGCAAAACAAAACGAAGCCTGAGTTCAACGTCAGAAAAGTTGAAGGTACCCTGCCTCCCAACGTACTTGTGATTCATCAATCAAAATACAAGTGTGGTATGAAAAACCATCATCCTGAACAGCAAAGCTCCCTGCTAAACCTCTCTTCGACGAAACCGACAGATCAGGAGTCCATGAACACTGGCACACTCGCTTCTCTGCAAGGGAGCACCAGGAGATCCAAAGGGAATAACAAACACAGCAAGAGATCTCTGCTTGTGTGCCAGTGATCACAGTGGAAGTACCGACCCACACTGAGGGGTGCACACACACACACACACACAAACACAAATACACCCACAAGCGCGCACGGAAACACACACACACCCACACAAACACGAACACCGTCAATCCTACATAAAGTAATGAGGAGCCCCAGTTTCTGTCTCTACAACAGGGACAATTGGATAGTGATGGCTGCGTCTCAGGATGAGCCCACACATGGGAAACATCAAGTTTTGGGTTCGTGAGTCTTCCGAACCTCTGGAGGGACTGTCTGTGTGTTTGTGTTCATGGTAGATGACATTCAGTGTGTATTTCTTAATGTGACCTATTGACCTGTAGGTTTGCGTGTGAGGTTATTGCAGGGGACATGGTTTACTATTTCCTGTTGGGGTTTGTTTCATTCGTCAGTTGTTGGTCGGCAAGAGAAGGTGAAATTTTGCTCATGTGGTACATCCGTGGATCATTCTCGCCACCTTGAATAGTGGATACTGGAATTCAATTGGAAGATAGGAACGGTGCTCTCCTTTCTTACCCTGGCTCGCCCATTTTATTTTGGTTTCTGAATGGACCTCAGGTGCCCTGAGACTTGGGCTCTTGCTGGAACCCACATAACGCGGGAAACAGACAGACCGACTTACCTGTTTCACGGTGTCCACTTCCAGTGAGTGGAACCGGAAAATTTTCCCACTGGCACGGAAGTCATTTGGAACTAAGTCTCATTGATACTAAAGGAAATCAAACACTGGAGTGTGTGTATTCATCTAAAATACATTCAGAAAGCCCTGAAATAAACCTCATTTGGTGTGTTTACAAATGGCATTTGGGGAGATTCCAGGTCATTCATCCAGCTGCGAAAGCTGCATCTCTGAAACACAGTCCCTGTCCTGCAATCAGACTTATTTATCCGACGTGGTGTTTCTGTGGAAATTATTGTGGGAAATGGCCCCTTCCTTTTCTGTATTTGCTGATTAGATTTCATGGTCCCTTTCTTGTTAGGTGCAGTGATCAAAGTTGACCAACCCCTGAGGAAAGCTGTCCAGGTCACAACTCAGGGCTCCGTAGAACCACAGAATCTTGGGCGCAACCCTGCTCAAGCACCCAAATGTGCATACGAACAGGGTCTCTGTGTGACGTGTGTGAAAACTACAGTGTGATGAGCATGACTTGCAGACAGGTTATCGATTGGGCTCCCCTCAAAATTAGTTATGAGCATTAAAGGACACCGATGCCCAGGTCCCGGCTGCAGGAATAAGACCCTCCGACGTCTTGTGTGAAGCCACGGCATCTGGATTGCTCATGCTTCTGGGGATCATTCTCCTGAAAATGGTGGCTCCTTCCTGCCTGTGGAGCACCTCTCTAAGCAGTGCCCTTTCTTCACCCAGGACACTTTACATCAGGCACAGAAAGCCTTCTGATGGAGCACACCTGGCCCATGAAAAGACAAGGGATAAGAAACGGGGCCAAACATCACAGTCCTCTCATTCCACCGTCCTCCTTAAAATCATCCTAATTTCATGGGCTCTGCGGCCACGGCTGTTTCTTTACACCTCGAGACCTTGGCGCCAGGCCTCAATTCTGCCCCGGTGCTTACTGTCTAAGACATTTTGGGAAAATCCCTAGAGCCTGGATCTTCAATCCTGGTAAGCCAGAGAGCCTGGAGACACACCCAAATTATGTCCCTCTTAGTTCAGGGAACATGTCCATTTTCGTCAGCATTAAAATTTTGGCACCAAATGTGCTAACTGCAATTCCACCATACAATGCATAACTGGAAATAGAGGCAACATCTCATATCCTGAACAATTCATGTGAGAATCTAGGAGACACACCGCTTATTTTTGCCTTTTCCCACTGAAACAATGGCTAGTATTAACAATGTTATGCTATCCTTGGTTTCACTCCCCACTTTTAAATCTCTCGGATGTTTACTTCTTGAGACAGGGCGTCACTGCCGTCACCCACGCTTTTCTACGGTGTAATTTTTGTTGTTCGCTTTTGTCAAATTTAGAAATTTTCATTTCATCTCTATCAAATGTTGCTCCATTATCACATACGTATGAAAATATTATCACGCGTGCTGTGAGATACGTTGTTTTTATTTTCATCAATTCTTTTGTAAAACAAAGGTTATAGTTGGGATACCTTCTGATTTCTCCAGTTTTTTGTTTCATGTTTTCTTAAACTGCCGTCGCACGTCCAAAACCACTCGCTATGCAATGTCTTGACCATCTCTCTTTTCTGGCAAATATAAATTTTCGGAATGTCATCAATTAGTCTCTCGGTGATTGCATTATTTCCCCAAAGTCTTTTACAGTCTAGTTTGTGCACTGAGTATCTCTTCAAACTTCAGTGCATGTTTCTACGACTTAATGCTTTATTATTCAGCAATCTAGCTTCCACAAGAGCATTTAATGTAAAGACTTGTCTTTTTCTCCACTGGCAGGTAATTTCACTCGGATATAGAATCATTAGGCTGAACATGGAAAGGTTATCGCTGGGAGGTCTGTTTGATTCCACGGATCTCTCCTTTTTTATTGAGGAAAAAAATATGCTGTGCTAATTACTGTACTTCATTGCCTATTCTCAGGTCAGAAAGCGCACTTCAGACTTCTCCTTCTATCGCTGAAAGGATGATGGTATCTGCCAAAAGCACATACTCGGAAGTACATCCCAGCACAAACACACACACACACACACGCACACAAACACACATACTCACACGGTTTCATAGGTAAAGATTTCTTCCCTGACATTCTTTTACCTAAAATAAGGCAACTGTGTGGCCACTGTCCCAACCCGGTTACCATCATATTATATGTGCCTATCATCCTGAGGAGTAATTTGATGAAGGTGTTTTAGAAGTCATGATGTGGACTGTGTCTGTTGAATTCCCAGCGATGCAAGGGGACACACCCTGTGACTCATTCCTTAATTGAGTGCTGATATTTGATTGGTTTATTGCCCACCTTATGTGCGGGTGGGGTGTTCGCTCTTGGTGCGGGTGAGTTATGTAAGGGCTGATTTGGCCAGAGAACTCGTTATTTGAAGACTCTCTCGGAAGAGATAGCGTTTTTCTGCAACCTACGGTCCCAGCAGAAAAACCTTGTGATCCTTGTTGCGGGCGACATGGAGGAAGACTCACTCTACTTGGGAGGTGAGTGGCAGTTCAACCACTTTTCAAAACTCACATCTTCTCAGCCAGATGCAGCTTTTCCTGAAATCCAGCGGACTTCTCTCCCTGAGAAGTCACCACTCTCATCGGAGACCCGTGTCGACCTCTGTGACGATTTGGCTCCTGTGACAAGACAGCTTGCTCCCAGGGAGAAGCTTCCTCCGAGTAGCAGGAGACCTGCTGCGGTGGGAGCTGGTCTCCAGAATATGGGAAATACCTGCCACTTGAATGCTTCCCTGCAGTGCCTGACATACACACCGCCCCTTGCCAACTACATGCTGTCCTGGGAGCTCTCTCAAATGTGTCATCGTCCCAAGTGCTGCATGCTCTGTATTATGGAAGCTCACAGCACACGGGCACCTCCACCGTCCTGGCCATGTCATCCAGCCCTCACAGGCATTGGCTGCTGACTTCCATAGAGACAAGCAGGAAGATGCCCATGAATTTCTCATATTCACTGTGGATGCCATTAGAAAGGCATGCCTTCCCGGGCACAAGCAGCTAGATCATCACTGCAAGGACACCATCCTCATCCACCAAATATTTGGAGGGTACTAGAGATCTCAAATCAAGTGTCTCTACTTCCACGGCATTTCAGACACCTTCGACCCTTACCTGGATATCGCCCTGGATATCCAGGCAGCTCAGAGTGTCAAGCAAGCTTAGGAACAGTTGGTGAAGCCCGAAGAACTCAATGGAGAGAATGCCTATCATTGTGGTCTTTGTCTCCAGAAGGCGCCTGCCGCCAAGACGTTAACTTTACCCACTTCTGCCAAGGTCCTCATCCTTGTCTTGAAGAGATTCTCCGATGTCACAGGCAACAAACTTGCCAAGAATCTGCAATATCCTGAGTGCGTTGACATGCAGCCATACATGTCTCAGCAGAACACAGGACCTCTTTTCTATGTCCTCTATGCTGTTCTCGTCATCACCGGGTGGAGTTGTCACAACGGACATTACTTCTCTTGTGTCAAACTCAAGAAGGCCAGTGGTATAAAATGGATGATGCCGAGGTCACTGCCTCTGGTATCACTTCTCCTTAGAGTCAACAGGCCTATGTCCTCTTTTACATCCAGAAGAATGAATTTGGAAGACCCAGTTACAGGGTGTCCGCAGGCAGAGAACCAAGAGCTCTTTGTGCTGAAGACAATTGAATTGTGGTGAAATAATATGTCATGAATAAATCTTGCAGCAGATTTATTTGTCTCACTTTGTAATCAGTGAATGAGCTTTAACGAATATCAATGCCTAGTGCCTACCCCCCAGAGATAAGAACTTCCAGTTTCTCATGTGTAATCATGGCATCTGGATTGCTCATGATTCTGAAGATAATTCTCCTGTCCCCCAAAGTTTCAGAATCACTTCAGGTGGTAGAAACAGATAACACATCAGTCCCTTTCTCTCTCTTTTCTCTTCACTCAGGAAAACTCTCACTGGATCAAGGAAAATCCTATGGTTTACTAGGGAGGAGTAGTTTTCTCAGCAGTGAAAATGGTGGCTCCTTCCTCCCTGTCAAGTCTCTTCCTCAGGATTGCCCCTTTATCTCTTCAGGACTCTGCTCATCAGGCCCGAGATGCCCCCTGGTTGCGCATACTTGGCCTATGAAGAAATATGGGGAAGGAATGGTTCCAAAGACCATACTATGCTCACTCCACCATCGCCTCTGACACTATGCTGACTTCATGAGCCCTGGGTCAGAAGCTGTTTTCTTTACACCTCTAGGCCTTGCCTCGTGGCCTAAAGACGTCCCCATTTCTTACATCTTATAAATTTTGACAAAACCCTCAGGGCCTAAATCTTCATTCCTCATAGGCCAAAGGGAGATACACCAGAATTCTGTCCCTCTGAGACTGCAGGACATCTCAGCTTCCATCAACATGAAATTTTGCACCAAATATAGTTACTGCAGTTCCACCTCACAATGAGTAACTGGAAGTTCAGAAAACATCTCAGACTCTATACAGTTTCTGGCCAAGCTCATTTGGTTTAACAATGCTTTTACTCTATAAATCAGTTGTGAGAACACTTAGGATTCATATTATTTAGTATTTTAATCAGTCTGTTATTATTTTCAATGTGTTTACTAGACTTTAGTTTAATATTTCTGATAAACTTTGATGCAAAAATTCTCGATATAATAGTGGCAAACCAAATCCAGCAACATATCAAAAACCTTATCCAGCAAGATCAAGTCAGCTTCTTCCCTTTGGTGCAAGGCTGGTTCAACAAACACAAATCAATAAATATAATTCACCATGTAAACCGAACTAAAGACAAAAACCCCATGATTATTTTAGTAGACTCAGAAAAGATCTTTGATAAAATTCAACATTCCTTTATGTTAAAAACCTCAGGAAACTAGGTATTGATGGAACATATCTCAAAATAATAAGAGTCATTTTTGACAAACCCACAGCCAATATCATATTGAATAGGCAAAAGCTGGAAGCATTCCTTTTGAAATTCGGCACAAGGCAAGGATGCCCTCTCTCACCACTCCTACTCCATATAGTACTGGAAGTTCTGGCCAAGGCAATCAGCCAAGAGAAACAAATAAAGCATATTCAAATAGTAAAAGAGAAGTTGAACTGTCTCTTTGTTTGCAGATGACATGATCCTATATCTATAAAATCCCATCATCTCAGCCCAAAAGATTCTTACGCTTATGAGCCACTGCAGTAAAGTCTCAAGATACAAAATCAGTGTGCAAAAATCGCAAGCATTCTTATACACCAACAATAGACAAGAAGAGAGCCAAATCACAAATAAGTTCCCATTTACAGTTGCTGCAGAGTATAAAATACCTAGGAATACAGCTAACAAGGCAAGTGAAGGACCTCTTCAAGGAGAACTACAAACCACTACTCAAGGAAATAAGAGAGGACACAAACAAATGGAAAAACATTCCATGCTCACGGGTAAGAAGAATCAATATCATGAAAATGCCATACTTCCCAAAGTAATTCATAGATTCAATGCTATTCCCATAAAGTACCATGGACATTCTTTACAAAATTAGAAAAAACTACTTCAAAATTCATATGGAATGAAAAAAGAGCCCATATACCCAGGACAATCCTAAGGTAAAATAACAAAGTTAGAGGCATCATGCTACCTAACTTCAAACTATATTACAAGGCTACAGTAACCCAACAGCATGGTAGTGGTACAAAACAGACACATAGACCAATGGAATGGAATAGATATATCAGAAATAAGACTGCACATCTACAACCATTTTATTTTTGATGAAAACAAGCAATGGGGAAAGGATTCCCTATTTAATAATAAATGGTGCTTGAAAAACTGGCTAGACATAGGCAGAAAACTGAAACTGTACCCCTTCCTTATACCTTATACAAAAATGAACTGAAAATGGATTAAAGACTTAAATGTAAAACCCAAAACTGTAAAAAATCCAACCCCATATAAAAGTGGGCAAAAGCTGGGTACAGTGGCTCATGCCTGTAATCCCAGCAGTTTGGGAGGGTGAAGTGGGCAGATAACTTGAGGCCAGGAATTCAAGATCAGCCTGGCCAAGCTGGTGAAACCACGTCTCTACTGAAAATACAATAAATTAGCCGGATGTAGTGGTGCAGACCTGTAATCCCAACTACTCAAGAGCCTGAGAGAGAAGAATCGCCTGAATCTGGGAGGCAGAAGTTGCAGTGACCCGAGATTGTGCCACTGAACTCCACCCTGAGTGACACAGCAAGACTCTGTCTTAAAAAATAAAAATGTAAAAATTTCAAAAGTGGGCAGAGGACATGAACAGACACTTCTCAAAAGAAGACATTTATGCAGCCAACAAACATGAAAAAAAAGCCCAACATTACTGATCATTAGAGAAATACAAATCAAAACCGCAGTGAGGTACCATCTCATGCCAGTCAGAATGGTGATTATTAAAAAGTCAAAAAACAACAGATGCTGGTGAGACTGTGGGGAAATAGGAGAACTTTTACACTGTTGGTGCGAATGTAAGTTAGTTCAACCACTGTGGAAGACTGTGGTGATTTTTCAAAGACCTAGAATCAGAAATACCATTTGACCCAGCAATCCCATTACTGCATATATACTCAAAGGAATATAAATTCTTGTATTATAAAGATACATGCATGGGTATGTTCATTGCAGCACTATTCATGAAAGCAAAGACATAGAATCAACCCAAATGCCCATCAATGATAGACTGGATACAGAAACTGTGATACATATACACCATGGAATACTATGCAGCCATAAAAAGGAATGAGATCATGTCCTTTGCAGGGACATGGATGAAGCTGGAAGTCATTATTCTCAGCAAACTAATGCAGGAACAGAAAACCAAATACACATGTTCTCACTTAATAAGTGGGAGATGAAAAATGAGAGAACATAGACACAGGGAGGGGAACAACACACACTGGAGCCTGTCTGTGGGTGAGTGGGGAGGGAGTGCATCAGGATGAATAGCTAATGCATGTGGGCTGAATACCTAGGTGATGGGTTGATAGGTACAGGAAACCACCATGGCACACATTTACCTATGTAACAAACCTGCGCATCATGCACATGTATCCCAGAACTTAAAATGAAATAAAATAAAATTTTAAAAAACTTTATTTTTTCTAACCTTCCAAAATGCAGGGATTACAGGCATAAGCCACCATGCCTGGCCCTGTTTTAACATATCTGAACAAGATTTAAGACATCAGTTTGAAAAGAGCCCCTCTATGGCAGCAACATGAATTCTGTCAAACCTGAAGCAAGAACAAACATCAAATTTATGGTGAAGCTGGGGTACAAAAAATGGTGAAATAAATTATTCTTTAAGAAAAGTCTATGGGAAAAATGACCTGAAGAATCAGTCATTTACAAACGGATACCTTATTCTAAGAAGCGATAATACAATGTTGAAGATGAAGTCAACAGAGGAGGGACATCCATACCAATTTTTGAGAAAAAAAAAATCGTTTCTATGCCTTCATTGAGGAGGATTGACAATTAACAAGAGATACTGTAGCCAACATCACAGACATCTCAATTGGTTCAGCTTACACAATACTGACTATAACGTGAAAGTTGAGAAACTTTACATTTGATGAGTCCCAAATACCCTTGTGCCTAGATCAGCAGTGGACAAAAGCAGAGCTATTAGTAACTATTTTGAGCAAGCGGAATCAAGATCCTGAAGCATTATTTTGAAGAATTTTAACAGGGAGTGAAACTGGCTTTATCAATAAGATCCTGAAGACAAAGCACAATTCAAGCCATGGCTACCAAGAGGTAGAAGTGGTCCAGTCAAAGCAAAAGCAAACTTCTCAAAAGCAAAAGCCATGGAGGTTTTGGGGATGCTCAAGGTATTTTGCTTGTTGACTTTCTGTAAGATCAAAGCACCACAACATCTGCTTACTAGGAGAGTTCTTAGAGAAAATTAGCAAATACTTTTGCAGAAAAGCGCCCTGTAAAGCTTCACTAGAGAGTCCCTCTGCACCACAACAACACTTCTGTTCCTTCCTCTCATCAAACATGGGTAATTTTGCAAGAGTTTTCATGGGAAATTATTAGGCATCAACATTACAGTCCTGATTTGGTTTCTTCTGACCTTTTTTTCCCTAACCTTAAAATAACTGTAAAGGGCACCCATTTTTCTTTAGTTAATAATAGAAGACTGCATTGACACGGTTAAATTCCCGTTACCCTCAGTTGTTTAGCAATGGACTGAATGGCTGGGATCATCCTTTAATGGAGTGTCTGGACCTCAGTAGAGCTTATATGGAGAAATAAAGTTTATATTTATATTTTTATTGTTAATTCCATTTTTCACTGACATTTTTAAATCCCTTCACAATTCACGTTTGTCTCAAAGGTATTTAAATTTAGAAATCATATCAAGTGTGAAATAAAAAAATTATATAGACAGAGGGAGAACAGAATCTATAAATATGCATGTTTGTGTACATACATCCATATACATACATATGTGTGTGCATGCAGTAATTTTATTGCCCTAAAGCAATGCCTCTGCCTTCCACCCTCACTGCACATGTCCTAGTCCTGTGATGTCCCTGGAACTGAGCACCTGATTTCCTTCTCTGCCTCCCACATGAACAGGGAATAGAAATGGAAACCACGTTCTGTGGTTGCTGTTGTGAAAATCCATGTTCCCCACAGGCTGAGTTTAGCATCTTACATTCTAGTTCTCATTGTAAAAAAGCAAGCAACAAACAAAAACTACAAAAGAAAAAATGAAATAGTTGAAAGTCTAGAGCCACAGAGGTTCCGGATCCACCCACCGCCCACGGTGACCTCCACAGCCCTCCAGGCCTGAGGACAGCTATGCCTGAACAGCCTGCCTCTTCACCATCCACGCAGGAAAGTGACTTTAAACTTCAATAGCTATTACTCTGTTCCACAAGGAACCAGGTCAACATTCAAAGTCAGTGGTCTGACAACTCTAAGCTTTGGCCGGAAAGTATTGGAAACATTTAACGTGCAGTGGATGAAGCAGCCCGGCCCCACTGCACACAACACACTCACAGGGACTCAAAGGAAGAGACTCAGGATCCGCTGGGTGGAAGTGAGGACAGACCCAGAAACACAGAGGGTGGGAAGGGGTCAAACCAGGAAGGCTCAGGACCTGACCTCCTCCTAGGCCCTGCCTCTCTAGAACTCGCAGTTTTTTCTGACCTAGAAGCGGATTTCACTGATGGAAAAGAAGTTCAGTATTTCTGTTCCAGCCCAGTAAGCTGCTCCCATTGCCCAGCCTTCCACACCCCTGCAGACGTCACAATCCCTGCACCCACTAACCTGACAAGGGAGCTATGCATCACCTGGAGACAGTCCTAGGCCTGCACTCCTGTGATGGGGTCCAGGGTCTGTGTCCATTTCTGGTTAAAATTGCTGTAAGGCTGGTCGCTGTCTTGGCCTTCCCTGCTTCCTCTCTGTTCAATTCTCCCCTCCTCACCCCATGTGAAGCTTTTACTCAGGAGATGGATTCTCACCCCTCTTGGAACATCAAGGATAGTGCCAGGACACCGCACCATCCCCTTGACCCTGGGATTCTGTAGACCTCAGTCTTCTCCTGAGGTCCCCTCCCTCCCTACCTCATTTTTTCCATACTTCTGGGGCCTGGGCCTGCTACACCTCAGGCTTCCTCTTCACAGTCACAGAGTGAGGGAGCCCCCTTCATCCTTGGGCTCTGGCCACAGCTCACCTGCTGCAGGACACTCAGCAGCTTTCAGTAGTTCATCCAGACATCCAGTTGGAAGTGGGATTTCCTGGAAGGAAAGCAGGAACCCAGAATTACACTGAATTCTAACACCAGGGCCCAGGTTCCCCTTCTGCATGGGACACTAAGCTGCAAACACTACATGGGCACTTAATGCTCAGCTGTCCTTCTAACATCTGGTCCGATTGTGTCCCTCCTCCTTGGAATATCTCAGAAAATGTATCTCCACCTAGAGTTGTTTGAAAGCATCATCCTATGTGATTCCAGACCATCAGGGGGTGCAATGGGTCCTCACCAGTATTTCCACTCTGCTTGGAAGACTTAGAAAATCCTGAGGCTGCTCAGAGGGTCAGCTTCCCATCGCTGTGTTTCAGTAAAACTTCAGTCTTCCCTGGACAAGTGAGGAGACAGAAAATGTCTAGTCTCTGGCACATCTTTTGCAAGCAATGGCGGCTCCCAGGAATCAATACTATCAACGAATATATTTTTGAGATTCTGGTCAAAAGAAGAGTCATCCTGCAATTTCAGGTAGGATGGAGTGGTTCTGTGGCTCCTGAGGTGATTTTGAAAAGATCTTGACTCTCAGAAGGACCAAGGAGGACATTTCTGGCATTTCCAGACCAGGAAGAGTGACTGATGGACCTCCAGTGTTACTTGGAAAAATTTTGTTGGACAGCTTTGTAACAAGAGGATCTTGCTTTGGCTTTCAGGCCTTCACATAGGTTGTTTAGATCATGGAAGTGTTTCTGCATTTCTGCATAGGCTCAGGATGCCTTCTCAAGTCGTCCCTGCAATTATGAGACAGTTGCTTTCTCCAGAGGTCACTTAGAATAATACAAGAGGCTTCACCCTCAAAGGGACACCAGACAATATAGCCACAGTCCAGCCAAGATTATCTGTATTTACATACCTGTAAAGTAACACTCCTAGTGATCTCCATTAACTTGGACATCTTTCATGAATAGGGAAACTCTAGTGATTGTTATATAACAGCTGCCACAAAAATTAATCAATAAAAAGAAACGATATATGAAAAATAATTAATAATCATGATAATGAACTCAATGACCTAAATAGTATGAATTTTAATACTGGAGACAATATAAATGTAAGGATACAAAAATTAATGTGGAGCTTCCCCTAAATATATGAAAACTTCACAGACTGTGTCCTCCTTGTGTAATTTGGAGTCAGAGTCAAAGAATTTCTCTATGAAATGTGTTCCATGATGGCAAACATCAAAAACAGGAGGTGAAAGAAAAGCAAGCCGCAGGAGACCATGGGCTAATATGAACATTTGTGTGCAAACCTCTCTCATCAAGAACTACCAGCCAGAGGTGAAGGGACTGTGATTTGTGTCCTGCCCACCACTGGGCACACAAAAGCTTTCAGTAGTGCAACCAGATGGCTGGTTTGGCCTGGCTCCCTGCAAGGAAGACACGTCTCTGATCCCCACCAGCCCATCAGTCCTGGAACTCAGAATCCTACATGCAGTAAACATGAAGCTCCAACTCCATAGCTGACTTTACCTCCTTACTGTCCTTCTGCCATCTGGTGTTTCAGGTGCTCTCCAGATCTGGACTTCTTGGCTCCCCTACCTTTACCAAGTGAACTCAGGATGTATCATTCTCAGTCTTCTCCTGCCAGTCCAAAGTGAAACTCACCAATACAAGCATACCCTGGATGGGCTTTCTTGGAATATTTAGAAAACAATGAGCTTGCTCGGGGGTGGTGTGAGCTCTAGGAGTAGAGTTACAGTCTCCCATGGAAACCTGAGAGGACTTAGAATATTCCCAAAGGCCTAAGCAGTCCAATCTGTCCTGGAAACATCAGGAATGATATACTCGGTCTTCCTGAGGCTCCAAAATTTTTCCAAATAAACTCAGAGATTACAGAACCATTTTTCTCTTGGGAACTGAAGTGGAGTTATTTGCCTTCTGCCAGCATCTCACTTTTTTTTTTCTCTAAGTTAGCTTTTGAGCCCAGAAGTAGATATTCCTTGTATTTGATTTACATAGGGAGCTTCCTAGAATGCCCGTGCCTCTGGATAGTTTCTGCATTCACTCAGGTATTGACAAAATGCTGCAGTTCTACTGAAAATCTCTGAGATGACCATTTGATCACCTGAGTAACTTTTGAATGTGTCTTCTATGGAAGCCCTGGAGCCTCCCTTCTGGTATTTCATACACTGCCGGTACCAAGTATCCTGGGTGAAACCCTCCATCAGACATTGTTGGCAATTCCAGTATGGAGATGACACTAACGTGATGGGGCTCAAGAATCAGATGGTAGAAGAGCAGCTGGGAGGTGAAGTCTCAGTAGGCTAGGGGCTTAATGTTCGATGCACACCAGACTTCTGAGACTCAGGAGGCATGTGTGGATCTGTCTGCCCAGTGTCTCTCATCTACAGCCTGGACCAGCTATTTCTTGGGGTGAACTACTGAAGGCTTTTGTACGACCTGTGTCAGGCAAGACTCTGGCCAGACCCTTTGCCATAGTCCATTTGTAATGCGTTTCCACATGGCACAGGTATCTCCACTTTTGCCCATGCTCTCATGTGGCTCAGAATTATTCTCCCTACTGCCACTCTTCTTTGCCATCACAGAAGATATTTCAAGGTGTAGCCCTAAGCTTCTCCATCTAATCAATAACATGAGGGTTCGTATGGGAACATTGTCACAGGCTTACAGGAATATGTTCTTAAATATCTGCTTTTCTATTACTCTCTTCATTAAATTGACATTTATATCATCACCATTATGATTGTTATTAATGTTATTATTATATTGATACAGTTCTTTATCATGGATATATTTGTGGTCGTTTTTATGCAATGTTGAATAATTGTTTTATGTTCCTGAAGACTGTTGAATTTGCTGAAGATGATTAAAAGACAACCTTAAAACATAAATACCACAGCAACCCCAGGAATCCTACTGTACTGCTTGGTGTCCTGTAGAAGAATGGGCTTCCTGAATTATTCTTTTATTTTTCAGGCAAGTACCTATTCATACCAGCATAGGAGACTGATGAAGTGCACCCTCATCTTGCCATGGTCTCAGAAAGAATTCGTACATATGCTTTATGTGATAGCAACTCTATGTGTAGGCCTGTGAGCCCTAGAATGCACTTTCTTTCACCAACTAGTCCACCTAACAGTTTTCTAAGTCAAATCCCCTCTCCATGCTTGGATAGGTCATGAATGGCTTTCTGTTACCCACCTAAGATGAAGGGATATTGCTAAATCAGGTTTGTGGCCAAGAAACTTTTATCTGGAGTGGCAGGAGAGGGCCTACCTGTTCACCAGAGTGTCTGCAACATTTTCTTTTTTTTCCTTTTTATTTATTTATTTATTTATTTTTTGAGATAGAGTCTCGCTCCGTCGCTCAGGCTGGAGTCCAGTGTCGCGATCTTGGCTCGCTGCAACCTCCGACTCCCAGGTTCAAGCGATTCTCCTGCCTCAGCCTCCTGAGTAGCTGGGATTACAGGTGCGTGTCACCACACCCAGCTAATTTTTGTATTTTTAGTAGAGAGGCGGTTTCACCATGTTAGTCAGACTGGTCTCAAACTCCTGACCTCATGATCCACCTGCGTTGGCCTCCCAAAGTTCTGGGATTACAGGCATAAGGCGCCGCACCTGGCCTCTGCAACATTTTCTAAGTCGGTATAGAAGCTCTTTGAACCACCTTTTCAGTCAAAGAACTCATGAAAAAGTCCTCCAAGAACTTGTGACCTTCTGGAAATTGTCAAAATCTCTACAGGTGTCCAGAGTCATCTAGATCTGTATTGCAAGCCACTGACTGGGTTCCAACATTATTAAAGCAAATGCAAAATATGCCATGCCCACCAAAAAAAATCCAGAAGCCATGGTATTTAGCTGTTTCCATCTTTCTTGCCTCCTGCACGTGGGAGAGTACTGAGTATCATGCCCTCCTACAGCCTCTGGAGGACATGCCAATGTCTAGGGGTACCAGTAGAGAGGGGCCATGAAAGACAGATGACAGCCAGGTTGCTGGGAATGACATTGTCCTGGGGCTTATTGCTTGTCATGAACTGTGCCACTGGGCAACATATGCAGGTGTGGACCCGTGCCTTCTCTGGATCCCTGCCCCATCAGCCAGCTGTCTTATCTCCTGAAAGCTGATAGGTGTTGGTCAGCATGGTGTTCCAGGACCAGGGTTATATTAACATTCTCTCTTAGGCTGAAACACCAGAAGTTAACACAGGAGTCCCCAGGTGTGCACATACTAACCTCCAGATTGTTTTTCTTCTCGTTCTAGATGTTCATCCTTGCTTTTTGGGACTTGAAATAACCGTACACAGCCAAATATTTATGCCTATTATCCACTTATGGAAAACTTATATGTCCCAAGTCCATAGGGTTAGTATTATTATCACTATTAAAACCATTAGTACTAGTATCATGATGATCATTATTCCTGTTAATATCCATCAATATTTTTATTACTGCCATTGTTAATATGGATTTTTCATTATTGTACAGCAATGAATATAGTTTATCCATTCACAAATGGTGTTCAGTTACCAAAGATGACTACAAGGCATGTTCTACAGACATATACACACACAGCTGTCCTGGAGACCCAGCTTTGCCACCAATTGCTCTTTCATAAGATGAGATCCCCCAGTACCCACCAGTTTTTCAGGACTCGACCTGAGCTGGCTCAGCTAGACCTGGAAAAGTTTCCTATGCCCAAATGTACTTGGAAAAATTTTAAAGTCTCTTCAGAGGCCCAGTAATAGCTTTTGGCAGCTTCTAAGACCAGGGAGGGTTTCTTGGCCATTCAGAGCCATTCAAATATTCCAAGTAAACTCAAGGATCCAGAAACCCCACTTGCAGTCATGAAATACCAGTGAATGGCCTCTGTGAGTCTCTTCAAGGTTTTCAAAGATGACTGCCTGAGAAGGCTGGCCAGGAAGTCACCCAAGCCCAACCTTCTGCAGGACGTTCTATGACAGCCAGGGACCCAGGGAATTGCCATTGAACAGAAGGGAGGAACAGAGACGGCATGCCTGAGCTTCTGGAAACATTCTAAGTGCCCTTGTTGGCCCAGAAAAGACTGGTGCTACCATATGAGGCACAGACTTGGCAACCTACCTACTCCAGGAACCACAGAAGGTTTAAAGGTTCCCAGGAAGTCCCAGGAAGGGCAGCCATAGCCCTTTAGAGCCATCAGATTTTATTCTAAGTCTACTTGGGAGACAGTGCTCTTAGCTTCATAAAAACACCAGTGGAGGTGCTAACACTTGCCCCAGTATCCAGTCTTTTCTACCTCATCTCAGAGCCAGGAAGCCACTATTTCCCAAAGCTGCTGTGCAATGAAAGGGGAATATTCTAGGTGCTCTCCTGTGCCCACGAAATTCTGTGGCTGCGCTGAAAGGCAGGAGATGTCCTCCGGAATGCTCTTCAGAAATCTGACAACACTGGTCAAGATTAAAGAAGCTCAATTCAACGTCATACAAAACCAATCCCAAATATATATATATATGCATAGTGAGACAAAATGATGAACACATCTGCTAATAATCATGAATGACAATAATAACAACAATGATGATCTTAGTGATAATGCCACCAACACTGTTAATGGCAATAACAATAAACCTGAGGTAATGAGTGTTAGGGTCCCGATTCACCGATGTGAAGGATGGCGGCAATTTCTGGCCTCACAGAAATAAAGGAAAAGTAAACACCTGGAGGAGGAGGAGGTGAACCTGGAGCTCCCGCCGGCCTCTGGGCGCTCCTTGGTGGAAGGAGAGGGACTTGGTCCTGAGCCTGCCCCGGATCCACCTACACCAGAATCCCAGAGTCCCAGTCCCTGGATGGGCTCAGTCCCAACCAGGCCAGACGCCCCGGAGCCCCGTAGCCCGGGTCCTCCAGCCCTCGCTGCCGCCGCTTCTCGCGGAGCCGGGGCCGCCCCCGCGCCACCTCAGCCTCTGCGGGGCTCTGGGAGGGCAGCGCCGAGGATGCTCCGGGGCCAGCGGGGGCATCCGGGCCCAGAGGGGGTATCCGGCCTCAGGCGGATACTGACGCCCTGAGGGCGCGGAATAGGGCGGCCTGCGCAGGGCCCGCCGTCTCGGCCTTGCAAAAACAGCGGCCTCTTCAAAGCCCCTACCGGAATCTCCCCGGAGGCCCCAGCCTCAAAGCCAGGGCGATGGCGCTTCCCTGACCATGGGTGAAGAAAACTCAGGTCCTCCCTGGAGACCCGGCCCGCCGCGGGAGGCAGACCGCGCATGCGCCCTGCATGGCCGGAAAGATGGGTTTCATTGCCCTCTGTCGGCCATGAGGTGGCAGCACAGGACGTTTGGCCTTAGCGGTGGACCTGAGTCTGAATCACTGAAATTCAGGTGTAGATTATTCAGTACTTTTCTTTTGGAAGATCAAATGGAAATTGAGTATGATACCTTGTGCTTTAATTAAAGAAGATGGAAATAAAGAAGCAAATTCAAAAATCAGTATACAAAAGCCGATTGATTCCCTCTATGTGGAGGGAAGACGAGCTTGAATAAGAGAAGCATTCTGTGTTACGCTTTAATAATGGCTGGAGATCTGCCACCATGCATTTGTCAAATCCCATAGAATTTCACAGCACAAATAGTACATCTTAATGTGGTTCAGGAGTACATATAATGTCAGTCACAGTTTGTGGGTAAATTACATATTTAATTAAATAGATTAAACAATAAATAATGATATGAGCTCTGCCTGGACACAGTCCTTGCCTCTCCAACCAGTTTGCCAAGGGCTTGAATTTCTTGCTCATTATCCTCACACTTGACATAAACCCTGGCTGCAGAGTAAAATCAATCACTTGTAGAGATTTTAAAATATAATGATGTGTCAACTTCAACCATGGATAAGGCCATTTAGCCTTAGTAAGGCCGATCGTATTAAGATTGTGCCTGTTTGGCAAAATTTCAAGTCATCCCACTTAATATTCAGGAAACATTTTCTCTTGAGTTTTAGGTTCAGTGGTGAGGCTCCTTCACGGACAATACATTTTCCAATTCTGAGGACAAGGCAGAGGAGGGCCCCTCTGTGAGAACTTTCATTTTGCTTCAGGAAAAGTACATTGAATCAAATATAGGAAAGGCTTGCAAGGTGGCTGACAGGTTCGGCTGTTTTATCATGCTGGTGTTTTATCTTCTGGACTGCAGTAAAAGGAGCACAGCTGTGTCTGTCTCTGTGTAATAACTCAGGACTTACCAGAATAAAATGTGGGGTGTTATGAGATGAACTGCTACTTCCAGTTAGAGAGGCTCCAGGGACAAAATTTCAAGAGTCTTCTGAGGGATAGAAGAGAAGAGCTGCCTTATTCTCTGATCCCAGTTAACTGCTTAGAGACAGAGGAAAGGGCTGCGGACACCCAAATGCATATACAAGGTGTCTTTGATACAGCCTCCATTTCCCTGCTAAATCTATGCAATGACACACTGAGAAATCTAGCAAGTGGGGCTGAAGATCCCTGGTGTGTCAACTCGAGGGTTGGATGGAAACAAGTGGTTTTAGTGGACGTTGAAGTAAAGGGAGGTGAGCTGTGAGGAAAGAGCTGTTGAAGACTGGGGAGACTCAGAAGTTGGGGTAGAATCTCGACCAAGAATCTCACCCAAGGAGTGCAGGTGCAAATCCATTTGTTAGGGCCGCATAAATGAAACAAGGGCTTTGCCAACATACTAAGTTTTTTCAACAACAGATTGTATTCTTTCAATATTTGTAAGTATTGATCTTTTGGAAAAGTTTAATGAGATTTCTTATATAATTCTGCACGCAATTTATTCCCTGGTCACTTTGCTATTATGCATTTACATGCCACATTTTTATGAATAGATATTTTCTCAAATTTCTGAATTATTTTGCTAAAGTATGTGTTAAGAGTTTTTTCTAGGGGTCCAACTTCTTGACTCACTTTTCTGATGAGAAATCTATCAGGTTTCTCCACAGTGATTTTCAAGTTTGATAGCTCCTCAATGTGAGAAACTCAATGTCAACTAAGAAATGAATTACCACTAAAGAATTTTCTCCTTTCAAGATGCTAACCATGTTTTGTCCAGTGAGAAATCTCACATGTGCCACATGTGTTGCTCTATGAAGAAAGGATTTCTCATGATTTTTCATTGCATAACTTCTCCAGTAAGAAGTATTTGGTATTCCAAGAGAATTCATTGCCCTTGGAAAGATTTTCCCTTCTTATTTAGCTCATGAAGGCTTTCCTCTCTTATTTTCCATTTTAGCAGCATTTTGTCACTCTTCTCTTGTGAACATCAAGCCTGGTGCTTGGCTGAATGTTCATTCACAGAAAATACAAATAAAGGGTTCATCCAAGTAAAGTTTTCTCATGTTATTTGACAATAAATTGCAAATAAAAACATTTTCACACTGAATGCAGAGTTAGAGATTCTCTACCTGAAAGTCCCACATGTTTTAAGTTATAGCTGTTGCTGAAGACTTTTAGTTGATTATATTGACAGTTTCAGCTCTCTCATGTCACTTATGCTCAGATCACTAACAAGTCTTTGGTACATACATGTCATACAATTTCTCTTCCATATGAATTTATTGATGTGGACTGAAGAATAAAGGTAACTGAAGTATCTTCCATGTTGATTACAGTATTTCTTCAAAATGTGAGTCCTTTGGCATGTTTAGATGCTACAACTACAGCTGAAGTCTCTTCCACATTCCTTACCTTCGTCATTCCTAACACTGTGTCATCTAAAGTCAGAATATGTTCTGAAGAAGTTTATAATTTTCTCTCCAGGGTGAATTTTCTGATGCTCTTTAAGATTAGTACATTGTCTGAAGGCTTCCCCACATAAATGGCATTCATATGGCTTTTCTCCAGTGCGTGTTCTCTCATGTCATCTAAGGTTGGAAGACAGACTGAAGGCCTTCCCACATAGAAGACAAGCATGTGGTTTCTCTCCAGTGTGAATTATTTTGTTTCCTCTAAAGCCAGAGCTTTGACTAAAGGCTTTCCCACTTTTATCACATTCATAACACTTTTTTCCAAGGTGAGTTCTCTCATGTCTTTGAAGGTTAAAGGATTGAATAAAGGCTTTCCCATATTGATGACACTTATATGGTCTCTGTCCCGTGTGAGTTTTCTCGTGTCTTCTAAGGTGAGAACACTGAGTGAAGGCTTTTCTACATAGATGACATGCATATGGCCTCTCTCCAGTGTGAGTCATCTTGTGCCGTCTAAGGTGAAAGCAATTAGTATAGGCCTTTTCACATAGATTACACTGATATGATTTACCTTTAGTATGAATTTGTTTATGTGGTTCAGTGGACAAAAGATTACGAAGGGATTTTCCACACTGTTTGCTGACATAGGGTTTCTTTCCACTATGAGTTAACAAACACTGAGTTATTGTGGAACTGCGAGTGCAATCTTCTCCCGAATCATTACATTCAAAAGGATCCTCCAGAATGAGAGAGTTCTCCTTTGGGGCAAATATTAAAAGCTCTTAATGGTTTACCCACATATATCTATACATTCATTTCACTACCTTTGAATCCTAGACCAACCATTCAGTGGTAGACCCCAGTTGAAAGCTTTCCAATGTTTCTTGTGTGAAAGGAAATTAAATTTTGGGACCCCAAACTCATTTAACCAAAGGGAAAAATCAAGCTGGGAACTGGGTCACACAAACCTGCCTCCCCCTTCTGGTTCCTAAATAATATGGCTACAAGATGAAAAGCTACACGCCTCCCCCATATTTTGCCCATGAGGAAATTCCTCATGAGCTGTTAAAATTGCACCATGGCAATGCAAACTGATAACTTTTCTTTACAAGTGCAGTCATCCCCAGTTCACCAGACACAAATGCATATTGATTGTCTCCCTGCCCCATTTTGCCTATGTTGTCTTATGTAAAATGCAGCTTTCCTGCATTATTCCTCTGCCTCATTTGTTTATGTCATCTTATGTAAAAAAATCCAGATTCACTGAGCCAGAAAAATGCATGAATGACTATTTTTTCTACCCACCTTTTACATGAAAATTGTGTACTTCTCAATATCCCACCCTTTCCCCTTTAAATTTGGAGCCTTCAAAATCATCTTTGGAGAAAGGCATACACCTGTCCCCTGGGTGCATGTCCTTAACTTTGGCAAATAAATCTCCTAAAATGATTGAGACTTGTCTTGTCATTTTTCTCGATTGACAATTGCATACACATTATCTCCTGCAGACACAGATATGTTCTCTTCTGTAACATCTCAACTGCAGCGTTATTGCATAATTGTGTTGATATCAATATCTTTCGATGACTGGGCATGAGCAATGTATATGCACTTGTTCTATTTTAGAGATCTCATGTTATGGTTTAGAACACAGGTCAATGTATTCACTAAATTCAAAGTATCCAATTTTTTTTTTTGCTTAGAAAACACTTAATGCCAGCTTAATTACACTCAGGTGATTGTGCTTCATTACTAACTTAACCCATTAACATGTCTTTAACTTAGATGACTGGTGTACACAGCTATAAAACTTACCATTGTCATACTGGTGGATGCGTCTTTTCTGATGATAGGATGCATGGATATCATGTGTGTTTTCTTAAGGGCACTTTCCCTGTCTGAAATAATTGAAAAATAAATTGTTACATTGGTATTATGGTAATAAAATTGTTTGAAAAGCCCCAAGGCCCACGTACTTTTTTCAAAAATTGACACGTAGATGTGGCAAGTGTGTCAAATGAAGAAACTACTTGAATAGAAGAAATAGATTGTACAGTGTCAGCAATTAGAAAATATTTTTAAAATTAAAATGTGAAAAGAGTTAAAATGGAGATGAGATATCAGGCAGGTAAAAAGAGGGATAGTCTTCACAGGGGTATCAGGAAAAGAGTCAGCATATGAAAGTTTAACCCCAGCCAAGTACATGAATTATCCTTTTCCCAAAAGTGAAAGAAAAGAAAAAAAAGAGGACACAAGAGTAGCATCTGACACATGAACAAAATGATAATAACATCTAAGGAATTCTGCTCCAGTAGCCTAACCTACATTTTAGAAATTATCACTCATTTAATAAAACCACTAATTAATATTCAACTGATATTATTCATTGACAAAGCACCTCCTCCTATTAGAGCACAGGACCCTGTTGCTTACTTGGATTCTGGTCTTGAAGAAATACTCTTCCTTCCCGCCACAGCTCTTTTCCTTGCTCCAGCTGCAAAATTATATAGGCTTTGCTTATCTGGTACCCTGTTAGTGGAAAGAATACATGTGTTTTGAGTTCACTGTCAATAAATGTGCATTATCACCAAGTGTAATGCAGGCTATCAAGGAAGAATAAAAACAGTGAAGGTCAGCTCAGGCCACAAGACCTAGAACACAGAAAACTCCCCAGGATTTTTCTGACCCAATATGAGACTACAAAATAAATCCAAACCAAAGGTCCATCAGGAAAAGGAAATTCAAAACAGTCAGGACCTATGAATGCTGAGTCCATGCCTAAGTTCCAAGACGCAATGCATAATACACAATCTTTTCAGAAAGAGAGTAATTATATCTCTGCACAGTGTGTTTACTATTATTCTCACGCACAACAAAAAAAAACATTCGATTTACAAAAATAATTGGTGTTCTATATGGAAAAGATATTGCTATTGTTTTCCCTAATTGGTCTCAGCCTAAGCATAGACTAAAGCAGAAGAGTTATTTAGAAAATATTTAATTTAATACACTGAAAATATTCATTAAGTTCCCAGGTCTGTTGTGAGTATTAGAGACTGAGTACCAAAGAAACCATGAAATCCTTGTCAAGACTACATTCTAATTGAGTGACAAACTAAATAAAATAAAATAAAAAGAAAGATATTTATTTCAGATAGATTTAGAGAGTTCAAACCTTTTTCAGATGAGATCTGTGAGAGAATCAGAGAAGAGATTAGAGTGAGATATGGGGAAGCTGTTTTAACACTTATTGAATGAATGAGTGAATGTGTCTCTACATATGTACATGAATGTTGAGGGACTCACTGAGGGACACCAGGTGACTGATATTTTCCAGCATCACATCTCTGTACAGCTTTCTCTTGGATGTGTCCATCATGGCCCACTCTTCCTGGGTGAAGTCAATAGCTACATCTTCAAAAGTCACTTTCTTCTAAAACATCACAGACATTTTAGTTTAGACAGAGAAATTCCTTTCAATGTCCGGAAGAGGAAGGCTGAGATGACATAGCTAGCAGCTGGGTATGCAGAATACTCAGTGTTTTGGGTTCCAGCCAGTTCATTCTCAGTACTAAGCTGGTATCTGCCTTTCAGATTCACTCACAGAGATATACCCACTCTGAATCCATTAAAGTTTACTATAAAGAAATATCACATGAGGTGTGGCATAATATAACCCAGATATTTTTCAGTAATGTGTTAATCACCTCTACATAACTGATTATAAAATTTTCACTTGAACATTCATAAATAAAATGAAATTTACCATGAATTTCAAGTAAATTACAGATTTGTCACAAGGCAAATAACCATGATTTACTACTTCTTAAGCATGACTCTGATGAAATAAATTATTTCTCCAGATGAACCACAGGTTTCTCACCAATCAAATGGTTAAAAGACCTATGATGTGTTTTGAATAATCTAATGAACTAATAGAAAACGTGTTTCCTATCTAGCAAATATTTATTAAATATAAGTCATTGGTCCCTTATTCATTAAAAGTTAGAAAGTAATGACCCAGACTCCAGCATTCTTCAGAACTGAACAAGCTTTATGCAGAATATAGGATTCAATTCATATATATAGTCTCTCTAATGTTATATAATTCAGGTATTCATGACAAGGCTTAAAGACAGTCTAGCAGCACAAGACAAGACCGCTGAGGCTGCTATACTGAGGAAATCTTAGTCCGATGATTCCTGTGATATGAAGCCTTCTGTTCTCAACTTTCTCTCGGCAATCCAAACATCAGTTATCATCGTTTCTCTTTTAAATTTACCTTCTCACTACACTTGTTCAAAGATTTAAAAAGCCTCTTCATTGTTTTTTTTCTAACCAGCCCTTATAAAGCATTTCCACAGAACCCTAAATTGTACTCTATCTACTATATTCCTTCTTCTGAGTGTGCAACCATAATTAAATAATTATATTTCTTATATGTTACTTTTACTTACCAGAAGGCAAAAAGGTTAATTACCAAAAGGTAAAGTGAATGGGGATAAGAATAATAATGACTTCTTTAGTTGTCCTTTCACAAAGTTTTTAAAAGCTCAAATACATTTTATCAAACTCTTCTTTTCCCTCAACACTGCACAGCTCTTGTCCAAGTCCTATCACACTGGATTTATTGAACTCAGCTGCTAGAACATCAGACTCATTGTTGGGCTGTGATGTTCTGCTCTTCACTCATCTCTATCGCCTGCATTAATCACAATCCTAAGTCTATTTCAGGCAACAGTATAGTTAATGGGTCAATTATTTCCCTATGAGATTATAGGATGGATAGAAGAAAAAGAAATATATAAATGAAACCTCTCATATCTTTTTTTGTAAATAGCCTTAATAGGGGCTGGAATAAAGTAGTGTAATATTAGAAATTATATTGATAATTTCGGAGTCTTTGACACACGATACCCAACCTAGAGTCCTGAGAAAACTTAATGGGGGGCCAGATACCTGAAAGCCTCCTGATTGCATTTGGAACACCCAGGCAGGGTGGATTTTACATCATAAAAACAAACAAACAAAAAAAGAATAAAAATGAAACACCCATGCAAATTGGAGAAAACTGCCCATTTGCCAGCAATATGGGTATAATTTCAGTAGAAAGAGGCATCCCCTACTCACTAGTGAATGCATTGTCAGGAACTCAGTTTCTCTCTGTCTTCCTCTGGATTTCCACTTGCAGACACTTTAGGCACTAAGAAAAGCTGAGGTTGGAGAAAGAACATGTGAGACACCAGTCTTGTGCACAATTTTCAGATCAATCTGTGATGAAAAGCCAGACTTTCACTGAAGTGTGACACCAGCTGCACCACAGCCTAACCAACAGACACAAACATGCAGAGGCCTCTCCTCTTTTCCCGTGGTCAAAATTAAGAAGCCTATGACTATGGTTGCTAATAAACAAGGAACACAGATATCTTGTGAATGAGAACATCAAAAGCACGGAGTTTTGTATGTTAATTGGCACAAGTCCAGATATTCAATTCCCTCACTGATTTTAAAACACAGGGATCCCTGACTCCATCCACATGTGGAATATGATTTCCACCTATAGATAAACATTGGGATTTCTCAGATTTTATTATCCTAGCTTTATGCCCTAGCAACATTTCTCCAACACCCACCACAGCCTTCTGAAGCCTTACTCCACTTTTATTTTCACTCAACTCTGACTTTTGTATTTCCCCTTGGAACGTGGAAATAATCAAGTAAGAATCTGTTTTAGGGTGGAGTGTGGTGGCTCACGCCTGTAATCCCAGCACTTTGGGAGGCCAAGGCACGTGGATCACCTGAGGTCAAGGGTTTGAGACTAGCCTGGCCAACATGGTGAAACCCCGTCTGTAGTAAAAATACAAAAATTAACTGGGTATGGTGGTGCTTGCCTGTAATCCCAGCTACTCAGGAGGCTGAAACAGGAGAATCTCTTGAACCCAGGAGGCAGAGATTACAGTGAGCCGAGATCCCACCACTGCACTCCAGCGAGGGTGACAGAGCGAGACTCTGTCTCAAAAAAAAAAATCTGTTTTAGGATGGGGATAATCAATTGAGGGATTTATTTCACTTAGAGGGTCAACACTCCCATCCTGCTAATATAGCCCTTAAAATCTCCTGCATCAGAAATTAGCAGGAGTACCCCGAGTCATGGTGTTTCTCTCCTGTGTATACAGTCACAATCCTCTAGGATGCTCAGAAAATACAAAATGACTTAGGAGAGGGAGAAATTTAGCAGCTCAATCTGATATTTTACTAACGTGGTATCTAAAATTCTTGCAATCATGGTTTATATTAGTCTTTGTTAGTTGCAATATCTCTGATTATCATGATACATATTTGCTGAGAAATACCGATGTCCATGTATACATTCGTACATAGATATGTAGATATATAGGTGCATATGTTTATATGAATGTATGTGTTTGAGACAGGGGGAAACATGCATGTATTATTTCCCTGCTAAAAATATAAAAATAATTAAATATATTTTATGTACAAATGATAATTATGTGTCATAAACAAAAAATTTACTGACCCATTTGTACATGAAGTCCAGGAAAAATAAAAAGAGTAACTTTGTATTAATTGTGACATTGTGCTTACAGATGTACATATATTTCCTTATTTAACCCTCATAATAACCCTGCTGATTACAGTTTATTTACCAATTTAATAAATGATCAACAGAGTTTGAAAAATATGACAAAATTACAAAATTAGAAAATGACCCAGCAATACTTTTAATTATATTCTGCCTGTCGCTGCCTCTTCTTGCTTTTTGACAAAATTACTCCCCTAACCAACGTTCTCTATGATTCTGGGGACTCCAGTATTTAGACCCCAGGTCCCAAACATCATTGTGTCTATTTTTACTGCCACATTTAATGCACATTTACAGACTTCAACAAGCACTTTTCATTATCAACTTTTTTCTTATTCCTTGGACTATTTTCTACATCTGTTCATCAAGATTCCAGTAACATATGACTCCATCTGCCTGTCCCTTCCATGAATGTACCTGACAGTACATGTATTATGTAGTCTATAATTCAAGCAGAACAGCTATTCCTTCAAAAAAATAAGATATTAGAGAATGCCGACAAAGCTTCAGTGAAACCAGCTGTAACCCTTAATATTATTACCAAGTAAACTCTTCCTCGAATATCAAAATAAGATTTGGGCTTTAGAGAATATTTGTGTGTAATTATAACCCAAACATGAACGAAAAGTCATTTAACTGGTCATATACAGACTGTGCCAGGGACAAAAAAAGGACAAATATTATAAGAAAGTTAAAGCATACTTATTTCATAAAGGACTCTTGTGTGGAATCTATAAAAACTATTTCAAGATGTAGAGATTAAATATATTTTAAAACACATACATACACAAGCAATCTTTAGGAGAAACTTAAAAACTTATGTTATGGGTCTAAAATTTTCATTAATTCATGGAAAAAAATGTATTGACAAACTTTTCACCAGAGCAGAAATAACAACTTATGTATTTGGTGACTTCAAGATGACAGCCTGCACAGCTTAGTATCTCCCTCCAGATGTCTCTCTCTATTTTTTTTTTTTTTTTTTTTTTTGGCGGAGTATCACTCTTGTTGCCCAGGCTGGAGTGCAGTGGCGCGATCTCGGCTCACCGCAACCTCCACCTCCCGGGTTCAAGCAATTCTCCAGCCTCAGCCTCCTGAGTAGCTGGGATGACAGGCTTGCGCCATCGTGCTCGGCTAATTTTGTACTAGACGTGGTTTCTCCATTTTGGTCGCGCTGGTCTAAAACTCCTGACCTCAGGTGATCCGCCAGCCTCCGCCTCTCAAAGTGTTGGGATTACAGGCGTGAGCCACCGTGCCCGGCCCAGATCTCTTAAAAAGTCAAGAGGAAGGAACCAATCTGCATCCTCAATATTACCTTAATATTTTAAGGACACCCGTAAAAATTAAGAGGCCGACTTGTGACTTCCTAGCCCTTTCATGGCTATTTAGACACAACTTAGTGAAGTATTAGGAATGCATTATTAGGTCTTAAGTTCCTGGACAACAAAACCATGTTCTCCAACAGATCTTCAGTAAAAATAACTGATGTCTATATTGTTTTGCCTGTCCTTTCCCTTCCTTTAATTCAGAACTGCAGTCTCGAAAAGTGCTATTATTTAGTAGATTCTCTCACTTCTCAACACCAGTGCTATACAATGTTGAATGACATCTCAGGTGCTAGGGAAACAGCAGCTCACATTCTAGCAATGAACAAATAGAAAAGCAAAGATCACCACAGAGTAAAAGAGAATAGATTTTTTTAAAGTATGAAACCAAAACGAATATATATCAGATTACACTATAAATGGAAAATCCTATTATCTTGACGGGATTGCAAGCCTCTCATGGCTTCCAACATCCAATATATTCAAAGCAGTTCAGGAATGGTGAAAGTGGAATGGAATTTAAAATTATTCTAAGGTTTTATGTGTGAAAGCACCATGCCCTGAAACAAAACATTTATTTTTAAAGTGCATAATGAACACTGCATACAAAGTTTGTGTAACAGGAGAGAGGAAAAATCTCACATTTTAAAAAAAGGAATATGCAACATATTTAGATACAATAAAATAAAATTAAATTAAAATACAGCAATAGAAGACAGAATCTAACATCTGAAAATCAAGGGAGAAATCTATTTTAAAGAAACTTGGTGCAATTTTTAAAGTACATGATGAAAAATAATAATACCTGAGTATAGTATGTAAAAGTACCAATACAATAAAGCTAAAACAATATCCATGGACAAATTATTTGCTGTACGTTATTTTTAAAAAATAATCTAAGTACTTACCTCAATAAGGTAAATGAATGAAATTTAAACATTGCTTGAGAAAATCTGAGAAAGGAAATGAATATAGAGAAGCAGAATATAATTTAACTATAAACCACACAAATAGAATTTAAAAATAAGTGGTAGCCAACATGCCCAACATGATTTTCTGTGGTGAAAGAAATTCTCTATATCTGCATTGTCCAATGCAGTAACTACCACACATATGTAGTTACAGAATTTCTAGATTGGCCACGACTTTGGCTATTACTACTAAGGATATGCCATTTAGTTATTTAATTATAATTTATTTACAGTTTATAGTCACATGTGACTAGTAGTTACTATTTTGGCCAATACAGATCTAGAATCTTGGAGGAGGCAGTTAAAATAATGAGATATGGTCAAAACAAAAATGGAAAAGGCACACAAATAGTGAACACAGAATATGAGAATGCGAAGTAACAATTCACACAATAAAATGTAATAATGAGATGCTGCCTTGATGGGACAAATGTCTAATGATATACAAGGCTTGTCTTGTTACAGGTAGAAGAGCATGAGCAGGGCAGGAGAGGGCTCTTCCCTTACCCACTAGAAATGTCAGGTGATGGCCTGTCAATTATCACATTTCCTCTCTAAAAATGATAATTAGGCAGCACCAGAGAGAGGCCGTTTCCTGATGGTCTACACCTGTTAACATCAAAAATGTGAGTTAAATGCAGACCCCAGGAAGAAGCAACTTCTTGGGCGTGCATGTTAAGAGACAAAAATGGCAAAGCATAATCTTCCGGGGGCACGCTCCACCGGAAAAGGAAAGAAAGCTTCAGATGGACATGCATATAACTCCCTAAACACAACGTGCATGCTCAATTTCAAAGGGTAAGGAAAGCACTGTGCATGCTGGAAACTCTCCCTAAAGGAAGAATCACGGGAAAGAGGAAAACCCAACGCAGGATCAAGGTTAAAGGCTCTTCTCTTTTCTTTCTTGGACCTTCAGGCATCTGCTCGGGTCTCTTCCAAGAGAATTTTCCTCTCCTTCCTGTTCTAAAGCCTTTTTAAATAAACTTCCACTCCTGCTCTGAAACTTACTGCTCAGTCTCTTTTTCCACTGTATGTCCTTCGGTCGAATTCTTTCTTCTAGGAGGCAAGGACTGAAGTTGCTTATGGACCCATGCAGCTATGCTGCCAGTAACTGGAATCTCTTCTACTGGTAACAGTATCATTGTAAGGGAATGAGGCCAGTTCACATCTCAGTGCTTGGAGAACTCACCAAAAATAAAAAGTTGGAGGATGCAGTGAACTTATCTACCTTCCAAGGCAAGTCCCACAAGCAAGCAGCAAGACTCTTTCCCCAAGGTCTTAAAGTCTTCAGATGCTCCTTCTCTGGGAAAATGCATCCTCTGATTGGCTTCCCCTTATATATGAAAAAAAAATTAATAAACCGAATCACCACTACATTCCAAGAGACATGCCCTGATTGCACAGACACTGAATCTAATCAAAAACTTCATTCTGGAGACACTCCCTGTTCAATCTGATTGGATTTTTGAGACTACTACTAAAAACCCTCACATAAAGTTGGAAACCAAAGAGTTAAGGCTATTTTGAAGGAAAAATATGAACATTAATTCCTTTTTTTAATCATAAGTACTTTTGAGTGTATTATATGTACTAGAAAGCATTCGCAGTCAAGGGATACAACAAGAAACCAGACAAACTAGAGTCTTCTGGAGACTCTATATTCTAAAATTCTTTGGAGGTAAACTGGACTTGAAAACAAATGGAAGGCGAATAGATATAAAAAGTTTCAATGTTCATGATGATGTAAAAAAATAAAATATATTGCAGAAATGAAGTCAGGAAGTGTTATAGGGGTCATGTAGTACTTGTAAGACCACTGGTATTGTCTGAAATTCAAGCAGGCTGCAGAAATTTGGGTAACTAAAAGGAAAGCAGATGCTAATAGAAGAAAATGAAGAAAGGGCCTCAAAGACATTTTAGAGACCTTGGCTGGTGGCAGCCCCTCTCCTCAAAGGCCTGGAGGCCTAGGAGGGAAGAATCATTTTGTGAGCTGGGCCCAGTGCAAGCACAGGACAGTGCTCACAGCAATCTAGGTCTCAGCCACTCCAGCTCCAGCCATGGCTAAAAGGGCCCCAGACATTGTTTGGGCCACCGCTTTAGAGGGTGCAAGCCACAAGCCTTGGCAATTTCCATGAGGTATTAAACCTGCAGGTGCACAAGGTACAGGAGTACACTGCTGATAAAGGTATACCTGAGACTGGGCAATTTACAAAAGAAAGAGGTTTAATTGGACTTACAGTTCCACATGGCTGGGGGGAGGCAGAAGGCAAAAGGCATGTCTTACATCACAGCAGGCAAGTGAGAGAATGACAGCCAAGCAAAACTGGTTTCCCCTTATCAAACCATCACAACTCGTGAGACTTATTCACTACCACGAGAACAGCATGGGAGAAACTGCCCCCATGATTCAGTTATCGCCACTGGGTCCCCCCACAACATGTGGGAATTATGGGAGTAAAATTTGAGGTGAGATTTGGGCGGGGACACAGAGCCAAACCATATCAGAAGCCTTTGCCTGGATTTCTAAAGATGTATGAGAAAGCCTGTATGTCCAGTAGAAGTCTGCTGGGGTGGAGACTTCATGGCAAATGTCTACTACAGCAGTGCAGAGGGAAAATGTGGCGTTGGAACCCCCACAGAGTCCACACTGGGGCACTGCCTAGTGGAGCTCTGAGAAGACAGCCACCATCCTCCAGACCCGAGAATGGTAGATCCACTGTCAGCTTGCACCCTGAGCCTGGAAAAGCTGCAGGCACTCAACACTGGCCCTTGACAGCAGCCATGGGGACTGACCCTTGTATCCAAAAGAAAATAAATTGTTCTACCATAAAGATGTGTGCACTCATATATTTATTATAGCATTATTTGCAATAGCAAAGACATGGAATCAACCTAGATGCCCATCAATGTTACAGTGGATAGAGAAAATACAGTATATGTACACCATGGAATACTACACAACCATAAAAAATTTATGTCCTTTGCACCAACATAGATGCAGCTGGAGGCCATTATTCTAAAATAATGCAGGAAGAGAAAACCAAATACCATATGTTCTTAGTTATAAGTGAGAACAAAGCATTGGTTACACATGGACGTAAAGATCAGAACAACAGATACTGGAGACTACTAGAGGGGGAAGGGAAGGTGGGGACAAAGGCCTGAAAAACTATCTATTGGGTATTATGTTTTCTATCTGGGTTACAAGATCATTCATACTCCTCAGCATCACACAATGTGCCAGTGTAAAAACCTGCACATACATCTCCTGAATCTAAAATAAAAGTTGAATTTTTTTTTTAAAATGGGCAAAGATCTGGCTAACACCGTGAAACCCTGTCTCCACTGGAAAAAAAAACATACAAAAAATTAGCTGGGCATGGTGCCGGGTGCCTGTAGTCCCAGCTACTTGGGAGGCTGAGGCAGGAGAATGACGTGAACCTAGGAGGCGGAGCTTGCAGCAAGCCGAGATCACGCCACTGCACTCCAGCCTGTGTGACACACCGAGACTCCATCTCAAAAAAAAAAAATATGCAAAGATCTGAGTAGACATTTCCCAGAAGAACAGATACAAATGGCCAACAAATATATGAAAAAAATTCTTACCATCTCTAATCATCAGGGGGATGTAAATAAAAACCACCATGAAATATCACCTGATAGAATAGCTATTATCAAAAAGATGTATAACAAGTATTAGTGAGGTTGTGGAGAAAAGATAACCCTTGTATACTTGTGGTGGAAATACAAATTACTATGTCCATTTCAGATAACAGTATGAAGGTTTCTCAAAAATTTTTTAAATAAAACTACCTGCTGATGAGGCTGCTGAGATATAAGAACACTTTTACACTGTTGGTGGGAATGTAAATTAGTTCAACTATTGTGGAAGACAGTATGGTGATTCCTCAAAGACCTACAACCAGAAATACCGCTTGACCCAGCAATCCCATTACTGGGTATATACCCAAAGGAATATAAATCATTCTATTATAAAGATACATGCACACATATGTTCATTGCAGCACTATTCACAACAGCAAAGACATGGAATCAACCCAAATGTCCATCAGTGACAGACTGGATAAAGAAAATGTGGTATGTATACACCATGGAATACTATGCAGCCATAAAAAGGAATGAGATCATGTTCTTTGCAGGAACATGAATGGAGCTGGAAGCCATTATTCTCAGCAAACTAACCCACGAACAGAAAACCAAGCACTGCACGTTCTAACTTACAAGTGGGAGCAGAACGGTGAGAACACATGGATATTAGGAGGGGAACAACACACACTGGGGCCTGTTGGGAGGCAGGTGGAGGGAGAGTATCAGGATAAATGGCTAATACATATATGCAATGGAATATTGTTCAGTGTTACATAATAACGAAACCCTGTCATTTGTGACAACATGGATGGACTTGGAGGGCATTAGGTTATATGAAATAGGCCAACCACAGAATGACAATTACTATATTATTTCACTTGTGTTTGAAATCTAAAATAGACAAACTCACAAAAGCAGAGAGTAGAATGGTGGTTGCCAGGTGCCGTGGTGCTGGGGAAATGGGTAGATGTGGTTAGAGCACAAAGTTTCAGATATACCACGTAAGTAAGTTCTGGAGGTCTCGTTTACAGCATAGTGCTTACAGCTAAGAATACTGTATTACATACTTAAAATTTGCTAAAAGGGTAGATTTTGTATTCTTACCAATATTTCTTACCAAAAAAAATAATAATAATAAAGGGGAGGGGACTTAGGGAGGTGAAGGATAAGGTTATAATCTTGATGGTAGTGATGTGTTCATGGTGTATACTT
This sequence comes from Homo sapiens, assembly GCF_000001405.40. Lineage (NCBI taxonomy): Eukaryota > Metazoa > Chordata > Mammalia > Primates > Hominidae > Homo > Homo sapiens. Next base: position 5,537,292 of record NW_018654717.1, on the reverse strand, counting down.
ATCCCCAAGCTCACTGAGATGTACACCTTAAATATGTACAGCTTTTTAAATGTAATCATCGCTCAACAAAGTCGGTTAAAATAAAACAAGAGGGGGTTGGTTAAAAAACTTAAAAGGAGGGGTAGATGTTCCCTTGTTTTTTTCTCTTGGCTTTTTTCCTACCTGCTGCCTGGAATTCAAAAATGATAGGTGGGGATTTAGCAGCCAAACTAGAGCCTCTTTTACACTATAGCAGAACAGAGTGCTGGAAGGGGCCTGCATCCCTAATGAATTTGGCAGGTATCTGTACTAGCCATGGTAGGTAGAACTATAGATTTAAGTGAGGGAGAAACAAACTTCTGCCTTGTTTAAGCTACTTTGTTCAGACATTAATTTTATATACATATAGAGAACATATGCTCCTTTATGAGTAGGAAAAATGTTTATGCCATATGGTCCATGATGGGTGTTCAACAATGTAGGATGAGGCTGATTATGATGACAATGGTGACAAATAGCATGAAATAATAAGCAATGAAAATAAGGTGGCCTCATAGTTGTGTATGGTTACTTTATTTAAAGATTCTGCTGCTAATATCATTCAATGTATTTGTATGCTGGTGGCAGTTTTGTTAGATGTAGACTAAGAAAGTTTACATTATTTAATGAAAAATACTTGACCAATTAAAAAAAAAATAAAAATATCATGAGATGGAACTAAGCATCTGTATTGCAAAGTAACTCTCCCAGTTGATTTTCTGCATAGTAATGATTGAGAATCCCCTGATCTAGATCCAATAGATCTCGACCTTTATAGGTGCTATCGAGGAAGCACCTAAGGAAGACAATTTTCCTGACTATATCCATACCTCCAGTTAGTAATAGATCTAGAGATCTAGAACCCAAATCCAAACCTCCTGCCTCCACATGCGGTGGTCTTTCGCTGTTGTTTTGTTCCACTTGGTGAAGAGGATTTGAGAATAAATAGCCACATGATTCAACTCCCTCCTCAGTTCTGAGGAATATAGCCTTGTCCTAGCAAGCAAGAAGTTCATACAGAAGTGGATGAGGCAAATATACATTCACTAATCTAACATACAAGGCAGTAAGTACTGTAACATAAACAAAGCACTTTGGAGTTTCAGACCAGGAGCAAGTGGGGTGATTAATTCTTAGCAGGGCTAGTAAAGTCTGGGAAGTGTTCACTAACAAAATGTCTGGTCATTAATGAAACCAACTGGTTTCTCAACACAGTCTAATTTATTGTAACAATATAAATGGTTGTTTGTTCATAAACTTTCATCTTTTGCCAAAATGTAGCTTATGTCCCCATTTAACAAGGTTTTCTGGCCAAAACTGTGCACCCACATCATTCTAATGAACTGGCTGTCCAATAAAAAAAAAGGATTCTCAGTCTTCCCATAAAAGCAATTTTGCGTGCATAGAACACCTCTATCTATGAATATCCCTAAGGAGGTACAGAAAGACTCTTATTATCCAAACAGAGACATTCCACTGCTGCTAGAGAGCCACAGACGGAAGTTTTCTCTGCCTCCTGGAAATGAAGCCAAACTTTTTTCTTTCTTCAGCCATGAGGATTGCTGTCCTCTTCTTCACCATTTTCTTCTTTATGAGCCAAGTTCTACCAGGTAACAAAATAAACTTGGTAAGAGTAGAGTGCCTAACACCTTACAGGGATTCAATACTCAAAGAGAAATCACCATCACCTATGACCAGAAAAGGGGGTCTCATAGGAAACCTGGAAGACTCATTGGCTGAGAGGCCTGCAGCCATCTAATTCGTTAATTCTCCATAGCAACCCAGTTAAATGAAGTCAATGGTGTTTCAAGTCTTTGAAACCCTCTTATTCCATCTCCAAATTAGGCAAGTTTACTAGCAGTTACTAGACCTCAAAAATTAAAAATCAGGCATTATTCTACTAAATTTTTGTCTCCAAAGCTCCTCTTTCGGCAAAAGTCAGTTATCCTAAGAACTGGCATAAGAGCTATGCCAAAGCTGTGGTAGGCTCAGACAGAAGGGATTGGTGGAAGAAGTCTCTTTGAAAATATTACTATAATCTAAGAAATCTTTAACCTATTGCTCCCCGATACTGTTGGTCCCTGGAGCTTGACTTTTCCCCTTAAGGCTCCATCTCCATCCCTGGCTGTCCCTCTTCCTTCTCAGCATCTAGTCTTGTAATGTAGAATTTAAACACAGGAACCAGGGATGATCCCACACCAGAGCATAGCCTACTGCATTCAGCATGCGAACATTAATCACAGGTATAAGGCCCCTTGCACAGACATGCTTTGGAGAAGTGTGTATAGGACTTCTTGGATTTGCCCAAGGTGGTTACCAGACACCCAAAGTAGATTCGAAAATTTTCTGGAACTCCTGAACATGTGTATTCAAGGATGAATAAGCAACTTATTGCCTCTATTTTTGCTGTTTTATAGAGAAAAAAAATAAGGCCCTGGAAACTGAAGTGCTTTTCCCAACAGTGGGGTAAATGTCAGAGTCAACACTTTGTTTTAATATCCTGGCTTTCCCTATACATCCCACCCTAGAGTTCTGTTGTGCTGTTCCTTTGTTTGACTTTCTAAAGCCTGAAAAAAGGTGATACCATATCCAATCATATTAACTCGGTAGCACACAACATCCGGGACTGACATAAGATTATTATCCCTGTGGCATTACTGAATTCCTGTCTCACTAGTACTTGTTAAATAGTCACCCTGGCTAAATACATGGGTTTGATTTTTTTTAATTAGTTAAAAATATTTTAAAATATGTGTCTTACATATATAACCCCAGAAAATCAATTCTTTTAATCAAGGTTTAAAAATTCCAAATTTGGATAAACAAATTTTTTGGTTTGTTTGTTTTCACTGTCACTCAATAAAAATAGAAGCAACTAATTGGATAGACCAGCACAGGCGGAAGCACGACTCACAGTCAAAAATGGGATGCAACAAGACTGGAGAAGAAAACACAGGATGGTGCTAAAGAATGCAGCCTAATGAAAGGTGGCATCTCCTCTGGATGTCCTTAAGTAGACATTGAAGCAGAACTGCCAACTTTTTGTAGAAGGCTAGAGAGGAGAGGAGGACACAGAGAGAGGGCAAGAGTGGAAAACAGAATGAGGCTCAGAATACCAAGCCTTAGTGCTCTCCCTATCATCTGCCTCACTCGATCACTGGGTAATCTTGGGCAAGTTTCTTCCTTTCCATCAGCTTATTTCCTCATCTTTAAGGTAAGTGACTAGACAAGACAGCCTATGTTCATTGTAACTCTATCTTTTGTTCCTAAAGCAAATGGCTGGAAAAGACATAGTGTCCACAATATGCAATACACAAGGTTCACAAGCAAAGAACAAATGAAAACGAAAGATTTTTAAAATCCCTAATGTTATTTGAATTCTTGCAAATGAACTATGGTACATAATAATTTTAAAAAGCCTTTTGTAATTTCAATTTTTAAAAATAATTTCAACCTTTATTTTAGATTCAGGGAGTGCATGTGTGATTTGTTACATGGGTATATTGTGTGATATTGAGGTTTGGGGTATGAATAACTCTGTCACGCAGGTAGGGTGTACCCAAAGGGTAGCTTTTCAGACTTTACTCCCTCTCCCTCCCCTCCTGGTAAGACCCAATCTCTCTTGTTCCCATTTTTATGTCCATGTGCACTCATTGCTCGGCTCCCACTTATAACTGAGAATATGTGGCATTTGGCTTCCTGTTCCTGAGCTAATTTGCTTAGAATAAAGTCCTCCAGCTGCATCCATGTTGCTGAAAAGGACACAATTTGGTCCTTTTTATGGATGCATAGTATTCCGTGACATATATGTACTACATTTTCTTTATTCAATCCACTGTTGATGAACACCTAGTTTGATTCCATACCTTCACTACTGTGAATACCACTGTGATGAACATACAAATTTAGGTCTTTTTACAAGACTGATTTACTTTCCTTTGGATATACACCCAGTAGTGAGATTAGTGGGTCAAATGGTAGTTCTGTATTAAGTTTCTTGAAAAGTGGTTTGAAAATATAATGCTCAATAGAATCAGGTATAGTAAAATAGTACACATGATTCAAAGACCTGTGAACCGAGAGTAACAACAAATTTCCACACAAACATATTGCAAGTTAGAAAATAGCTGTATTATAATCAATTATTCCACAATCATTTACTGAATAGCTATTATAAGACAAGACTTTAATCAGATTCTGGAATATACATACAGAGGAGAATAAGATATGATTCCTGCCCTCAAGAAATTCATTATCAAGAATTGAGGTCAGATGGGAAAACGCCACCCATAGTAGAATGCAAGAAGTACTACCACAGAGGGATGTTCAAGGGTGATTTATCACATATCACAAGACAGGTCAGTGGTTCATCCTCTACACTATACTAATCTCTTATGACTCTTCCAGCTGCAAAGGGCCAATTTTAGCACAAGGCCAGTGGGCTTGGGTACTACTATACTTAGTAGCTGACTACTTACAGATAAAAGGAAGAGATGGAAAGCTCAGGGATCAAAAAACTCAGATTTCAGCTTGTTTCTACCAAGTGGTCAACATTTAGAATTACCATTGTCTTCAGAAAGGCATGACCTTTATTTCCCAATTTGCCTTATAGATATAAATATGATGTTGCATATATTTGGTCTTCACATCAATCCACTAACTGCTTTGTGACCATTGAAAAGTTAAATGGAATCTAATACATTTGGATTTCAGTTCAATTAAATAGGCATTTATTGAATGTTTATTAAAATTGCTGTACTGATTGAAAGCTATTCTAGAATTGGCTTTTGTGTTCCAGAATAGAAAAAAAAAAAGGTGCTGGTTTTTATACTTCTCTTATTGCCAAGAAGTTGTCATGGAAAAGGTGCTCTGTGTTACATACAAAGACTGCTCAGAAATAAAACACTTTTCAAACTCAGTACCTCAGAGTGTGTGGCCTATCCCCAGAGCAGTGATATCTTAGGACATAAATGAAATACTATTCAATATTTTCAACAAGTATAGTTTTTGAGCCTTTAAGAAGACCTTGAATGTTTCACTCTTAATATATGCAATGGTTTCTAGAGAAAAATTGCAACCTCAAAGACCAGTGCCAGAGATATGAGTAGTGAGTGAAGTCTCAGGGTGTAACAAGTAATGGCACAGATATATTTATGTATTAAACACATAGGAATATTGTTCCCTTCCACAGGAAAAATATCCTCTCTAACAATTGAAGTATATTATCTTTTAGGTCTATATTTCAGTTCTACTTTTGAAAGATACATCTATTATAATCTATCATATAGAGAGAGTGTGTGTGTGTGTGTGTAGGAATAAAAACAGCTGATCCAAAAGAGATTTTCTTCTCTTTCACTCCAGGAAAATCCATAGTACAGGACATTATATTTTCTTAAAAGGCTGACATCTCCCATCAGTGTTAGAAGACAATAAGGAAGAAATAAACTGAAACTTGTATGCTCTAGAACTTGTAAAGGGAAGCAGGCTACTCACCTCCAGCCTTTTGTCATGTAGGTGCACCCAATATTCTCAGATTTTTCAAGAACACCAAAAAATCCAAATTTTTGTGTGGCAGCAGATTTTTAAGTGTTTAAGAAATCAAATAACACACACACACACACACACACACACACAGACACACACACAAATCCACACAAGATTATTTTCAGGCACTGCCCCCTACGTCCATGTAATTCAATACAAAGTAAAGAAAGACTGATGAATGGTTACAATAACCCCTTCTGCATGTAGCCAAGGGCAAATTCAAGGAGATCTGTGAACGTCCAAATAGCTCCTGTCGGGACTTTTGCCTCGAAACAGAAATCCATGTAGGGAGATGTTTAAATAGCCGACCCTGCTGCCTGCCTCTGGGGCATCAACCAAGAATTGAGAGCACTACACACAAAAAGGACTGAAGCCTGTTGTTTTCTGGAGGTTTTAGGTTCTCTTTTTTCTCTCTCCCTCTCCCTGTCTCCCTGTCTCCCTTTCCCTCTCTCCATTTTTCTCACAGGGATTTTTATTGAATCCTCAAAAAAGAATAAACCAAAACCAACCAGCACAAAACCTCTTTTAAAAGTTTATATTACTGGCTGGGTGCGGTGACTCATGCCTGTAATCCTAGCACTTTGGGAGGCCAAGGTGGGTGCATCATGAGGTCAGGAGATCAAGACCATTCTGGCCAACATGGTGAAACCCTGTCTCTTTTAAAAATACAAAAATTTAGCCAGGCATGGTGGCGGGCACCTGTAATCCCAGCTACGCAGGAGGCTGAAGCAGGAGAATCGTTTGAACCCATGAGGTGGAGGCTGCAGTGAGCCGAGATCCCGACACTGCACTCCAGCCTGGGTGACAGAGTAAGACACTGTCTCAAAAAAAAAAAAAAAAAAAAAAAAAGTTTATATTACATGTTATGACTTGATTACTGTTTGGTTTCCAGTATCCTTCTATCCCATCTAGATGAGCTCTTAGTTGAAAATGACATACAGCAGGGTGGGGGAACTTTCAATCATACCCATTGCTTTTGTCTAGCACTGTAACCCTTCACCCTGCATGTGGGAAGACCACTCCCCTTTTTTACTAGGAAAATGCGCCATCCTATTCCATGCAGCCTTGCGGGGGTCTGTCTCTCCCTGATAAAGGTGCAGCACATGGGAAAATTGCACAATCACGTCAACCAGACTTCACCAGAAATCTAAATTATAAAAAGAGTTGCACTCAGATTAAAGGCAATTTTTTCAGCACCCTTTTCGGAGGCAATTCCCTGGGTCTGTACATGTATGCCTGGCCAAGATTCAGGGAATTCCTTTGCTTCCCAGCTTTCACTGGGCATAATCATTCAGCATTTTCTTCCATCTTTTAAAATACTGTATTGGCTTCCTACGGCTCCTATAACAAATTACAACAAACTTAGTGGCTTAAAGCAACACAAATGCATTATCTGACAGTTCTATAGGCTGCAGGTTTCAGATGGATCTCAGTGGGCCAACATCAAGGTGTCAGCAGGGCTGAGCTTTCTTCTGGAAGCTCTGCAGTTTTCTTCCTGCACCTTTATCCCAGCAATGGCAGGTTACTCCTGGGCACCATAGCTTCCTTCATACATTTTCAAAGCCAGCAACGGAGCGTTGAGTCCTCACATTCCATCATTCTGAATTCATCTTCTCCCCACTCTTCCATTTTTTAGGACTCATGATTACATTGGGCCCACCTGGATAATCTAAGATAATCTCCCTATTTTAAGGTCAGGTGATTAACAGCCTTAATTTCACAGGAAACCTCAATTCCCCTTTGCTTACACGGTGGCACATTCACAGGACCCAGGAGTTAGGATGTGGATAGCTTTGGCGGGAGACAGAGGGGACATTATTCTGCCTACAACAGCCACTGAGTGCTTTTACCACCTGTCACAATTTTCCTCCATTTAGACACAACTTTAGTGGCTTTGTGTGAAGAGATTCTCATTCATAGAGTTTTCTTTTTTGTGTAAAGTAGTGGGGGGCCTCCCCTTGGTCATTGAAAGAGTATAGAATCAAGATATTTAAAAGTATGTTAGCTGGATTTTATTTTTCACTATGCCTGATTTGGCCAAGAAACAATGTTAAGTTATGTCACATGGACTACTCGAAATCTCAAAAAGTTCAAAACATTGGGTTCAAAATCTCGGAGATTGAGATATATTCCAACCAACTCAACCCTATGGAAGTGCCAAGTTTTCCTCAGTGCACTCTTGAAACTGCATCACCAACTGTCCCTTTAATATATTTTTGCACTATATAACATTTATTTCTTAGAAAAGAAGCAGTTTGGACACGTATATTAAAGCTGTCACATAGAATATTATCCTCTCATTGCTAGGAGGCGGTCTTCAAGATGGCTGACTAGAGGTACCAGGCACTGTGTCCTCCCAAAGAAAGACCAAGACAGCAAGTAGATAATCATACCTTGAAGAGGGCATGAAAGAGGGCACTAGAATTCAGCAGCAAAGTGATGAGGAATCTCTGAGGTATGGAAGGAAGGAAAATGAAGCAGCTGCCCAGCCAGAATCAGCTTAAAGCCAGGACAGGCTCTCCAGTGTGGTGAAAAGGTAAAAAAGAGAGCCCCAGTGGTCCATATTCCCACTGTGGACACTGCAATCCTAGCCAAGGGACAGTCTCTCAGCCCTCGCAGGCCCTGAGACTGCTATAGGGAGCTGCCTGGAGTCTAGGTGATGGTCATTGTCCCAGAGAAGGAGTTGGCACTGGATCGTCTGCACCTGCCCCCAGACACAGGCAGCTGTGGCACAATGCCAATTTGAGAGCCCAGCCCCCAAAAGACTACATCCTGCCCTGGGGCCCAACAGCCCCTGCATCTCCACATCTCTGGACCCTCAGTGACATTCCCTCATGTCCATCCAGAGGCCTGCAGAGTCACAATACCAGCTGAACTCACCAGTGTAGCTTGGTCCCCATCACTCTAGCCTACACAGTGTCCTACACTCCAGGGAACTGGCTGTGCCATTCACTAGGGAGGCTGCCCCCAGAACAAAGGGAGCTGAAGCAGGCACTCTTCTCAAGTGGAGAGTCACCTTCCCAGGACCACTGACACTGACAGCAATCCTGACCCCCAGGAGCAGGGCCACTGCACACCTGCAGGCATCCTCAGGGGACCTGGGGACTCACCTGCCTGAGCACTATTCCAGGGCCAGAGCACAGGCCCATCCCACCCATTGCTGTCACTACCACTACCCAAGGTCGTTGTCCAGGAGGCTGGGGATCAACCCACACTGCTGTCTGTCATTGGCACCTGTGCATGCCTTCTTGTGAACTGAGTATGAGCCCACCCAGCCTGGTGGTGCCTGTGCACATTGTCTGGGAGCCTGGGGATTAATCCACCATGCCTATCACCATCAAGTACCTGTGTGTCTCCTGAGAGCTTAAGGATAGGACTTCCCAGCCTGCCATCACAGCTGTCACCAGTGCCCACATATTTGCACCAGGTGAAAGCCTGAGGACTACTCTGTCCATCATGTTGCCATGACTGTTGGTGTCTGCACATGCCATCTGGGGTCACGAGAGTTGACCTGCTATGACTACTGCAATTGCTGATGCTACACATGCCTCCCAGGGTCTTGAGGACATGCCTATCTACCGAGCTCACCACTGTCACTGCTGGCACTTGAGAAAGCCACCTGACTCACGCCTGTAATCCTAGCACTTTGGAAGGCTGAGGGGGGCAGATCACCCGAGGTCGGGAGTTCAAGACCAGCCTGACCAACATGGAGAAACTCCATCTCTACTAAAGACAAAATTAGCTGGGCATGGAGGCGCATGCCTGTAATCCCAGCTACTCTGGAGGCTGAGGCAGGAGAATTGCTTGAGCCCAGGAGGCAGAGTTGCAGTGAGTTGAAATTGTGCCACTGCACTGCAGCCTGGCCTACAGAGCTAGACTCTGTCTCAAAACAACAACAACAAAAAAAAAAAAAAAAAAAAAAAACACAACACATCTTTGCCGTGATGTCTGGTAAACAGAAAGTGGTCAGCATTATTTGTTATTAGTATTAGTGTTGTCGTTGCCATTGCTTTGATTCACATGGAAATGGTTTGTAAGCTGTGATGCCTACTATTAATGTTATCTATCACAATTGTTAGTTATGTCTGGTATCTATTGCAACAACTAGATGAATGTAATCTTGGGAAAAAATTTTAAATTTCTTTAAGCTTCTCTCTCCTGATTTGTAAAATGAAATTTGTTGTACATGCTGTGTTTTTCTCAGCTATGCAGCTGTTCAGTTATTCCATATTTCAGTGCTTCCTTGGCTGATCAATCAGTTTGGCCTACGTCAGCTCCAAGGGCATCCACTTCATCATCCTCCAGGTGGACTTGTAGCTTACCTGAGGCTGTTTGTATCAGACATCCAAGAAGGAGAAAGAGAAGGAACAGCAGTGTCATGATGGGAAATGAGTGGTCAGGATTATACGATGACCTTACAGCCTGAAGGTGGCTCTTTCTTCAGTGTACATCAATTGAGGAGGACAAGTGATCTGGGAATGAGTTTGAATTCAGCTGGGAAACTAACACAGGAATAGAAAACCAAATATTGCACATTCTCACTTATAAATAAGAGCTAAGCATTGAGCAGACATGGACATAAATATGGGAATTATAGACACTGTGAACTACTAGAGGGTGGAGGGAGGAGTTGGGTTAAAAAACTACCTATCTGGTACTATGTTCAGTACCAGGGTAATGAGATCCATACTCCAAACCACCACATAATACCATATTCCCATGTAACAAATCTGCGCATGTACCTACTGTATCTAAAATAAGTTGAAATTTTAAAAAAATGAACATACATAGAGTAAATGGATCTTTTTTGAAATAATTTTGGGTAACTAATACTTAAATCCAGAAGCAGCAGTTTATTGCACTTTTGTTTCATTTTAGCCAATTTCTACATGTATGTGGCTAAGCACACAAGGGCGTGATACAAAAGTGGCAAAACAGATCTGCTGAGCTACCTGCAAATGCCTTTCAGAAATAAAATAAAGCATCCTTTAGTGGTGATGCTTCTTCTCAAGAGCAAATGACTCCACTCAAAGTAAATCACTGCAAAATTTAAAAAGAAGAAGAACAACAACAACGACAACAATTCATCTAGAGAGAAAAAGCTTGCATTCCTGATTCAAATGTTCAAATTATGGCATGGGTGTAACCTGAGAATGTTCCATCTATGGACTCATGATTACAGATCCAAGTCTCCTCCTATTCAAATAGAAAGTCTTCACAATCATTTTGCATTTTCTGGTGGATTTTCATTTCTGCTTATGGCTCTGAGGTTTGGTGCCTTTTTTCCCCAGAATAAATTATTATAAAATAGTGATATTGAGGATTCATCCATTTATTCATTTATCCTCATTCATTTCATGTCTCTGCATCTATCAACTTTCCTTTTGGAAATATAAAGAAAACCACCCTTTAAACATTTTTTATTTCTTCCATTCTATAAAAAAGTTTATTTTTAATGCCAGACCATGTAAGGGCAGCTATTTTAAAATTGCGTTTTGATTAAAATTGCATTTTGAATTCATGCAAGATTACTTTCTGTCAACTGCCTCTTTCCACACATCTATGGATTAAATTAACCAATATTTAATACCACTGACATTACCTTATTTCAAGATCTGAAAGTGCTACATGAATCATTAAGGAGAGGTTAAATTCTCTCTCTTCTTTTCAAATTTCAGTAGTTTTTGGGGTACAGATAGTTTTTTGTTACATGGATGAATTACATAGTGGTGAATTCTGAGATTTTAGTACACCTGTCACCTGAGTAGAGTACATTGTACCTAATAGGTAGTTTTGTATTCCTAGCCCTGCGGCCTTCTGAGTCTCTAAAATCCATCATATCACTCTGTATGCCTTTTTGTACTCATACCCTAGCTCCCACTTATAAATGAGAGCACTTGGTTTTTTGGAAAACCACCCATTTTAGAAGCTAAAAAAGGAGAAGAAATTCTGTAAATGGAAATTACATTTTTTCCTTGGTTGAGTTCAATGTTTGATTTTTTTTTTTTTTTTTTTTTTGCTACCTGGTTAAAAGCGATAATTCTAGGCAGGCTCTTACCATGTCAAACTTCTGCATAGATTACAACTAGGTGACACATTAGGGGCCAAAGAGTTTCTTAATCATGTAGTGCAATGCATTTTTATGGTAAAGGAATTAAACAGCAGAAAGTATACACGGTAAAACACTGAAATTCCTCCTTCTCTCTTTCCCCTCCACATCTGTGTTGCTTTATATTGTTTCTACATCTCTCTTCTTCTCTACACTGTGAGCTTCTAAAGTAACAGGCACTGTCTGATTACCTTACTTCCTCAGCCCCTGAGAAGTACCTAGCAGAGACGAGGTACTCACGTATTTGTTTAAACAAATGAAACTTGAATGAAAGAATCAATACATGAATGAATAAATTGACAGAGGGAGGAAGGAGGTAAGGAAGTGCTGTGGCCTGAATGTTTGAATATTTGTGTCTCCCCATTCATCTGTTGAAATGCCAACCCCCAAAGTGGTGATGATATTACAAGGTGCGGGCTTTGAGGAGGTGATTAAGTCGTGGAGCTGAAGCCCTTGTGATGGGATTGCTGCCCTTATAAAAGAGGCCTGAAGGAGCTCGTTTGTACCTTTCACCACATAACAACACAGAGAAGGAAGCGAGCTCTCTCCAGACACCTATGCCGGTGTCTTGATCTTGGACTTCCAACCTCGAGAACTGTGAGAAGTAAACTTCTGCTCTTTATAAGCCACCCTGTTTATATTACTTTTTAATAGCATCCCAAATGGACTAAGGCAGGAAGGAAGGAAGAAAAGAAGGAAGGAAGGCAGGGAGGAAACTCAGGGATGCATACCTTTCGACCTCTCTAACAGTGGTCACCCTACATTAATAATCAGTATGTGTTGAGAAGCCAAAAGGTAGATTGTTGATGAGATGTAGACATCAGAGAAATCAGCCAAGCTCTGATGTAAGCTGTGGTCTTTGCAAAAATAGAGACAATTTTTTTTTGTACCTAAGAATAAAAGAGCTCTAAAGTCAGATAACCCTGGTTTCAAAACTTTTGCTCTGCCATTCATCAACTGAGTGATCTTGTGCAAATAATTCAACCTTTCAAAGCTCCAGTGTCTCCTGTTTATTTGGTGATGGCTATAGTGTCAACCTCCTACTGTTTGTCTCAGGAAAAAAAAAAATCTTAGGAGGAGTCAATTGCTACCCAATACCTATCCACACAGAGTTGTGTTTTAACTAGGATCACCACAAGAGTTTCAACCCCATCAAAAAGTGGGCAAAGGATGTGAACAGACATTTCTCAAAAAAAGACATTTATGCAGCCAACAAACATGAAAAAAAGCTCATCATCACTGGTCATTAGAGAAATGCAAATGAACCTAACCTGTAAGAGGAACTTTTAAGTCAACTTCTGGATACCTGAAATCACACAAGATACTACTTTCCTCCATAAAGCCTGGAATGTCTCAAAAAAATCCCTAAAATTTAAAACTTAATAAGGACAACTTTGCCTTTTAGGGCCCATGGAATTAGAGGCTGGTAGGGAAACTTTGGCCATTTTGGGTGTGGGAGAAAGATGGTCGTAGATAAGGCCTAAAATTGTAGGAACACACTGAATTTCACTTATTAAATGTTAGCATAACTTAAGTTTACATAATTTAATAAAATAATATAGAAACTCCTCTGTCACTCCAGTAAGAATGAACATTCTTGAACACCTATCACGTACCATGAGTCTTGAAAGTGGTATCTTAGTTGACATAACTTTTATATGAGATAGATATTTTCTCTGAGCAAGTCAATGCAGGTTATACAACTAGTGATTGAGCTGGGATTTGAACTATCCACAATCAAAACTTTTGCTTATTTTACAGTCTTTCTTGCTAAAAAAGAAAGATAATATTTTTTGAATAAAGGAACACATCTCTAGTGAGATAAACTAGTTCTGTGTGTTTGACAGCAATAGAGCTTGAGGTTCAGAGAATGAACAGGGTCGTGCATAAAAGGTTGTCTGAATTGCACTTCCCTAACAAAGGGGGAAAGTCTGCATCAGGTGGGTCATGGTGGGCCAAGTGGGTAAAGGTCAGTGCTCCTTAATCACTTCCCAAATGTTCCGCTTCTTAATACTATTGCATTGGGGATTAGATTTCAGCATGAATTTTGGGGGAGAGACACAAACACTCATACCACAGCAAATAATGATGGTGATAATACTACTGATAATAATAATAATAATAATACCACTAGAAAGTAAAGTGGAGGCTGAAATCTGTTGTCTACATTCCTGTCTCCTACACTTACACCCTGAAAGCAAGCCTCTTTATTGCCTCCCACCCCTTATTTAAAACCAGTTGGCCCTACTGGAAACCCACCTTGCAGTTGGTTCCTCCACCCTCCACAGGCTGTGTGCTGTATGTCCCTTGGGACAAGGACACCTGAAAGCAGCTCCAGTGACCACATAATTAGGGGTCATATCAATGGGCAGAGGCAGAGCTTAGTGAGGTCATGCAGAAGGCATTGTGACCCTATTGACAGAAGTCAGGTTTGAGTGGCAGTGAGGGAAAGAAGGGTGGTAGGATGTGGGGACTGTGTAGCACCCCTTTCATAGGGTTTCCCTGAAAAGCTGGGCAAATGCAAAAGATGAGAGCTCTTGTGTGTCCAATAAGTGTTTTTCTTTTAGTTGGTATAGATGCAATAGAGGGGAATAAGAGATAGATTAGGTGAGAGAAAGAATTGCTGGAGTCCTGATGCGATTTGGCTCTGTGTCTCCACCCAAATCTCATCTCTAATTGTAATCCCCACATGTCAAGGGAGGGATCTGGTGGGAGGTGATTAGATCGAGGAGGCAGTTTCTCCCATGCTGTTCTTGTAATAGTGAGTGAGTTCTCATGAAATCTGATGGTTTAAAAATGGTGCTTCCCTCTTCTCTCTCTCTCCTGCTGCCATGTAAGATGTGCCTACTTCCTCTTTGCCTTCTGCCATGATTGTAAGTTTCCTCAGGCCTCCCCAACCCTGCGGAACTGTGAGTCAATTAAACCTATCTTTTTTTTTTTTTTAATAAATTACTCAGTTCTTTATAGCGGTGTGAAATGGGCTAATACGAGTCCTGTCTATGAGTAAGCAAGGAAATGCGATCTACGACCCTTTCTCTCTTCTTCCCTCTTTACCCTTCCCACCTTTGTTCCCTCCTTTCCTCTCTCCTTCCTTCCCTCCCTTTTCTTTATTCCTCCCTCCCTGCTTTCCTCCCTCTCCTTTCCCCCTCCCTTTCCTTCTTCCTTTTTCCATCCCTTCTGTCTTTTCTTACCATTCTTTCTCTCTCTCTCTCTCTTTCAGTGCCCTGTCTTTTTTTTTTTTTAACTTCTCTTTCAATACATGCCAGGACAAAATAAAGGAATAGCAAAGCTAAAGTCATCTGAAAGCCAAAGTTGTGATGGAGAACAGTGAAGAGACCACATGGGGCACTTATGGCAAGGGTTCACCGTATAAAGTGCGCCAGGCATATATTATGAGCTTCTCTAGGTGCCCCAAAACTCTTCCATTTAATTATAAAAGGATATACTCGTAAAGAGATAGCCAGAATTTCTATCCTTGAAATAAAATTAATCATTTTACTTCCATTTAAAATGGCACTTATCCCTTAAATATAGGCACCCCAGTCTTGCCAAGAAAAAGCGATGGGATCATCACAGGTAATTTCAGTCTGTTAGGTTGGGCCATGAAAACATAAAACTCTGAAACCTCCTCTAAAGCTATATGTACCTTCAATGTTAAAGGGAAGGTGCTTAGTTTTCACAAACTGTTCAAATAGTCTATCTGGTCTAGAGAAAGAATTAGTAATAAACTACAATCTAACCTCAATTTATGTCAACCCTCTTGTTTCTCAGCTCCCTCTTATCTGGAGCAGGCAACAAGGACAAAAATGGCAAAGTGAAGAGCAGGTAACCGACATTCATAGCTGGTGGCTGACCAGCCAAGTGACAAGCCAAGATTGCTACCTTCTTAAGAGTCTGACACTTTCTACACAAATGCAGATTCTAAGAACGTACATTTTTGACCTCAGGTTTTTATGGATTATGATCTTTCACTTCTGGAACTCAGATGAGGGTTGAAGGCATTAAAGGCAGCCTGATGTTTTGCAAGGCAGCAATTTGCTGTTTTTTGGGGTTTTTTTTTTTTTTTTTGGTTTTTTTTTTTTTAAGAATAGCACTTTGGAGGTGTGTGATTGATTAATAAAGAATTAGACCTTGAACCAGAAGAATAAATCTCTGACAGTACATATTTACTCTCTGCAAATTCTATGGAGGAAGTGCTTTTGGTGTAGGAATATCCTGGAGATATGAAATCATGGAATGGATACATATGTCTTCCACCCTCACCTAAGACTGAATCTGTTCACAATAAATTCCAAGCTACAGATCTGAAATAAATGGGCTATTCATGTAATACTGAGCTCAGAGTGCCTTCTGAGGGAGGAAGAGTTATCATATGAGCCTTGCTCATTTCTAGGAAAAAAACATAGAAAGTTCAGTAACTTGTTGCGAGTTTTTCATCATTTTTTCTCCATTAAACAAATGTAGGCTTAGGTCTTTTGTGTTACTAATTTTATGCTCAATTCATGATTTGAAACTAGGATATAGTCGACCCTCTGTGTTGATCTGAAAATACTCAGGAAAAAAGAAATGTGTCTGGTCTGAACATATACAGGCTTTTTTTGGTCATTATTCCCTAAACGATATAAGTTAACACCCATTTACTTAGCATTTACATCGATTTAGGATTTACAGGTAATCTAGAGATGATGTAAAGTACATAGGAGGAAATGCAAAGGTTATATGACAATACCCATGCCATTTTACATCAAGGACTTCAGCATCTGAGGAATTTTATATCCACAGAGGACCTGAAACCAATCCCCCCCGGATACCAAGCAGCAACTATATTTGTTAATTACTGCTGAAGTAGTAAATTGTCATTAACCTTAGTGACTTTAAACAATGCTAATTAATTATCTTACAGTTTGGGGGAATAAAATATCCAAAATCAAGGTGTCAGCAAGACTGTGTTCCTTCCTAGAGTCTCTAAGTGAGAATCTTTGTTTGCTTTTTTGTTTTGTTTTGCATTTTCAAGCTTTAGAAGCTGCCCAACTTCCTTGGCCTGTGGCTTCTTCATCTCAAAGCCAGCAATGCCTGTCAAGTCATTCTAACATCACATCATGAAGACACTGACTGTTCTGTCTCTTTCCAAATTTAATGATCCTTTTGATTACATTGGTCTCGTTCACCTAATCTAAGATAATCTCCCTATTTGAAAGTCAGCTGATTAGCAACTTTAATTCTGTCTGCTGACATTAATTCTTATCTGCTATGTAAAGAAGCATAATCATAGGTTCTAGGAATTGGGACATGGACATCTTTGGGAGGCCATTATTATGCCTACTACACCTAGTAAAATAAAACTCGGTGTAGCAAATAAATACTTTGGCCACAAAAATTGTCTTTAAGGAGAAAAATGTCTGTGAATAACTTTTTAGTATATGGACATTGCAAATATCATGGGATATATAATGTAAACTCTACCTAAACTTCCAGGCACCAGGAGAGCAACAAATTCATTCAAACTAAAAATGTCACATATTATAAAAATTAAATGATTAAATAAATAAGACTATTGGACAGGCCTGGGACCAAGGTGAGGTGGGTAAGTTTGAGTTGGACAATAGCAGGATTAGATTCTGTCCTTATTTAAAACTTGAATATTTTGTAGATCATGTGTTACTTTTGAATCAATTTTTTTTTTTACAAAAAAAAAAAAAAAAAACACATACATTATAAGATCACTTATCTTGAGTGCAGAATTTTTTGATCCCCAAATTCTGCACCTGCATCCAGTGCCTCCCTCACCTCTTGGCCTGGTTAAAGGATCTACAAAAAATCTCTAGGTCTGATTTTTTTTTTCCAATCTTGATACTCTAGGAAATCCAATGGATTATTTTAGACAAAAATGCATTTAGCTAGAGGTTGATGGTAGGCACATTAAGAGAAAAGTTAATATCAAGAAACAGAGAGCTTCATAGACATGTAGGGTATACCTGCAGAGTTCACGATTTAACTATCAAACGAGTTAAACTGCCCAACGAGAGAGGGCAGGGCTAGGCAGGCATCTTGATGCTTCCCCTCAGAGTCTATACTGTCTTTCTTCTTGAGGTTTGCTCTCCTCTCATTGTGTTCTGCGCTATATTGCCCTCATTTAACTGTACCTTCAAAAAGGACCTGTTTTTAAGAGCTTTTACATGAATCAAAATTATGTCTAGATGTGAGGAAATGCTTTGTGCAACTCAACTTTGCCATTAAATGTATAATAATTTATGAAGTAACAACTCTTCCTCAATGACCACTACATACATGAATAAGAGAAAGTCCATACCTGTAGAGAGCTCATAGACTATTGGAGAAGTAAAAAATTAACCACATGAGCAGGAAGCACAATTGCATAAGTAGGCTAAACCAGAAGGAGGGAGTGCTTGTGAAGAACAGGAGGATAGGGCGTTCCCTCCTTAGTGGATCACCCTGATTCCAGGAGGAAAGAGGCCTTTGAGTTGGGACATTAATGAGGCACAGT
The DNA here is from genome assembly GCF_000001405.40 of Homo sapiens. Lineage (NCBI taxonomy): Eukaryota > Metazoa > Chordata > Mammalia > Primates > Hominidae > Homo > Homo sapiens. Next base: position 5,519,116 of record NW_018654717.1, on the reverse strand, counting down.
CTTCCAGGAAGATGTGGGGTAGGTGAGGGCACGCAAAGAGAGGAAGTAGGAGGAGCAAAGCACAGTTATAGGAAAACAATGGGAATAATTGGGGAAGGTCAAGGGACCTAAAGGGAACAGATGTCACTAAGCCTCCCCCAAATCACAGCAGTGCCAGTCTCCTTGTCAGAAACTTATGACTCATAATTATTCACTCACATCTCATGATCATGATGGAAAAGCTCAGGTTTGGAAAAGAAACTCACCGTGGATTTATTCAAGATGATACTGACACAGACTTTGTGTCTTTCTGACATGGGGTTTTGAATTCTAACATCCCGTTGCTCCTGTTGGTTTTGGGTTGCTGGAGGAGCAACCCAAAAAACTCCTCCTGTGCCATCCCTGACCCCTGGTCTGGAGAGCTGGGAAGGACATTCCAAGGATGTCAGAGATTCGCTTGTCCGAAACCAACATTACACAATCACAATTGCAATTACTAGGATAAAGATTCCATGTCTTCGAACACCGTAGCTTAATTTGGTTTAAATGCGGCACGTCTCTGCTGAGTGAGCCCTTTCTGAATCCACATTAGTCACAGAAGCTTCTTGGACTCCTCGTTACTTTTTGCAGCATTTTATTCTGTCATGGCCATAGGTGCCAATCTGTTTCAAGCTTGTAGAGCAAACATTCAGAACACACACACACCTTTATTCCTGTGTCAGCTAGCAGGATTTCTTATATCTTTAGAAAAACCTAAAGAAAGGAAAAGAAAAAAAAGAAAAAAAACCCAGAAGCAATAAACAATAAGCAAATCAAAGGACAATAGGAGTGATAGGGTGTTAGAATTCAAAACCCCATGTCAGAAAAGCACAAAGCCTGTGTCGGTGTTGACTTGAATAAATCTCTGGTGAGTTTCTTTTCCAAGCCTGGGATTTTCATCATGATCATGAGACATGAGTGAATGATGACGTGAACCTAAGTTTCTTAAAAGGAGGCTGGCCCTGACGTGGTTTGGGAATGTTTAGTTCCTGGAACCAGAATGTGAAAGACCGATCTCTGCTAAGTGACTGGGGCCTCCAGATGGGCTCAGGTAGCAGCTCAACAAGGATTTCTTGAGAATTCAGCTCCACCACACAAAAATAACCTCAAAGCTACCCTACCTCCATTTACACACACAGGCCAGTAACCTCTGCTTTCCAAATCATGAAGTCCGTTAAGTTTTTAAAATGAGATGCAAGAAAAAGATGTGGCTCAAATGGCAGAAATTGTTTAATGTGAATTTAATATGAAAGTAACTTAGGGCCGGGCCCAGGGGCTCACGCCTCTAATCCCAGTACTTTGGGAGGCCTAGGTGGGTGGATCACCTGAGGTCAGGAGTTTGAGACCAGCCTGGCCAACCTGGTGAAACCCTGTCTCTACTAAAAATACAAAAATTAACTGGGCATGGTGGTGGGTACCTGTAATCCCAGCTACGCAGGAGGCTGAGGCAGGAGAATCACTTGAACCCAAGAGGCGGAGGTTGCAGTGAGCCGAGATCATGCCATTGCACTCCAGCCTGGGTGACAGAGCAAGCCTCTGTCTCAGAAAAAAAAAGAAAAAAAAAAAAAAGAAGGAGGGGCAAGGAGGGGCAGGGGGAGGGGAGCTGGGAATGAAAAAAGACAAATAAAAGAAAGTAGATTACAATTAAAAACAATAATTAACAGTAGAAGTAAACCTTTGTAATGAATTGTTTCTAATCTCTAAATTCTCTTCTCAATCTCACCCTTCCATTTGTCCTCCCTCCTTCCTTTCCTCCTTTCCTCCCTTTTGTCTCTTCCTTCATACTCTCCTAAGTGGTGGAATATCGCCCAATGTCTGTGCCTCCAGGAGCCCTGCTGCTCCTCTGTAACCCAAAATCCATAAACAATATGGATAAAATGAGGCTTTTTCTATGTAATTTCTATCAGATTAGACATCTCAGGTCTTAGTCTCAAATTATCTTTCTCTCTCCCTTCCTCCCTTCCACTCTCCTTTTCTTCCTTCACCCTTTTATTTTATTCTTATAACATCAAGGAGAAAATAAAATTAGGCATTCCATTTTAAAAGTGGCTTTCAATAGGCATTTTTGTTCTGTGAACCTAGAGCAGCCACAGAGGGCAAGTGTTCTCCAGGGCCTTCCATCTGAAAAGACGAAGGGCCAGTGTCCCAAACACAACTTCCCAAAGTACAGGCTGCGCCTTATCACTACCTGAAATTCTCTAGGTCACTCAAATCTACACTTTAAATATAAAAATTTAGAAAATGACATTCTGTACTTACTTCTTTGGATAAAATCAAAATTTCTCACTTTTATTGAAAAATAAAAGTCACCTGACAGTTTTCAACCATAGTCTTAGCAGTCATAGAGTGAAGATCAGGGAGGAGATGAGATTTACAGGCTACTGGGCCCCTCTGGCTTAGAAGAGGGAGTGAGGCGGCCATGAAGCTCTTAAACTCCTTTCATATTGAAGGAAATGGAGTTTGGTTCAACAAAGCAAGGCATGCAATCTACTCAGTCTAGAAGTGATAGTAGAAGAAAGAGAGAAAGGGACAAAGGGAGTCAAGCTGTAGGGGAGACAGGGAGAGAGGGAGTGCCCTGACACTGAGAGAAATACAAGAGGCAGAGAAAGGAGACAAAGGAGAGATATAGACATGAGAGACAGAGAAAAAGAGAGAGAGTGTCTACGGCCATAGCACCTTGAACATGTTTGATCTCCTCTGATCTTGTAAGCTAAGCAGGAGTGGGCCTAACTAGTACTTGGATGAGAGAGAAAGAGGTGAGAGAGAGGCAAGAGAGAGCCTCTACCCCATTTTTCCACTTTTCCAAGCCTCCTATTTCCCTGACTCATCTCATGTGGAAGAGGCATCAGGAATATGAAGCGGAATAAGAAGAGAAGATAAGGACCCTTATGGGTGATGGCTGGGAGCTTCACCATGAGCTGAGGCTGGGGAGGACACCGAGCCTTCCATCTAAACAGGTCTTGGCCCCTGGTCACTGGGCAGAATTTGGAACAGGTATTGCCTACCACATCAGTAATTACAGTGATTGAAACTGACCACCTTACTGGGGGCATCAGACAAATGGCCCTCTGAGAGAAAAGTATACCCAGGAGCTCTTATGCAAATTTGGACACAAGAAACCCCAGAACATCCCCTCGTTCTGCTCATATGACCAGGGCTTCTTTCTGTCTTGTATCATTTGGGACCTGGGATGTGAATGGAGTGAGGGGCAAGGTCTTTCTTACAGGGGAACAGACTCAGGGTCTGTGAACTGGAGATCACCTGCCTGCTCTGTGGGATGTCCTGTTTTTCCTGAATGTCTAGGGACAGTCTCAGGCCAAACTGGGAGCCGGTTCCATCTAGTTCTATCCATTGCTGGGACATTCAGCTCCTGGGGATGATACAGGGCTGGCTCAAACCCAGGGACCTGGGAGGGGCTCACGGCTTCTGGCAGCTCCAGGAGCATGGTGGGCCCCGTCCTCACAGATCTGAGCTGGTGAAATTCATGTGAAAGGTGCCCTGAAATTCTCCGTCATCACCATGGGACAGAGATGAGGCAGATGGGTGCCCACTTCCTTCCTCTGAGAAGGAGAATGGGAGGGTGGGATTGTGACTACATGTGTCCCCTCAGAGTCCACCCAGGCCCAGGCCAGGAGGTGGCCTACCACCCACACTTGAGTTCCCTCCATTCGCACCGACACTCAGGGAATGTCAGCTCCACAGGACTTCAGGGCTTTGGGAGCCAGGGCTTTCCCTGCTTTCCACAGACGTCAGTGCTAAGTGAGCTCAATACCGTTGGGATTTGGTAGAGAAGCACGGAGTGGGGGTGCAAGGCCTCCACGTGGTGTCTTTCACGTGCATCCGTGTGAAGAGACCACCAAACAGGCTTTATGTGAGCAATAAAGCTTTTTAATCACCTGGGTGCAGGTGGGCTGAGTCAGCGTAGGGAGATAGGGGTGGGGCCGTTTTACAGGATTTGAGTAGGTAATGGAAAATTACAGTCAAAGGGGGTTGTTCTCTGGCTGGCAGGGGTGGAGGTCACAAGTTGCTCAGTGAGGGAGCTTTTGAGCCAGGATGAGCCAGGCCAAGGAATTTCACAAGGTAATGTCATCAGTTAAGGCATGAACAGTCCATTTTCACTTCTTTTGTGATTCTTCAGTTACTTCAGGCCATCTGGATGTATACGTGCAGGTCACAGGGGATATGATGGCTTAGCTTGGGCTCAGAGGTCTGACAGTCTCCCTATTGGTGATGGGACCCACTTCTGCAGAAGCCCTGTGTTTTCAGAGCTGTGCAAGGTCTCTGGGGACCCTCAGGACCCTGTCCTTCCTCCATAACCCAGAGTAGCAATCGGTGGCCACAGGCAATGGACAGAGCCCCTGGTGTCAGATGCTCAGGGGTGGGGCTTTTCAAGGGAAAATAAGTGGCATTCATCCTGGTTCCTCCCTCTTTGGATCCAAGGGAAGCTTGAGAGACAAGCAGGCCCCAGTGTCAGGTGTAGCGATGACACCAAGGTGTAGCGGTGACAGCCATGGGGACAATGAGCCTTGAGCCATGGTCTACATTTTAAATGTCACACTTTAAGAATTCACAGTTTGAGGCAGGCCAGGGGTGTTTTTAAAGAAAGCTGCAATGGATTCTATGAACAAGATCTTTAATGTCTTTCTTATCATGAAAGGAAGTTTCCGATGGGGTAGGCAAAGAGAGGGCTGGGTTGGGTGCCCTCACAACTGCTAAAGGAATCTGAATCCAGGGCTACAGCTGACTCAGCAGGGAGTCACTCCCTTTGTCAGAACTTTGTTTTCCTCTGTGCTGAGCAGGCTGGAATTGAGGGGCAGACTCATTCATTTCCTGACACTAAAACTATTCCTGGCCAAGGAAGCCAAATAGAAAAACTGAATGAAAAAAAAAAAAAAGCACATATGTGCTCTGTCTAAATTAATAAATAATTTAAAAAATATACTTTCTATGTCGCTGTCACCTTTTGAAAGTAGCAGGAAAATGTCATGACACTTCACCCTAATTATCTCAGCATGTATCTCTTATAAATAAGAAAAAAATTCCCGCATCAATCACACTACCATTTATGCACATTAACAAGAAAATTTCCCTGGCCTGAACACTGGGACAGCAGCTGTAGGTGCTCAGGAAGCAAAGTGTCAGTAAATTATTGCAAAACAGAAGTCAGTGCATAGACATTGAAATTGTTCCAAGAATAGCTTCGTGGCTGTTGAGTTTTCTGGGTACATGTTCAATCCAGATTCACACATCGAATTAGGTTGTCACGCCTCTTTCCTTGTTGAGTAAACATTCTTAAGGAAATGCCATGGTATGTGGCAAGGGGCCTTACTGGAGTTATTACGTAACTCTTATATGTAAATAAGAGTTTGAGTTAAGAGAGTGGTTCCCATCTTTTTCATGTGTGGCATCACTCCTGATTGATACGTCCTTAATGACTGCTGTACTTAACATGATTATTATAAAAGTAATACACTTGCATTTAAAAACTCACCCATAGAAGAGTGTGAATTTCTCCTATAATCCCGTTGCAATCCCAGGAACCACTGACAGCACTGTGGTTTTACACTTGTTGTCCTCTCTAGCTCTCAGTACATTTGTGAGGCCTTGTTAGAGAAGGAGGTGAAATTGCTCTGAAATAGGAAAGTCACTGTGAAATGCAGCACCTGTGTCCCTGGGGAAGAAGCCACCAAGGCTTAGGGAACATGGGCCTGGTTGCTCAAGGACAGCTGGGCTGACTGTTCCCATGAAGATTCCTATGGTTGCAGCTATTCTTTTTTCCTGGCACAGCCCGATGTGACTCCTTCAGAGCAGTGTTCATCCTGGTGATACAGTGTGTTTGATAAAGATCAAGGGAGGAGCACTTTTGTCTTAAAGGTAGGGTTATTATCTTGCTTCAGCAAGGAAGACTATCCACCAGAACAGATATGGGTTTTTTCCCAAACCACAGGCTGTTTTCTGTGGCAAAGTGGCTCAGTTCCCCAGGCAAGAGTGGGCATTCCTTTAGATAGGCTCCCAGAAAGCAAAGTCTCTCATATCTATAATTTTAGAAAGCAAAGTTTCTCTGCACTGTGTCCTCAATGATAAATAACAGAAGCAGTTTTACTGGCTCTCAATTCTGGAGCCAGGACCAGCTTCATGGGCTTGAGGGCTGGGCAGTGACAAAGGGACCTGCCCTCAGAAGGGCCAGTGCCTGGTAGCAGGCTCTGCCGACACCCTCTTGACCTTAGTTTTTTTTCTTTGAACTTCATTTTGTAAGTGAAGCCCACTGAGACAATGGAGCAGGCACATGAGCAGAGTGGCTATGAGGGGGGACAAGGTGGGCAGGCTCAGGCCCAGGGACATGAAGGCCACATGCTGGAGCTTGCTGCCCTGAGCACGGGTGCCTTGGAGCGGCCCAGGCACATCTCGACTGGGAAGGAAGATGGCAACGGACCAGGATGGGAGGTGGCAGCAGCAGCAGCAGGTGTCCTCAGCCCTGGGGTGAAAGGAGGGTCTCTGTGTGGACGCAGCACTGACACCTCTGTGCCTGTGCATTCTCAGAGTCATCCTTGGAGCTTCTGCACGAATATTTACCCCCTGACCTGAGCACCGGGACAGGAATCATAGGGCTCAGATAGCAAATTGGGAGGAGAGAAGCACAAAACAAAAGTGTGCCCATGGACACTGTGAAATAGTATGCCAGGGAGTTCTTGGAATTCCTCAGAGAGTTTAGAGTTCTTCAAGGAGTTATCCAAGGCTCAGAAATATAAATTAAATATATAATGATAGTCACAAAACTTCTGATGGGACAGGCATGGTGGGTCACACCTGTTATCCCAGCACATTGTGAAGCTCTGGTTAGAGGACTGTTTGAAGCCAGTTGTTGGAGACCACCATAGGCAGTATAGTGGGCAGTATAGTTAGACCCCAACATTAAAAAAAAAAAAAAGATTAGCTGAGCACAGTGGCACATGCCCGTAGTCTTAGCTACTTGGGAGGCTGAGGTAGGAGGATCATACGAGTTCAGGAGTCTGAGGCTGCAGTGAGCCATGATCATGTCAACAGATGGAGACCCTACCTCAAAAGAAAAGAAAAGAAAAGAAAAGAACATTTCTGATCAATCAATTATTAACAAGTAGAGCAATTTTAAAAATTCAGTTCTTCTTGTTAAAGATACAACAATAGAATTCAAAAACAGGAGTTTTGAGTAAGTTACAAATCATGACGCCACATTTGGTCTGCTGTGGGCCTCTGCAACTTACAGAACATGTCAGAAGATGCATCAAAATTCCATTGGAGAAATTTACACTTAAAATTAAATTCAAACTTCCATAAAACTGATTTGCTTAAACAGTTAAATCCTTTGAAAAAAATAGCTCCACAAGAACCACCAGCTACAGATATACTAAAATTTGTGTCAAAATAGTTTATCCCAATATTGTCAGAGTTTAGATAATATTCCAGAAACAGTTGCTTCAGCAGATTCTTTTCAGAAGAAAAAATGAAGTTGCTCAAGGTATAAAGTTTGATGACCTAATAAATTAATTGCAGAAAAGTTGGCCAGAAAAATTGTTTCATTCATCTAGATCCAATTAATAAAGTATTATTATTTATTCTATTAAAACTGTGACACTGGTTTCTGGTGGGGATTTATATGATTCTGTTCTTACTCTTCTAGAAGTATTATCCCTATTACACTTTTCAAATGATGAAACATACTGGCTTGAGAAAGCTGAATACCCTCCTGCCTTTCACGACACTTTCTTCTGCTGCTCTTTGAACAAGGCGCCCTGCATTTCCACTTTGCACTGAGCCTTGGGAATTTTGCAGCCGGCCCTGCCGTGGCCATTTTTATACAAGTTATCTCATTTAATCCTCAGAAGCAAACATGCCAGGGGGTTATTACCCAAGTTTACAGAGGCAGGTCCTGGGGCCTAGAAAGGTTAGAGGACATGTTCAAGGTCATCTGACTACTAAGTGGCAGAGATGGAATTTGAAATAAAATCCCTCTCTCTTCAAAGCCCATGTTCCTAACCAGCACCACACAATCACCATGGTGTCCTGATAACCTCCCCTCTTCATCCTCCTACATCCCCAAAGCTACAGTAACGCTCTGCCTAAGGCCAGAGTCCACGCGGCTACTGTCACCCTCTCCCATCTCCTGAGCTGAGCAGTGAGTCCACAGCCTGGCCCGGCCTTGCAGGAGGTGAGGGAATGAGCGCGCAGTTACTGCCACCTCGTGGCGGCTTGACTACATGACCCTGAAACGCAGACCTAATCTGTTTCCTGCCTGCCTGAAGCCTGGGTGTGCACCTGAGACTTCTAGTAATTTCCTTTTTCCCCTTAAGGAACCTATCGAGAGTTCTCACAATTTTATGCATTCTCTCAAGCAAGTAGCTTTCATTTATTTATTTTTAATGTTCTCTTTTGTGTCCACATTCTTTTTTATTCACTCGTTTTCCTATTTACTTTCAGCTTAATTAGTTCTTTTTTCCCCAGGTTTTTTACAATGGAATATTAGATTGTCTATTTCTGAGCTTTCGACTTCCCATTATAATAGCAGTTAATGTTATCAATTTCCCTCCAAGCACTGCTTTAGTTGTATTGCCACAAATTTTGGTATGTTATGCTTCCATTTGCTGTCATGTGAAAATATTTTTAAATTTCTCCTTTGACTCATTAGAAATATGTTGAGTAATGTCCAAATATGTGAGGAATTTTCCAGCTATTTTCCTTTAGTCACAGCTTCATACATTCCACTGTGGATAGACATTATGCTTCACATGATTTTAAATTGTTTTGATTTTTTTGTTTCTTAGTCCAATATGAGCTCTCTTAGATAATATTTTAATGCATTTTACTGTTATTGGGAGGAGTGTCCTGTAAAGCTTATATAGGTCATAATGGATGATACTGTTGTTCAAGTTCTCTCTATCTTTATTTATACTTTGCTGCTAAAAAAAACTATTTCAGAGAAAAAAGTGTTGAAATATTCAATGGTAATTCTTAATTTTTCAATTTCTTCTCTTAGTTCTATCAATTTCTTTTTAAAATTTTTGAGACTCTCTTATTAGGTGCATACTAATTTAATAATAATGATACGTGTTCTTGGTGATTTAACAACTTTATCACCGGAAAACATAGGCTCTTTATCAGTAATAATACACCTTGCTGTAAAATCTACTTTGATTTATAGTCAGTTAGCCGATACAGCTAATTCTGTTTTCATTAGATTAATGTTTCCATACTATAACTCTTTCTGTCCCTTTACTATCAACCTATCTTTGTCCTTATATTTGATAAAGACATTGGGTTTTTATAGACAGCGTGTATTTGGGTCTTGTTTTATACTACAAGTTTGCTAGTGAGGAATTCTCTTAGTTTTTGTTATTGTCATTAGAAAATGCCTTTACGCGGTGGGTCACGCCTGTAATCCCAGCACTTTGGGAGGCCGAGGTGGGCGGATCTCGAGGTCAGGAGATCCAGACCATCCTGGCTAATACGGTGAAATCCTATCTCTACTACAAATACAAAAAAATTAACCGGGCATGGTGGCGGGCGCCTGTAGTCCCAGCTACTGGGGAGGCTGAGGCAGGAGAATGGCGTGAACCCGGGAGGCGGAGCTTGCAGTGAGCCGAGATCGCACCATCGCACTCCAGTCTGCGTGACAGCGAGACTCCGTCTCAAAAAAAAAAAAAAAAAGGAAAAGAAAATGCCTTTACTTATTACTGGAATATGTGTTTAGCATTAATCTAGAAATGTATTTTTGCTTGTCAGGGTCCTATGTTGACTTATTTTTCTTCTTTTGGTACTTAAATATGTCACTTTATTTTTTCTACTTCTGTAAGCAGTGTCTTCTCTCAGCATGCTTTTAAGATTTTCTCATTATTTTTGATTCAAAACAATTTGATTATTGATATGGTTTGGCTCTGTGTCCCTACTCAAATCTCATCTGGAATTATAATCCCATAATCCCCAGTGTTGGGGGGCAGGACCTGGTGGGAGGTGATTGGATCATGGGGAGGTGAATTCTGCCTTGCTGTTCTCATGATAGTGAGTGAATTCTCAAGAGATGTGATGGTTTTATAAATGGCAGTTTCCTTCTGTGCTTACTCTTGTGCTCTGTCTCTCTTCCTCTCTCTCTCTCCCTCTCTCTTTCGTCTGACACCATGGAAGACGTGCTTGCTTCTGCTTCACCTTCCATCACGATTGTGAGATTCCTGAGGCCTCCTAGCCATGCTTTCTGTTAATCCAGCATAACTGGGAGTCAAAGAAACCTCTTTTATTTATAATTATCCAGTCTCAGGTAGTTCTTTATAGCAGTGTGAAAATGAACTTGTATAATTATGATATTCTTGTTCTTTTTTTTTTAAATAATTATTCTTCTTAGATGTCTTTCAATACCAAATTTGTATGTTTCCAGTCTCACCAAATTTATAAAAATAGGCTATTATTTCACTAACTTTATGCTTTCTCCTGGAATTTCTTTCTGCCTTCAAACACACATAGGTGCTAGATTGCTTGATATTTCTATGAAGTGCACTGTTTATTTTTCATCCAGAGTTTTTTTCTCCCTTTGCTTCATTTTCTCATTTGTTTGTGTTAATGTAGATTCAGGCTTACTGATCCTTTCTTCTATACTGTCATGTGTCATTAATCCAATTCAGAAATTTTTTTGTTCTCATGATCATTTTGTTTTACTGCTGGAAGGCCCATTTGGTTCTTTTTATGTGTTCCTCCTCATCAAAAAGGTTTTCTCTTCAGCCTTTGACATATTTATAACTTTTATAATAGCTCCTTTACATTCCCTTTTCTGATCCTAGTACCTTTGTCATTATTGGGTCTGTTTTTACTGAATGACTTTTCTCCTAGTTATGGGCTATATTTTCCTACTTCTTTTCATGCTTGGAAATTTTTTATTGGATTCAGTATATTATAAAGCCTTTTTTTTTTTTAATTTGGAAACAGGGTCTTGCTCTGTTGCCCAGGCTGGAATGCAGTGGTGCAATCTCAGATCACTGCAACCTCTGCCTCCCTGGTTTAAGCAATTCTCTTGCCTCAGCCTCCTGAGTACCTGGGACTACAGGCCTGTGCCACCACGCCCAGATAATTTTTCTATTTTTAGTAGGCATAGGTTGGCCTGGCTGGTCTCGAGCTCATGCCCTCAAGTGATTCACCTGTCTTGGCTTCCGAAAGTGCTGAGATTACAGTCATGAACCGCCACGCCTGGACAGCTTGAATTGTTGAGTAACAGTTTTGGTTGTTTTTTTCCCCAAAGAATGCTAGACATCATCTGGTTCATTTTGGGGGTTCTATACATTCATTTGGTTTTTTCAAGAATGGCTTGAAAATTTCTTGAAGCAGTTGCAGAGCAGTTTAATCTAGAGCTAACTAGCACCACTACTTGCTGATGGCTTTCTGAGGTTCTGAGTTCTCTCCACTTTGCTGTGGGGATACAAAGTTTTCAAGACTTGTCTGTCCTCCTGAAAATGTCGTTCACTCCCTTATGGAGTTTTTACTTTTTTCTGGCCTGGGGAAGTCTTAGCCCAAGTGTGCACACATCATAACATAGCCTAAGAGTGAAGGCATTCTTCTCTTCTCCAACACTCAAGATCAATGCTTCCTTTCAGTAGCCCACTCTCTGATATGTGCACTGGAAATTGGGGTCTGATACAGGTTGGATGTTTGTACTCTCCAAATACTATGTTGAAATGTAATTCCCAGTCTTGGAGGTGGGACCTGGCAGGAGGTGTTGGGGTCATTGGGGTGGATCCCTCATGAATGGCTTGGTGCTGTCCTGGAGATAATCTGTGAGCTCCTTCTTTGAGTCATGGGAGATCTGGTTGTTTCACACAGTGTGGCACCTCCCCAACTCTGGCTCCTTCTCCTGGCTTGTGATACTCCTGCTCCCCCTTCCCCTTCCTACACAAAAGGAAGCCTTCTGAGGCCTCAAAAGGAGCAGATGATGTCACCATGCTACTCATACAGCCTACAGAATAGGGAGCCAAAATAAACTTCTTTTCCTTATGAATTACCCAGCATTAGGTATTCCTTTATAGGAGTAAAAACAAACTGACACAGAAAATTGATACTGTGCAGGGGACATTGCTGTAAAGACAGCTGAAAATATGGAAGTGGCTTTGTCACTGGGTACTGGCAGAGGTTGAAAGAGTTTGTAGGGCCCAGCAAAAGATAGGAAGATGAGGGAAAGTTTGGAACTCTTTAGAAACTTGTTAAATGTACGTGACCAAAATGCTCACAGAGATATGGACAGTGGAGTCCACACTATCAAGTTGTTAGATGGAAAAGTGGAAGTTACTGGGAATTAGAGCAAGGGTCCCCATTGTTACACCCCAGTCAAGAGCTTGGCTGCATTGTGTTCACGTCCTAGGGATTTGTGGAAAGTTGAACTTTAGAGTGATTAGCTAGAGCATCTGGTCTAAGTAATTTCCAAGGAGCAAAGTATTCAAGATATGTAGCTGCTTCTACAAGCTTGCAATCAGATACAGGAGCAAAGAAATGCTTTAAATTTGGAACTTAAAGGAGAAGCTGTCAGGCGTCTCAGCCCAAGCCAAGCCATCGCATCCCCTGTGACTTGCATGTATACGCCCAGATGGCCTGAAGTAACTGAAGAATCACAAAAGAAGTGAATATGCCCTGCCCCACCTTAACAGATGACATTCCACCACAAAAGAAGTGTAAATGGCTGGTCCTTGCCTTAAGTGACGACATTACCTTGTGAAAGTCCTTTTCCTGGCTCATCCTGTCTCAAAAAGCACCCCCACTGAGCACCTTGCAACCCCTACTCCTGCCCGCCAGAGAACAAACCCCTTTTGACTGTATTTTTCCTTTACCTACCCAAATCCTATAAAACAGCCCCACACTTTTCTCCCTTCACTGACTCCCTTTTTGGATTCAGCCCACCTGCACTCAGGTGAAATAAACAGCCATGTTGCTCACACAAAGCCTGTTTGGTGGTCTCTTCACACGGACGCACATGAAATTTGGTGCCGTGACTTGGATCGGGGGACCTCCCTTGGGAGATCAATCCCCTGTACTCCTGTTTTTTGCTCCGTGAGAAGATCCACCTATGACCTCAGGTCATCAGACCGACCAGCCCAAGGAACATCTCACCAATTTTAAATCAGGTAAGCGGCCTCTTCTTACTCTCTTCTGCAACCTCTCTCACTGTCCCTCAACCACTTTCTCCTTTCCACTCTTCAATCTCTCCCTTCTCTTAATTTCAATTCCTTTCATTTTCTGGAAGAGACAAAGGAGACACTTTTTTTCCATGGACCCAAAACTCCGGCACTGGTCACGGACTGGGAAGGCAGCCTTCCCTTGGTGTTTAATCATTGCAGGGATGCCTCTCTGATTATACACCCACGTTTCAAGGGTGTCTGACCATGCAGGAACACCTGCCTTGGTCATTCACCCTTAGCGGCAATTCCCGCTTTTCTGGGGAAGGGGCAAGTACCTCAACTCCTTCTCGCCTTGTCTCTACCCCTTCTCTGCTTTTCTGGGAGAGGGGCAAGTACCCTTCAACCCCTTCTCCTTCACCCTTAGTGGCAAGTCCCGCTTTTCTATGGGGCAAGAACACCCAATCCCTTATTTCCACGCCCCAGCCTCTTATCTCTGCACCCCAATCCCTTATTTCCATGCCCCAACCTCTTATCTCTACACCCCAATCCCTTATTTCCATGCCCCAACCTCTTATCTCTACACCCCAATCCCTTATTTCTGCACTCCGACCTCTTATCTCTGTGCCCCAATCCCTTATTTCAGCGCCTCAACCTCATATCTCTGCACCCCAATCCCTTATTTCCATGCCCTGACCTCTTATCTCTGTGCCCCAACCCCTTTTCCCACTTTTCTGGAAGGTAAGAACCCCCAAACCCCTTCCTTCCATTTCTCTACTCTCTCTTTTCTCTAGGCTTGCTTCCTTCACTATGGGCAACCTTCCATGCTCCATTCTTCCTTCTACTCCCTTGGCCTGTGTTCTCAAAAACTTAAAACCTCTTCAAGCCACACCTGACCTAAAACCTAAATGCCTTATGTTCTTCTGCAATGCCACTTGACCCCAATACAAACTCAACAGTAGTTCCAAATAGCCAGAAAATGACACTTTGAATTTTTCCATCCTACAAGATCTAAATAATTGTTGTTGTAAAACAGGCAAATGGTCTCAGGTGCCTGACGTCCAGGCATTCTTTTACACATCAGTCCCTTCCTAGTCTCTGTGCCCAGTGCAACTCATCCCAAATCTTCCTTCTTTCCCTCCCGCCTGTCCCCTCAGTACCAACCCCAAGTGTCGCTGAGTCTTTCTAATCTTCCTTTTCTACAGACCAATCTGACATCTCCCTTCCTCCCCAGGCTGCTCCTCACCAGGCCAAGCTACGTCCCAATTCTTCCTCAGCCTCTGCTCCTCTACCCTATAATCTTTTTATCACCTCCCCTCCTCACACCTGGTCCGGCTTACAGTTTCCTTCCGTGACTAGCCCTCCTCCACCTGCCCAGCAATTTACTCTTAAAAAGGTGGCTGGAGCCAAAGATATAGTCAAGGTTAATGCTCCTTTTTCTTTATCCCAAATCAGAAGTGTTTAGGCTCTTTTTCATCAAATATAAAAACCCAGCCCAGTTCATGGCTCATTTGGCAGCAACCCTGAGACACTTTACAGCCCTAGACCCTAAAAGGTCAAAAGGCCGTCTTATTCTCAATATACATTTTATTACCCAATCTGCTCCCAACATTAAATAAAACTCCAAAAATTGGAATCTGGCCCTCAAACCCCACAACAGGACTTAATTAACCTCACCTTCAAGGCGTACAATAACAGAAAAAAGTTGCAATTCTTTGCCTCCACTGTGAGACAAACCCCAGCCACATCTCCAGCACACAAGAACTTCCAAATGCCTGAACCACAGCAGCCAGGCAGTCCTCCAGAACCTCCTCCCCCAGGAGCTTGCTACATATGCAAAATCTGGCCACTGGGCCAAGGAATGCCCACAGCCTGGGATTCCTCCTAAGCCGCGTCCCATCTGTGTGGGACCCCACTGAAAACCGGACTGTTCAACTCACCTGGCAGCCATTCCCACAGCCCCTGGAACTCTGGCCCAAGGCTCTCTGACTGACTCCTTCAGAGATCTTCTCCGCTTAGTGGCTGAAGACTGACACTGCCCGATCGCCTCAGAAGCCCCCTAGACCATCACGGACGCTGAACTTCGAGTAACTCTCACAGTGGCGGGTAATTCCATCCCCTTCTTAATCATTACGGTGGCTACCCACTCCACATTACCTTCTTTTCAAGGGCCTGTTTCCCTTGATTCCATAACTGTTGTGGGTATTGATGGCCAGGCTTCTAAACCTCTTAAAACTCCCCAACTCTGGTGCCAACTTAGACAATACTCTTTTAAGCACTCCTTTTTAGTTATCCCCACCTGCCCAGTTCCCTTATTAGGCCGAGACAATTTAACTAAATTATCTGCTTCCCTGACTATTCCTGGACTACAGCTATATCTCATTGCCACCCTTCTTCCCAATCCAAAGTCTCCTTTGCGTCCTCTTGTATCCCCCGACCTTAACCCATAAGTATAAGATACCTCTACTCCCTCCTTGGTGACCGATCATGCACCCCTTACCATCTCATTAAAACCTAATCACCCTTACCCCACTCAACACCAATATCCCATCCCACAGCATGCTTTAAAAAGATTAAAGCCTGTTATCACTCGCCTGCTACAGCATGGCCTTTTAAATCCTATAAACTCTCCTTACAATTCCCCCATTTTACCTGTCCTAAAACCAGACAAGCCTTACAAGTTAGTTCAGGATCTGCACCTTATCAACCAAATTGTTTTGCCTATCCCCCCTGTGGTGTCCAACCCGTACACTCTTTTGTCCTCAATACCTTCCTCCACAACTCACTATTCTGTGCTTGATCTTAAAGATGCTTTTTCACTATTCCCCTGCACCCCTTGTCCCAGCCTCTCTTTGCTTCCACTTAGACTGACCCTGACACCCATCAGGCTCAGCAAATTACCTAGGCTGTACTGCCGCAAGGCTTCATAGACAGCCCCTATTACTTCAGTCAAGCCCAAATGTCATCCTCATCTGTTACCTATCTCAGCATAGTTCTCATGAAAACATATGTGCTTTCCCTGCTGATCATGTCCGATTAATCTCCCAAACCACAATCCCTTACAAAACAACTCCTTTCCTTCCTAGGCATAGTTAGTGCAGTCAGAATTCTTACACAAGAGCCAGGACAGCACCCTGTAGCCTTTCTGTGCAAACAACTTGACCTTACTGTTTTAGCCTAGCCCTCATGTCTGCGTGCAGTGGCTGCCGCTGCTTTAATACTTTTAGAGGCCCTCAAAATCACAAACTATGCTCAACTCCCTCTCTACAGTTCTCATAACTTCCAAAATCTATTTTCTTCCTCATACTTGACTTATATACTTTCTGCTCCCCGGCTCCTTCAGCTGTACTCACTCTTTAAGTCCCACAATTACCATTGTTCCTGGCCCGGACTTCAATCTGGCCTCCCACATTATTCCTGATACCACACCTGACCCCCATGACTGTATCTCTCTGATCCACCTGATATTCACCCCATTTCCCCATATTTGCTTCTTTCCTGTTCCTCACCCTGATCACGCTTGATTTATTGATGGCAGTTCCACCAGGCCTAATTGCCACACACCAGCAAAAGCAGGTTATACTATAGTACAAGCCACTAGCCCGCCTCTTAGAACCTCTTATTTCCTTTCCATCGTGGAAATCTATCCTCAAGGAAGGAAATAACTTCTCAGTGTTCCATCTGCTATTCTACTACTCCTCAGGGATTATTCAGGCCCCCTCCCTTCCCTACACATCAAGTCAAGGATTTGCCCCACCCAGGACTGGCAAGTTAGCTTTACTCAACATGCCCTGAGTCAGATAACTAAAATACCTCTTAGTCTAGGTAGATACTTTCACTGGATAGGTAGAGGCCTTTCCTACAGGGTCTGAGAAGGCCACCGCAGTCATTTCTTTGGTTCTGTCAGACATAATTTCTCAGTTTAGCCTTCCCACCTCCATACAGTCTGATAACACATGAGCCTTTATTAGTCAAATCAGCCAAGCAGTTTTTCAGGCTCTTAGTATTCAGTGAAACCTTTATATTCCTTACAGTCCTCCATCTTCAAGAAAAGGAGAATGGACTAAAGGTCTTTTAAAAACACACCTCACCAAGCTCAGCCACCAAAAAGGACTGGACAATACTTTTAGCACTCTCCCATCTCAGAATTCAGGCCTGTCCTCGGAATGCTACAGGGTACAGCCCATTTAAGCTCCTGTATAGACGCTCCTTTTTATTAGGCCCCAGTCTCATTCCAGACACCAGACCAACTTAAACTGTGCCCCAAAAAACTTGTCATCCCTACTATCTTCTGTCTAGTCATACTCCTATTCACTGTTCTCAACTACTCATACATGCCCTGCTCTTGTTTACACGGCCGTTTTACACAGTTTTTCCAAGCCATCACAGCTGATATCTCCTGGTGCTATCCCCAAACTGCCGCTCTTAACTCTTGAAGTACATAAATAATCTTTGCTGGCAGGACTATGATGAGTCTCCTTAGGCACTCTCTAATCAGATATCCTGAGTCGTCCCAATTCTTAGACCTTTTATACCTGTTTTTCTCCTTCTGTTATTCCATTTAGTTTCTCAATTCATCCAAAAGCGTATCCAGGCCATCACCAATCATTCTATATGACAAATGTTTCTTCTAACATCCCCACAATATCACCCCTTACCACAAGACTTCCCTTCAGCTTAATCTCTCCCACTCTAGATTCCCACGCCACCCCTAATCCCGCTTGAAGCAGCCCTGAGAAACATCGCCCATTCTCTCTCCATACCACCCCCCAAAAATTTTCACCACCCCAACACTTCAACACTATTTTGTTTTATTTTTCTTATTAATATAAGAAGGCAGGAATATCAGGCCTCTTAGCCCAAGCCAAGCCATCGCATCCCCTGTGACTTCCACGTATATACGCCCAGATGGCCTGAAGTAACTGAAGAATCACAAAAGAAGTGAATATGCCCTGCCCCAATTTAACAGATGACATTCCACCACAAAAGAAGTGTGAATGGCCGGTCTTTGCCTTAAGTGATGACATTACCTTGTGAAAGTCCTTTTCCTGGCTCATCCTGGCTCAAAAAGCAACCCCACTGAGCACCTTGCGACCCCCACTCCTGCCCCCCAGAGAACAAAACCCCTTTGACTGTAATTTTCCTTTACCTACCCAAATCCTATAAAACGGCCCCATCCTTATCTCCCTTTGCTGACTCTCTTTTCAGACTCAGCCCGCCTGCACCCAGGTGAAATAAACAGCCATGTTGCTCACACAAAGCCTGTTTGGTGGTCTCTTCACACGGACGCACATGAAAGAAGCAAAGCATAAAAATTTGGAAAATTTGCAGCCTAGAAATTTAGTAGAGAAAGAAAAAGCATTTTCAGAAGAGGACTGTAAGGGGCTGTGGAGAAACCACTTGCTAGAGAGATGTGCATGACTGAGAAGGAGCCAAGTGCTAATAGCCAAGACAATGGGGAAAAAGCTTACAAGGCATTTTTGAAAACTTTGAGGCATTCCCTCCCACCACAGCCCACAGGCCTAGGAGGAAAGAATGGTTTCAGTGGCCAGACCCAGGCACAGCTGCCCTGCTCAGCCTCAAGACACATCCTGGCTGCCCAGCCTCCAGCCTCAGCTCAAAGGGCCTAATGTACAGATTGGCCACTGCTTCAGTGGGTGAAAGCCAGAACGTCTTGGCAGCGTTCATGTGGTGCTAAGCCTGCAAGTCTGCAGAGTGCAAAAAGGAAGGAGGCTTGGCAGCTTCCACCGAGATTTCAGAGGATGTGTGGCAAAGTCTGGTTCTCCAGGCAGAAAACTGCTGCCGAGGGAGAGTACCAAGAGAAAAACTCTACCAGGGCAGTGCTAAGGGGAAACGTGGGGTTGGATTCCCCACACAGTGTCCCCAGTGGGGCATTGCCTAGTGGAGCTGAGGGAAGGGGAACACTGCCCTCCAGACCTGAGAATAGTAACACTGTTGACAGCTTGTACCCTCAGCATGGAAGAGCCACGGGCATCAGATTCTGACCTGTGACAGGAGCCATGTGGGCTGCACCCTGTAAAGCCACAGGGGCAGAGCAGCCCAAGGTCTTCAGAGCCCACCCTCACAGCAGAATAAAGGACATGGAATCAAGAATTATTTTCAAACTTTGAGGTTTAATAGCTGCCCTGCTGAGTTTCTGACATGTGTGGGGCCTGTAATCCCTTTTATTGGCCAATTTCTGCCTTTTAGAATGGTAGTGTCTAGCCAATGCCTGTGCCATCATTGTAACATGAAAGTACATAACTTGTTTTTGATAGTACAGGCTAAAAGGCGGAAGGAATTTGAGTCTCAGGGGATGAGATTTTGAACTTTGGACTTTTGATTAAGTTAATGCTGGAAGTAGTTAAAACTTTGGGGAGTGATTGGGAAGGGATGATTGCATTTTGCAATGTGAGAAGGACATGAGATTTGAGGGGCCAGAGGAAGAATAATATTTTTCAGATGTTTGTCCCCTCGAAACCTCCTGCTGAAATCTAATCCTCAGTGTTGGAAGTGGAATCTGGTGGGAAGTGTTTGGGTTGTGGGGGTGAATCCCTAATGAATGACTAACTGCTTTCATCACAAAAATGAGTGAGTTCTTGCTCCGAGTTCATACAACATGTAGTTGTTTAAAAGAGTCTGGGACCTCCTTGCACCCTCTCGCTCCACTCTTACCACGTGATATTCCTGCTCCCACTTGACTTTCCACTATGACTGAAGGCTTATGGAGTCCTAACAAGGAGCGGATGCAGGCACCATGCTTCTCACACAGCCAAAAATAGTGAGCCAAATAACTTCCTTTCCTGAAGTATTATCCCACCTCAGGTATTCCTTTAGAGCAACACACACAGACTGACACAGGGCGTATCGTGCTGTGTGAGCTTTGACCTTGGTCTCCTCAATGCTACAGGGTGCTGGTCTTCATGTAAGTCTTCCTCCCTGTGCTGTGGCCTGTAACCTGGCCCTATAGAGAGCTAGGGGCAAAAGGACATCCTAGTTTATTTGTTTGTTGCACTGCTTATTATCCAATATATGAACACAGCTGTCTCACACCTGCTGACTAGTTCCATCTTGTCTACTGTAGGAGGGCAATTCCCATAGCAGTGAGTCCGTTTGGATGGAAACTGAGGAACAGGCTCAACTTTTTCAGTTTTTGTCCCTTCTTCCTGAGAGCCTCATTGTCTTTTCATATAAGCCTTCAGAATTTGAGAAAGATATACATAAAATTCCGTAAAATGTTGGTAGGTTTTCATCTTTGTTCTCCATTACAGAAATGTAGCCTTAGCTTTTTTGTGTTACTAATTTTATGCTCAGTTTATAATTTGAAACCAGTAGGCCCTTCCTATTCGTGTGTTCCACATCAGGAAACGTTCTACAAAAACATTGTGTCTGAATTGAGCATGCACAGGCCTTTTTCTCTTGCCATTATTTTCTAGGAAATACAGCATAACTCCTACTTACTTAGCATTTACATTGTGTTCAGTGTTACAAGAAATCTAGGAATGATTTAAAGTATATGCAAGGAGTGTGAAGATTATATGAAATTACTACTCTTTTATATCAGGGACTTGAGCATCTGAGGCATTTGGTATACACAGGGGGTCCTGGAACCAATCCCCCATGGATACTGAGGAGCAATTGTATTTGTGTTCTGTTTCTAAGCAAATTGTCATAAGCTTAGTGACCTAAACCAACACAAATTATCTTGCTGTTTTGGGGATCAAACATGAAAAATCAAAGTGTCCTTAGGACCTTTTTCCTTTCCAGAGGTTCTAAGAAGCTGAGTTTGCTTTCCTTTTTTTTTTTTTTTTCTTCTTTGCCTTTTCAAATCTGAGAGGCTGCCCATGTTCCTTGGTTTGTGGATCCTTCCTTCATCTTCAAATCCAGCAATGGCTGTTGAGTCGTTCCCACATCGCATCACCCAGACACTGACTGTTCTGCCTTTCTTTTCCACATTTAAGGATTCTTGGATTACGTTGGTCTCATTCACATGATCTAAGTTAATCTCCCGGTTTTAAAGTCAGCATATTAGCCAACTATTCTATCTGCTGTCTTAGTTCTTATTTGCCGTAAAGTGTAACATAATCCCAGGTTCTAGGGATAAGGACATGGACATCTTTGGGATGCCGTTATTACACCTACTACACCTAGTAAAATAAAATTCAGTGACGTAATAAATACTTTCACCAAGAAAAATATCTTTAAAGAAAAAATGTTTTCAGTGATTCATAGTGTTATTAGATGAATATAGGAGGCCAAGTTCAATTTGGCTTTCAGAAAAACCATGAAGAACTTTTTAGTGTATTTAATCCCAAATAGTATGAGATAGATAATGCCACAATAAACTGGATGTTGTTTATCTAAAACTCACATTTAACTGAGTGTCCTATACTTTTATTTGCTAAATCTGTCAACCCTAGTCATGTAGGATTAATACAAACAAATACATGTTTCTTCTAAGTTGCTCACATATGAGAGCAAAACAAAGAAAAGTACATTTAAGGTTCTATCACAGGTCTCTGAGAAAAAGTTTCCTGGATGTGTTATCATCCCCCAGATACCCTACAATTAGATCTTTTTGATGTTTCTTTAGTGTTTTTTTAATTATCTCTCTTTGATCAAGACCTTCACTGAAATGTATTCTTTTAAAAGCAAACACTCCTTCATTTTGGATTCATTAAGAGACAGATGTTAGCATGAAAAAGCCCATATCCCAAGAAGGCTGGGGCATCTGAAACATGTCTGACCCTTTTCATTTTTGAATAGACTCTCCTGTCTTATGTAAAAATATTAAATAATTGAATTCTAGTACTTGATACAATATGTGAAGTCAATATCACAATAGATGGGATTAATAGCAAAGTGACCAGAGCAGAGTAGAGGATCCAAGAATTAAAACACAGGTCAGTGGGCTGGGCACGGTGGCTCATGCCTGTAATCCCAACACTTTGAGAGGCCAAGGCAGGCGAATCACTTGAGACCAGGAGTTCAAGACCAGGCTGGCCAACATGGTGATATTCTATCTCTACCAAAAATACAAAAAAAAAAAAAAAAAAAATTTAACTGAATGTGGTAGAGGGCACCTGTAATCTCAGCTACTCAGAAGGCTGAGGCAGGAGAATTGCTTGAACCTGGGAAGCAGAGGTTGCAGTTGAGTCGAGATCACACCACTGTACTCCAGCCTGGGTGACAGAGCAAGGCTCTGTTTCAAAAAAAAAAAAAAAAAGTAAGAATACAAGTCAGTGGAAAATTTTCAGGTTGAAGTGCAGAGATATAAAATAATGAAAAATACAAAAAACTGCATAAATATATATGTGAAGACACAGTAAAAGGATGCTTTGTATATGTGTGTCTGTGTGTTTGCATTGAGTATATATGCAATACACACATATTGCATATGTGTTTGTGTACATACGTATGGTTGGTGCAAAAGTAATTGCAGTTTTTGCCATTACCTTTAAAGGCAAAAACCACAATTACTTTTGGACCAATTCTCTATCTATCTAGACAATTCTATTTCCAGGAAGAGAAATGAGCGAGGGACAGCAGCAATAACTGAAGAACTAATGGCTGAAAATCTGCTCAAAGCAATGATATTATTCCACATATTCAAAAAGCTCTGAAAACACCAAGAGGATGTGTCAAAAGTAAACTCTACCTAGACTAGTCTCAGACAAAACCTGTTCTTTGGAGAGTTTCTTCATCTGCTTTAAATATAGTTGGAACAAGATCAGTTGCTAATTTTGTAGCCAGGTGAATTCAATAAAATGATGAATGAGCTTCAGTGTTTAAAATTAATACCTTTTTTTTTTTCTTATGAGTCTTCAGGCACGATGAAATGGGAACAATTTTATTCTGTTATGTCATGAGTTCACAGGTTCAGAGACTTAGAGTATGACTTGCAAGCTCACTTGGTTGGAATGGATTCTGTGAATTCTGTAAACTCCCGGAGTTATCCTATTTTTGACCATCCAAATTAAACAGCTCCAGCTCCCATTCCTCATTAGTGTAGACAGCCAAATGTTTCTCAGAACTCCCTACAGGTGCTTATGCTCCTAATATCTTGTGCAAATTCTTATTTCTGTCTTCTGTGTGACATTCTCTGGCCACCTCCACCTCACTCCTGCAACCAACTACCCATTTTCTTTGTAGCTTTGCATTAAGAATTACTGAGGCTTTCCCCCTTTTCCAAGAATTTTCAAATACACAGCAATTGATTGAGACACAGTTTTGCAAAAACATAAGGATAATGACGGGTGGTTAATGCACAGAACTGTTAAAAATAAGAATAGAAATCAGAGTGCATTCTAGCTAAAGAGTTCAGCCACTCTTGGCAATAACCTCTACAGGCTACTTTGTGCCCTGATGTTACAGGTATACCTGCTCCTTTTGGAACCCAGAACTCCTTTCATTGTTAATCTCTGAGGGCCAAGAAACCTTTAACATTTTATTTTTAGAATTGTAGAATGATTTAGCGCTTATGGATTGTATCTCTATTTCACAGATGCAGTCAGGTGTCCTATCTTCCAAGACCTAAACAGCCATTAAAGGGCCTTCTTAAATAAAAGGAGAGTTTCTTCCTAAGAGAGTTGTACTGTTTCCCCTAGAACATAGGAATGAATGTCATTGTCATGGTGACTTTTACTTTTTTTGTGTGTATGAAGCTTCACTTCTTTTATACAGTCAAATGATATATGCTTCCAGGAATCAAGAAATCCACTAATTTATTCAAAATAACAACGTATATACGATGAATATTAAATGACTAAATAAAGGCAGGGTCTGACTATCCTGGCATCAAGGTAGGTGAGTGCGACTGAGTTGGACAATCACAGGATTAGACCCTGTCTTGGTTTAAATTTTGGAGAGTTTGTTAATTATGGTGATTTTTTCATGAATATTATTTTTTAAAAATCTATCGCATTATAAGATCATCTATCTTAAGTACAGGATATCTTAGTGCTTACATTTTATACCTGAGGCCAGAGCCTCCCTCGCTTCGCCCTAGTCCTGGCTCTGTCATCACGTCTGGATAAAATCTATATCCAGATAAAAATGCTTTTACTCTAACAAGGTCTGGTTACTTTTTTCAATCTTGAGATTAGGAAAGACAATGGATTATTTTGGAACTAAGGTGCATTTTCCCAGACGTAGATGATATGCACATTCAGTGCAGAGCTAATGTGAAGAAATAGAGAGCTTCTTATGCGTCTAGGATACACCCACAGAGTTCATGATTTAAGGACCAAACCCTCCCAAGGAGAGAGAGCAGGGCCAGGGAGCTATCTTGATGCTCCCCCTTAGAGTCGATGAGTCTTTCTTCTTGAGGTTTGCTCCCCTCTGCTTGTGTCCCATGCCATATTGTCCTCATTTAATTGTGCCCTCAAAGAGACTTGTTTTTAACAGCATTTACTTGGATCCTATTATGTTTGTATGTAAGGAAACCCTTGTACAACTGCATTTTGCCATCCAATTAATGAAATAGTTTATGAATGGCCAGCACATAAATGAATAAGACAAAGTCCACACTAGTAGAAATCTCATAGCTAAATGGAGAATTAAAAATTCACGCACCTCTGTAGGAGGCATAATTGCATAAGAAACCTTAGCCAGAAGAAGGGAGTCCTTGTGAAGAACAGAGGACTGGGCATCCCCTCCCTTGGCAGATCCACTATGATTCCATGAGGGAACTGGTCTTTGAGTTGGGCTTGCTTTTTTTAGGGAAGATGTGGGATAGGTGAGGGCATGCAAGGGGAGTATGCAGGAGGAGCAAAGCACACGTTTTAGGAAAATGCCGGGAATAAATGGGGAAGGTCAAGGAATCCAAAGAATACAGATGCCTGTGACCCTGGAAAGCACTCCAAGCCCCGCTGTGGCAGCCCTGACCCCTTCCTGGAGAGCAGAAAAAGGTGTTTCAAGGATATTAGAGATGGCCTGCCCAAACCAACATCACCCAATGACCACAATTACTAGGATAAAGATTGCGTATCTTTGGACACCATAGTTTAATTTGGTTTACATGTCGCACGTCTCTGATGAGGGAGCCCTTTCTGAATCCCCATCAGCCACAGCAGCTTCTTGGCCTCCTCATGGCTTTTTGCAGCATTTTGTTCCAGGGAGACCACAGGTGCCAATTTGTTTATACCTTCTAGGGCAAAAGACTGGATGACATATGGCTCCACTCTTAAGGCAGGTAACAGGATCGCCTATACCACCAAAAACACCTAACAGGGAAAAAACACACAAAAAGAGCAAACAGCGTGTAAGAACTCAAAACTCATGTTGGAAAAACACAAACCCTGTGTCAGTATCGCCTTGAGTAAATCCGCAGCGGGCTTCTTTCTCAAGCCTGGGCTTTTCCATCATGATAATGAGACGCGAGTCAGTCATTTGGATCTAAGTTTCTGACATGGAAACTGGCACTGCTGTGGTTTGGGGGATGTTTATTTTTGTAGAACCTGATTGTGAAAGACCCTGATCTCTCCTGAGTGACTGGGGCCTCCAGGTGGGGTCTGGCAGGAGCTCAGCAATGATCTCTTGTGAATTCAGCTCCACCACAAGAAGATAATATCAAAGCCACCATACCTCCATTTTAACACACACAAGCCAGTAAACTTTTGCTTTTTCAAATCATTTAGTCTGTTAAGTATTTGATCTGAGATGGGATAAAAAAGATGCAACTTACTGAAATTGTTTAATAGGAAATTAACACCAAGTAACTTACAGTTGAAAACCACAATT
This sequence comes from Homo sapiens, assembly GCF_000001405.40. Taxonomy (NCBI): domain Eukaryota; kingdom Metazoa; phylum Chordata; class Mammalia; order Primates; family Hominidae; genus Homo; species Homo sapiens. The sequence goes on along the minus strand of NW_018654717.1, from coordinate 5,493,239 downwards.
AACCATAGAAATAAATTTTGTAATGGCTTGTTTCTAATATCTAAGTCCTGGTTTCAACCTCATTCTTCTTTTTGTTTCCCTCCCTCCCTCCCTCCTTCCCTCCTTCCCTCCCTCCCTCCCTCCTTCCCTCCTTCCCTCCCTCCCTCCCCCTCCCACCAGCCTGCCTCCCTGCCTCCCTGCCTCCCCGCCTTCCTTCATTATACTGTTCTAGGTTTTGGAAAATATGAGGTCTCTGGTGCCTCTCAGAACCCCATTGTTCTCACAAAACCCAGGACTCATAAATAAGATTGGTAAAATGAGGATTTCACAAGATGATATCTATTAGATTAATTGTTTTAGGATTTACTCTCAAATTTTCTTTTTCCCTTTCTCCATCCTTCCCTTCCACTCTCCCTCTTTTATCCTTTCATGGTTTTTATTTTATTTTCATAATATCAAGGAGAAAATGAAGGTTAGGCATCCAGGTTTAAAAGTTGGTTTCAATGGGCTGTCCCTGTCCTGTGAACCTGCAGTGGCCTAGTGGCAGGGACTGTTCTCAGGGCCTCTGATCAGAAAAGTCCTGGGGGCAGAGTGTCTGCTGCAGTAGTTCTCACAGTATAGGCTGGGCCTTAAGATTATCTGGAATTCTCTAGGTTGCAGTATCTACTCTTTAAATATAAAAATTTAGAAAATGACATTCTATACTACTTTCTTTAGATAAAATCAAAATTTCTGCCTTTTATTTAAAAAGTCACCTAACAGGTTTCAACCATAGTCTCAGCAGTTGTAGCATGGAAAGCAGTGAAGAGATGATATTTACAAACTACTGGGCTCCTTCATATTGGCTTAGAAGAACGAGTGAGTTGTCCATTGGGTTCTCAAACTCCTTTTCTATTGAAGGAAGCAATGCTTGGTTCAATTAAATAGGGCATTCAGTCTACTCAGTCTAAAAGTGTGGGTAGAAGAAAGGAAAGAGAAAGAAAGAAAGACATGCTCTAGGGAGAGAGGAAAAAGAAAGACAGAAAAAAAGAGAGAGAGGGAAGAAGAGAGAGAAGCAGGAGAAAAGGATGGAGGGGACACACAGAGAGAGGAAGGAGAGAGAGGGATGAGGGAGAGATAGGTGGAGGGGAATGAGAGGAGACAGAGAACTTCTACGCCATTCTTCCATTTGGCCAACCCTCCTATTTCCCTGGCCCATCTCACCTGGAAGAGGCATCAGGAATATGAAGAGGAACGAGAAGAGGAGATACAAGACCCTCATGGCTGATGGCTGGGAGCTTCACCAGGAGCTGAGTCTGGGGAGGACATCAAGCCTTCCACCTTATAAAGGTCCTGGTCCCTGGTCACCAGGTAGAGTTCAGAACTGGTATTGGGTGCAATGCTCATTACAGAGGTTAGAATTCAGCCACTTACCTGGTGAGTCAGAGAATGGTCCTCAAAGAACAATGCACACTCAGGAGATCTTATGCAAATCTGGACTCAGGAAACCCCAGAAAATCCCTTCCTCCTGCTCTTGGGACCAGAAAATTCCTCCTATCTTGCACCATTTAAAACCCAGTGTGTGAATGGAGTGAGGGGCTGGGTCTGTCTCACGTGAGAACAAACTCAAACTCAGGACCTATAACCTGCCACTCACCTGCTGCCCACTCTGTGCGACGTCCTGTTTTTCCTGAGTATCTGGGGACAGTCTCAGGCCAAATTGAGAGCTCTTTCCATCTAATTCTATCCATTGCTCGGACATTCAGCTCCTGGGGATGATACAGGGCTGGCTCAAACCCAGGGACCCTGGAGGGGCTCAGGGCCTCTGGCAGCACCGGGAGCATGGTGGGCCCCATCCTCACAGGAGATCTGAGCTGGTGAAATTTATGTGAAAGTTCCCCTGAAACTCCCCATCTTCCCCACGGGAGAGAGATGAGGCAGATGGATGCCCACTTCCTTCCTCTGAGAAGGAGAATGGGAGGATGGGATTGTGACTACATGTGTCCCCTCAGAGTTCACCCAGGCCTGGGCCAGGAGGTGGCCTACCACCCGCACTTGAGTTCCTTCCATTCACACCGTCACTCAGGGAATGTCAGCTCCACAGGACTTCAGGGCTTTGGGAGCCAGGGCTTTCTCTGCTTTCCACAGACGTCAGCGTCACTGCCCTTGGGATTTGGTGGAGAAGCACCGAGTAGGGCTGCAAGGCCTCCACGTGGTCTCCCTGTTGGTGATGGGAAACACTTATGAAGGAGCCCCATGTTTTCAGGGCTGTGTGAGGTCTCTGGTGTCTCTCAGGACCCTGTCCTTCTTCCGTAACCCAGAGTAGCAATTGGCGGCCCCAGGCAATGGACAGAGCCCCATCCCGGGCACTCAGGAGAGGGCCTTTCTTGGGAAAATGAGTGGCATTCATCCTGGTTCCTCCCTCTTTCGATCTAAGGGCAGTTTGAGAAACAAGCAGGCCCCAGTGTCCATGTCTGTGATGTCTCAGGGGTGCAGCAGTGACAGAGACATGGGGACAATGAGGCTTTCCTCATGACCTGCCTGACCTCTTCATTTAAAATGTCAGGTTCTGAAGAACCCTGATTCCTGGCAGGCCAGAGGTGGATTTAAAGGAAGCTGGTAACGATATTGTGCAGCCAAGATCCTTAATGACATTTTTATAAAAGGAAATTTCTGAGCCTAGCATGGTGGCTTACACCTGTCATCCCAGCACTTTGGGAGGCTGAGGCAGGTGGATCACATGAGGTCAGGAGTGTGAGACCAATTTGACCAACATGGCAAAACCCCATCTCCATGAAAAATACAAAAATTAGCCAGGCATGATGGCTTACGCCTATAATTCCAGGTATTTGGGAGGCTGAGGCACGGGAATCGCTTCCGACAGAGCAAGACTCAGTCTCAAAGAAAAAAAAAAAAAAAGAAGGTTCTGGTGGGGTATGCAAAGAGAGGGCTGGGTCAGATGCTGTCAGAACTGCTAAACAAATATGCATCCAGGACTGGAGCTTAGTCACCAGGGAGTCACTCTGATTGTCAGGGCTTTGTTTCCTTGTGTGCTGAGCAGGCTGGAATTGAGGGGCAGACTCATTCATTCCTGACACTAAAACTATTTCTTCCTGGTGAAGAAAGCATACAGAGAAATGGAATATGAAATAAAGCCTTTATGTGCTCTGCCTAAATTAATATTTTATTTTTTTTTGTATACTTGCTATGTCACCTTTAGAAAGTAAGAGGCAGCTCTCACTTGCTGCTGATGACCTGCCTCACCATGCACATGTCCTGCCACCACCCCACAGAAATGCTTCCATTACCCACAGTCTTTCACCAGATGAGACCAGTGTCCAGGCTACTGGCTCCTCACCTCACTTGAAGTGATGGTAAAGATGTAAAATTTGGTGCTGATGTCTGAGCCTTAATGCTTCAAAGTGTAGACTTTTTGTCGATGCTGTAGCCATTACAATGGGGCCAAAGGGAAGAACAGTAATTATTGAACATAGCTGGGGAAGTCCCAAAGTAACAAAAGATGGTGTGACTGATGCAAAGTCAATTGACTTAAAGGATAAATATAAAAGCATTGGAGCTAAACTTGTCCAAGATGTTGCCAATAACACAAATGGAGAGACTGGGGGATGGCACTATCACTGCTGCTGTACTGGTATGCTCTATTTCCAAATAAGCCTTCCAGAAGGTTAGCAAAGGTGCTAATCCAGTGGAAATCAAGAGAGGTGTGATGTTAGCTGTTGATGCTGTAATTGCTGAACTTAAAAAGCAGTCTAAACCTGTGACCAAACCTGAAGAAATTGCACAGGTTGCTACAATTTCTGCAAATGGAGACAAAGAAATTGGTAACATCATCTCTGATGCAATGAAAAAGTTTGGAAGAAAGGGCATCATCACAGTAAAGGATGGAAAAACACTGACTGATGAATTAGAAATTATTGAAGGCATGAAAATTTGATCGAGGATATATTTCTCCATACTTTCTTAATACATCAAAAGGTGAGAAATGTGAATTCCAGGATGCCTATGTTCTGTTGCATGAAAAGAAAATTTCTAGTGTCCAGTCCATTGTACCTGCTCTTGAAATTGCCAATGCTTACTGTAAGCCTTTGGTCATAATTGCTGAAGACATTGATGGAGAAGCTCTAACTACACTCATCCTGAATAGGCTAAAGGTTGGTCTTCAGGTTGTGGCAGTCAAAGCTCCAGGGTTTGGTGACAATAGAAAGAACCAGCTTAAAGATACGGTTATTGCTACTGGTGGTACAGTGTTTCGAGAAGAGGGCTGACACTAAATCTTGAAGACGTTCAGCCTCGTGATGTAGGAGAAGTTGGAGAGGTCACTGTGATCAAAGATGATGCCATGCTCTTAAAAGGAAAAGGTAACAAGTCTCAAATTGAAAAATGTGTTCAAGAAATCATTGACCAGTCAGATGTCACAACTAGTGAATACGAAAAGGAAAAACTGAATGGAGAAACTTTCAGATGGAGTAGCTGTGCTGAAGGTTGGTGGGACAAGTGATGTTGAAGTGAATGAAGAGAAAGACAGAGTTATAGGTGCACTTAATGCTACAAGAGCTGCTGTTGAAGAAGGCATTGTTTAGGGAGGGGGTTGTGCCCTGCTTCGATGCATTCCAGCCTTGGACTCATTCACTCCAGCTAATGAAGATAAAATAATTGGCATAGAAATTATTAAAAGAACACTCAAAATTCCAGCAATGACTATTGCTAAGAATGCAGGTGTTGATGGATTTTTGATAGTTGAGAAAATTATGCAAAGTTCCTCAGAAGTTGGTTATGATACTATGTTAGGAGATGTCGTGAATATGGTGGAAAAAGACATTATTGACCCAACAAAGGTTGTGAGAACTGCTTTATTGGATGCTGCTGGCATGGCCTCTCTATTAACTACAGCAGCTGTTGTAGTCACAAAAATTCCTAAAGAAGGGAACAGCCCTGGAATGGGTGCAATGTGTGGAATGGGAGGTGGCCTGTTCTAATTCCTAGAATAGTGCTTTACCTTTATTAATGAATTGTGATAGGAAGCCCAAGGCAGTGTTCCTCACCAATAACTTCAGAGAAGTCAGTTGGAGAAAATGAAGAAAAGGCTGGCTGATGTTTAAGAAACCACTATAACCATCAGTTACTGGTTTCAACTGACAAAATATATAATGGTTTACAGCTGTCATCCATGCCTACAGATAATTTAGTTTGTATTTTTGAATAGAAAGATCTTGTACATTCCTGACACTGGGTACAAGAGCCATGTACTGATGTACTGTTTTCAACTTAAATCACTGAGGCATTTTTTAGTAAAAATGAATAGTAGTCTATTCTGTTAAAATCAGGATTTTAGTGCTTGCAACCACCAAATGAGAAGTTAAGCAGCCTTTCTGTGCAGAGTGAGAATAATTGTGTACAAAGTAGAGAAACTTCCAATTATGTGACAACCTTTGTGTACTAAAAATTTGTTTAAAGTTAAAAAAGAAAGACGCAAACATCATGACACTTCACTGTAATTATCTCAGCAGAATCTCTTACATATGAGGGGACATTCCCACATCAAACACAATACAATTTACACACATTAAGAAAACTAGTTCCTCAATGTTATTTATTATCTTGTCAATATTTCACATTTCTCCAATTGTTCCAACCATGGCTTCATGGCTGTTGATGTTTCTGGATACATGTTTAATCTAGATTTGCACATCAAATCAGGTTGTCATGTCTCTTAATTTGTTGAGTAAATATTCTTAAGGAAATGTCATGGTACTATGAGAAGAACCTTATTGGGGCTTAGAGTTTGAATTAAGGGACTGGTTGCCATCTTTTTCATGTGAGACTTCATTCCTGATCGATACATTCTTAATGACTACTATGCTTAACATTATTATTATAAAAGTAATACACTCACATTTAAAAACTCACCCATAAAAGAGAGTGAATTTTTCCTACACACCTGTTCCAATCCCAGGAACCACCGATAGCACTGTGGTTTTTCACTTGTTGTCCTCTCTAGCTCTCAGTACATTTGTGAGGCCTTGTTAGAGAAGGAGGTGAAATTACTCTGAAATAGGAAAGTCACTGTGAAATGCAGCACCTGTGTCCCTGGGGAAGAAGCCACCAAGGCTTAGGGAATATGTGCCTGGTTGCTCAAGGACAGCTGGGCTGACTGTTCCCATGAAGATTCCTACGGTTGCAGCTGCTTCTTTTCTCCTGGCACAGCCCAGTGTGACTCCTTCACAGCTGTGTTCATCCTAGTGATGAAGTGTGTTTGATAAGGACCAATAGAGGGGCATCTTTGCTTTAAAGGTAGGGTTATGATCTTGCTTCAGCAAGGAAGACCATCCACTGGCAGAACCATGGGGCTCTTCACTAAAACCAGAGATGCAGCAATTCTAGGATTTGGGGACATGTCAAGATTTGGTAAAATATACATGACTTTTCTTTTTCTTAATGAGCTAAAAGCAAAGCCAGGTTGTGTGTAAAATGGGAACCATCAAGTCTAACTGACAAATAGACTCACTATGCTGTCTTTTAATGAAACATGACCTGTGCTGTGTCCCCAAACCTCTCTCTATAACTGGGGAGAGAATTTCAGGCTGTTTCTTTGTGGCAAAATGGTTCAGTTCCCCAGGCAAGAGTGGGAAGCCTCATTCTTATAGATAGGCTCCCAGAAAGCAAACTCTCTCATCTCTATGATTTAGAAAACAAAGTTTCTCTGCATTATGTCCTCAATGTTAAGTAACAGAAGCAGTTTTACTGGTTCTCAATTCTGGAGGCAGAGCCAGCTTCATGGGCTTGAAGGCAGGGCAGTGACACAGGAATCTGCTCTGAGAAGGGCCGGTACCTGGTGTCAGGCTCTGCTGATAGCTCCCTGACTTTCTTAGTTTTTTCTTTGAACTTGTGTTTTTTAAGTGAAGCTTACTGAGGACAATGGAGCAGGCACATGGGCAGAGTGGCTATGAGGGGAGACAAGGTGGGCAGGCTCAGGCCCAGGGACGTTCTAGAGCTTTGCTGCCCTGAGCATAGGCATTCTTGGAGCAGCCCAGGCACATCTGGACTGGGATGGGAGGTGGCAGCAGCAGCAGCAGCAGCAGGTGTCCTCAGCCCTGGGGTGAATGGAGGGTCTCTGTGTGGAGGCAGCACTGACAGCTCTGTGCCTGTGCATTCTCAGAGTCATCCTTGGAGCTTCTGCACAAAGATTTACCCCCTGACCTGAGCACCAGGACAGGAACCATAGGTGCTCAGATAGCAAACTGGGAGGAGAGAAGCACAAAACAAAAGTGTGCCCATGGACATTGCAATAAAGTATACCAGGAAGTTCTTGGAATTCTTCAGAGAGTTTAGAATTCTTTAAGGCATTATCCAAGGCTCAGAAATGGAAATTAAACATGTAATAGTAGTCACATTCAACAGAGAAGGATGCTATATTTGTATAAAACTTCTGATGGGCCAGGCATGGTGGTTCACGCCTGTTATCCCAGCACGTTGTGAGGTTCAGGTCAGAGGATTCCTTGAGGCCAGGTGTTGGATACTAGCTAGGGCAGTATAACTAGACACCATCTCTACAAATAATGATAATAAAGATAATAAAGATTAGCTGGCCATAGTGTCACATGATCGTAGCCTTAGCTTCTTGGGAGGCTGAGGTATGAGGATTACATGAGTCCAGGAGTTTGAGGCTGTAGTGAGCAATGATCGTAGCACTGCACTCCAGCCTGAAAAATACAGACCTTGTCAAAAAACAAAAAACAAACAAACAAAAACCTTCTGATTAATCAATTATGAACAAGGAGGGCAATTTTAAAAATTAAGTTTTTCTTGTTAATAAATACATAGCAATAGAATTCATAAACAGGGGTTTTGAATAAGTTACAAATCATGATGCCATATTGGTCTGCTGTGGGCCTCTGCAACTTACAGAACATGTCAGAAGATGCATCAAAATTCCGCTGGAGAAATTGACACTTAAAATTAGATTCAAATTTACATGAAACTGATTTGTTTAAAGAGTTAAATCTTTTGAGTCAAATTGTTTCACAAGAATCACCAGCTCCAGATATACTAAAATCTGTTTCAAAATAATTTATCCTCATGTTGTCACAGCTTGGAATATATTCCAGAAACAGTTGCTTCAGCAGATTCTTCCCAAAAGATAAAATGAAGTTGCTCAAGGTATAAAGTTTGTTGTCCTAATATATTATTTGACAGAAAAGTGGGCCAGAAAAATTGTATGATTCATCTAAATCCAATTAATAGAGTAGTATTTTTATTCTATTAAAACTATGAAATTAATTTCTGGTGGAGATTTGTAAGATTCTGTCATTACTCCTGTATAACTATTACATTTTTCAAACAATGAAAAATATTTGTTTGAAAAAGCTTAATATCCTACTGCCTTTCATTACACTTTCTTTTTCTGCTCTTTAAACCATGGTACCCTGCATTTCCATTTCGCACTGAAACTTAGGAATTTTGCGGCTAGCCCTGCTATGGCCATTTTTATATTAGTTATCTTATTAAATCCTCAGAAACAAGCCTGCCAGGTAGGTATTACGCAAGCTTACAGAGGCAGGTCCTGGGGCATGGAAATGTTGGAGGACACGTTCAAGGTCACCTGGCTACTAAGTGGCAAAGATGCAATTTGAAATAAAATCCCCCTCTCTTCAAAGCCCATGTTCCTAACCAGCGCCACACAATCATCATGGTGTCCTGATAACCTCCCCTCTTCATCCTCCTACAACCCCAAAGCTACAGTAACGCTCTGCCTAAAGCCAAAGTCCATGGAGCTACTGTCACCCTCTTCCATCTTCTGAGCTGAGTGGTGAGTCCAGAGCCTGGGCTGGCCTGGTCTTGCAGGAGGTGAGGGAATGAGCGCGCAGTTACTGCCACCTCGTGGCGGCTCGTCTATATGACCCTAAAACGCAGATGTAATCTGTTTCCTGCCTGCCTGAAGCCTGGGTGTGCACCTGAGACTTACAGTAATTTCTTTACCCCTTAATGAACCTATTGAGAGTTCTCACAATTGTATGGATCCTCTCAAGGAATCAGCTTTTATTTACTAATTTTTAATGTTTTTTGTGTCCAGTTTCTTTTTATTCACTTTTTCTTTTTCTCTTTTTTTTTCTTTTTCTTATTTACTTTGGGTTTAGTTTGTTCCCTTTTCCCTTACCGTTTCTTACAGTGGAAACTTAAATTGTCTATTTGTGAGCTTTTCTGCTTTCTATCATAATAGCATTTAATTATAAATTTGTCTCCAAGAGCCACTTTAGTGGCACTTCCACAAATTTTGATATGTTATGGTTTCATTTTCTATCAGTTGAACATATTTTCTAAAGTATCTTGTGATTTCTCCTCTGGACCATTTAGATACATGTTCATTGATGTCCCAATATATGGAGATTTTTCCAGATGACTCTCTGTATTGATAGTTTTGTAAATTCCACTGTAGATAGACACTGTCTTTTGTATAACTTTAAACTATGTTGATTTTTTGAGACGTTTCATAGGTTAGTATGAGCTCTATTGGGTAATATTTTAATGCATTCTGCTGTTATTTGGTAGAGTGTTCTATAAATCTCAAATAGGTTGTGCTGGACGGTAGCGTTGCTCAAGACTTCTCTACCTTTACTAATATTTTGTCTGCTTTAAAAAATCTCTTACAGGAAGAGAAGTGTTGAATTGTCTAATTGCAATTGCTAATTTGTCTATTTCTTTAATGTCTATTGATTTTTCTTTAAGAATTTCAAAATTCTGTTATTAGGGGCACACACTGATTTAATATTAATATCTGTTCTTGGTGATGTAACCACTTTATCATTAGGAAAAATATCTCTCCCTATTACTGATAATACCCCTTGCTCTAAAATCTACCCTAATTTATGTCAATGAGCCAGTATAGCCAATCCTATTTTCTTTATACTAATGTTTTCATATTATATCTCTTTCCATCCTTTTATTTTTACTCTAAGTTTGTTCTTAAAGTTTATATATAAAGTGGGTTTTTATAGACAGTATGTAGTTGGGTCTTGCTTTTTACTGAACTGACAATCTCTCTCTTTAAGGAGCTTCTAGAATGTTCACAGCATGCTCTTTTCATCATATGGAATCAAATTTCTACCTAGCATCTTCCCTTTCTGCCAAAAAACTTATCTTTGCATTTTATAGTACAGACTGGCTGGTGAGGAATTCTCTTAGCTTTTATTGTTGTTACTGGAAAATGCCTTTACTTATTATTTGATTATGTGTTTACCCTTTTTTTAGAAATATACTTTTGCTGGGGTGGATTTCTAAGAGAACATTTTTTTTCTTTCGGCATTTGAAGATAACACTTAACGTTTTGTTCTTCTGTAAGTAATATGTCTCCTTTCAGACTGCTTTTTAGTTTTATTTTTGTTTTTGAGACGCAGTCTCTCTCTGTTGCTCAGGCTGGAGTGCAGTAGGGTGATCTCGGCTCACTGCCATCTCCGCCTCCTGGGTTCAAGAGATTCTCCTGCCTCAGCTTCTTGAGTAACCTAGGATTATAGGTGCGTGCCACCATGCCTGGTTAATTTTTGTATTTTTTTTTTAGTAGAGACAGGGTTTTACCATGTTGGCCAGGCTGGTCTCAAACTGCTGACCTCAGGTGATCCGCTCACCTTGGCCTCCCAAAGTGCTGGGATTACAGGCATGAGCCGCTGTGCCCGCCCTCAGGCTGCTTTTAAAATTTTCTTTTTATTACTGATTTAAAATAATTTGATTATGATATGTTTCATGTGGTTTTCTTCATGTTTCATATTTCAACTTGGATGTCTTCATGTGGTAAATTTGTGTGTTTATAGTCTCACCAAATTTGGAAAACAATAGGCCATTCCTTCCTTAGCTCTATCCTCTCTCTCAAAACTTTTCTTCTTTTATTCGAGATGGAGTCTTGCTCTGTCGCCCAGGCTGGAGTGCAGTGGCGTGATCTCGGCTTACTTGCAACCTCTGCCTCCCAGGTTTAAGCGATTCTCCTGCCTCAGCCTCCAGAGTAGCTGGGATTACAGGTGCACGCCACCACACCCAGCTAATTTTTGTATTTTTAGTAGAGATGGGGTTTCACCATATTGGCCAGGCTGGTCTTGAACTCCTGACCTTGTGATCCACCCTCCTCAGCCTCTCAAAGTGTTGGGATTACAGGTGTGAGCCACCACGCCTGGCTGTCTAAACACACATAGTTGCTAGATTGCTTGATGTTTCTGCACAGGTCACTGCTTATTATTTTCCAGCCCTTTTCTCCTCTCTTTGTACTATTTCTTCATTCATTTGTAGTAATATAAACTCAGGTTTACTGATCTTTATTTTGGAATATATGCCACAATCCAACTCATAGTATCTTTTACTCAGATGTTTATTTTTAATCTCTGGAAATTCCATTTGTCTCTTTATATCTCTCACTCATCATGAACAGTTTTTCTCTTCAAACTCGGACATATTTATAACATTTATAATAGCTCATTTAAATCTTTTTTTGCTGATCCTAGTATCCTTGTCATTTCTGGATCTGTTTTTACTGAATGATTTTTCTCTTGATTATGACCATATTTTCCTGCATAGCAGCTAATTTTTTATTAGATTCAGTGTGCTATAAAGCACAAACTGTTGAGTGATGGATTTAGTTGTTTTTCTTTGAAGAACGTTAGGCTTTATTCTGTCCCACATTTAAGTTTCTCATAGATCAGTCTGGTCCTTTCAAGAATGGTTTAGAAAAAAATTTGTTAGAGTGGTTGCAGAACAATTTAATCTAGAGCCAAATAGCACTACTACTAATGTGTTAGTTGCCCAAGGACTCTGCAGTCTCTCCACTTTGCTAGTGGGAATGAAAATTTTTCCAGCCTTTAGTGCTCCTAAAATTGTTATCCAATCCCTTTTGGGTGTTTTTCTTTGCCTCTAGCCTTGTGAAGTCTTACCCCAAGCGTGCTCACATGAAAACACAGCCCAGGACTGAAGATTTACCATGTGTCCCTGCCCCCACCACCAACACTTCGGGGCCTTGCTTCCTTCTAGGCACCCTCTCTCTGCTATTCTGCCCTGGAAGTGGGGGTGTCTTGTGCTTTGGGAAGTTTGATTTCAGTCTCTTCAATGCTTCAGGATTGCTGGACTTCGTTTGAGTCTTCCTCTGTGTGCTGTGGTCTGGACCCTGCTGCTGTAGTGAGCTGGGGGCAATCGAAAGTCTCACTTCATTGGTCTGTTGCACTGCTTATTATCCAATGTCTGAACACAGCTGTCACACATCTTGACAGGTTCCCTTTTGTCTGCTGTCAGAGGGAGATTCCCATAGCAGTGAGTCCATTTTGGATGGAAAGTGAGGAGCAGTCTCATCTTTTTGAGCCCTTGAGCCTTTCTTCCTAAGAGCCTTGTTGTATTGTCTTTTCTCCATACGTGGAGCCATGACTGGGGTCTGGTGTCAGGTATGAAAAACCACACACTCCATTTGCTGGAATCCTACTGCATCAACGTTGAGAGAGCACTAGATAGTTAAACTGCAGTACCTCCAAATCATTTGAATGATTAAAGATAATTCAATCAATAAATCGTTTGAATGTACTTCAATTCATAAATACTTGTTGAGCAGCCTTCATGCTCAGGGCACTTTACAAGCAGTACAGGAAGAATTAAGACAAACTCCTTGCTTTTAAGGCTCACAAAGTCTAATATGGAGATTGGCAATATGTCACTGTACGCAATGTAAAAACCAAGCAAGGGTTGTAGATGGAGGACTCAAGTCAGAACCCTGTGGTGAACCAGAGGAAAGACTGTAAGCATTTGGGAAATCACCTGTGTTTTTAAGGTGGAGATAAAATGTGAGACGGTCCCTGAAGGACAGGTTAAAGTTTAGAGATGAAGTTGGAGGAGTGAGGCAGACATGAGGTCAACCAGAGCAGAGGCATGGGTGAGAGAAAGCAAAGTGAATATCTGAGGAAGAGCCAGTTTCCTTATTTCTCTGAAGACAAAGTTTTTGGAAGGAATTGGGATAGCCCCTGAGGGATGCATGAAAACCTTAGAGATAGATTTGGTGGACAGATGCCATTTGGGGTAGAGGGACTGAAAAGGCCCAAGGCTTGGATGACATGAAAGCAAAGGGCATATTCCAAGAGAGTGAAGAGTCCAACTTCACTGGGGCATAACGTTCACAAAGTAGGAATAGAACCTGATAACCCTTGGATAATAAGGTTGGGCTCCCTTATAGATTTCTCCAGAGATTCTACTTTCTTTGAACGAAAGGTGAGTCCTTAAGATTTTCTGAGTTGTCTGTTTGGAAACAAGTACCAAAATAATCAGATTTAAAAAAAAAAATCAAGCTCCTAATTTTTTTTGAAAAAAAAATGTAATTTGATTTTACTTTTATAAACTTTAAGAAGGCATTTCCACACTTTACAACACTCTCGTCATGTTTCAGGGTTTTTATTTCTTTCTTCGGCAGCATTTTCGGCCACGCGTCGAGCACTTGCCGATCTGTTCCTCCTTTGGAAGGCAGCTGAGCACAGCACACCGGCCGCCTCTGACTCTGCAATAATATTTCTGTAATGTGTTTATGATTCCTCCATGACCTGCAATGACAAAACAGCACACACGGAAAGGTTTTAGGAAGGCTTTTGGTACACGTACAAGGCTTGTGGAATTCCTCAAATAACTCATCCCTTGCTTTTCTTGTATTCTTTTGTTTCTTTTTCCTTTTTCTATAAAATCAGGAGGAAGATGAAGGTATGACTACACAACCCATAGACAATGTTTCTAAGGCTGCAGCTCAGCTGTGGACCCACAGTGGCACCGGGGAAGTGGCGTGACCCTGTGACTGCCGCAGGAACAGTGGGGGTGCTGAGGCTGTGGTGTCCTCAGAGGTAGCCCCAACACTCCACCTCCAACCATTGCACTTAGTAGAACAGGAGCCTGTGCTTCTATTCTCAGAGTAAATCAATCTTTCCTGCTACATTAAACTTTTATGTCTGATTCATGTCTCATCAGCTGGTATAATAATCTTCCCTTGAAGAGTTGGGGAAAGAGATAGCTTTGGGGAGCTATTTAGTTTCTTAATGATTCTTTTCTTTTTTTTTTTTTTTTGAGGTGTACTCTCACCCTGTCACCCAGTCTGGAGGACAGTGGCGTGATCTCGGCTTACTGCAACCTCCGCCTGCCAGGTTTAAGCAATTCTCTGCCTCAGCCTCCCGAGTAGCTGGGATTACAGGTGCCCGCCACTGTGCCCAGATAATTTTTGTATTTTTAGTAGAGATGGGGTTTCACCATCTTGGCCAGGCTGGTCTTGAACTCCTGACCTCGTGATCCGCCCACCTCGGCCTCCCAAAGTGTTGAGATTACAGGCATGAGCCACCGCACCTGGCCTCTTAATGATTCTTGTCTGAAAAAAAAGTGGTGATGCCTAGTTCCCATACAACAAACCTGCTTGGTCCAAAGCACTCTGAAGGATGGAGAAATACTGACTCTGAATTATATATTCTCAATTAGATCAATCCTTAGATTTCCCAGCCCATCTTACCTGGAACAGGCACCAAAAACAGGAAGAGCAAAGCAAACAGAAGATAATGGATCCTCATAGCTGCTAGGCTTCACCCCACGCTGAGACTGGATGAAAAGGTGTGCTTGGTCACTTTATAAAGGTTCCAGCCACAGCTGCAATTCTTGTCATATTACAGTGATGACATTATGACATGTTTTCTGATGCATCATTCCAATGCCTCTCACCATGCAGAACACACCCACTCACTCAGTTAATTAGGAACCCAATGGTAAGGCAGAGCTCCCTATGGATTTGTGGCTGTCCGGGTGCTCTCTGGACTCCAGGGGCTTGTCTGGGTGTGGGTCAGATTGGGTTGTGGGTACAGATAGGGCTGGCATGAGCAAGTATGCCCCCTTTGGGGAATAGTCTCAGGGCATGTGGCTGGGGGCTGACTTGTCCGTACTTTGCTGCTTTGGAGCTTTTTTTCTCTTCCTAAAATGCTGGGAGAGTCTAAGACCCTCCTGGGGACCAAATAAATCCATCCCTGGACATATTCAATATCTGGCAATAGGACTGGCTTTTTGGTAGTGAGGTAAGGGAGGAAAATGGGCTACATTCAAGGTTAGCTGACCACCTGGCCCTTGGCCTATGATGGGGTGCTATAATTTGAGTGAAACATGTCTCATTCTTTCATTTTTTTTTTTTTTTTTTGAGAGACAGAGTCTCACTTTTTTGTGCAGGCTGGAGTGCAGTGGCATGATTACAGCTCACAACAGCTTGAGCTGTCAGGCTCAAGAGGTCCTCCCACTTCAGCCCCCTGAGTAGCTGGGACCACAAACGCATACCTCCACACATGGCTAAATTTTAAATTTTCTGTAGAAAATAAAATGGGGTCTCACTATGCTGCCCAGACTGGTTTCGAGCCCAGATGTGAACTCCTGGGCTCAAGCAATCCTCCTGCTTCAGCCTCCTAAATTGCTGGGATTACTGGTATGAGCCACTGTGTGCGGCCCATGTCCGATTCTTCATCATTGTCTAAAACCTACCAAATTTATGAGTAAAGAAGGTGTTTAATTTTACTTCATCAGAGAAAGAGGATGCTGGGATGATAGATTTAATAGACTGGCATCTCCTCCTAGTCAATGACTGTCCCTGTGCAAAAGAGGGGCTTCAGAATAGACATTTAAGACCTCAAGTTACTCTTGGCTCAGGAGCATTCAAGGCAGTCCAGGGGCCAGATGATTTCCCCTGCATATAGATTCAACGTTTAGAGGGAAAAATGCTAAAAAAGAAAAAAAAAACAGCTATTAAACTTAAATGTTCAGGAATCCAATGGATGGGTTGTATTTGGTTGACTATCAATTGGGAACTAAGTAAGTCAATGACAATTCAATTGGGAGCTGAAGTCACCGTGATGTCTCCTAGCTGCTGCTTCGTGTGAATGCAATTATAACGGATCCACTAAGGATCAAGGGTGTGTTAGTTCTGGGAGTGTGTGTTCAGAATTTGGGTGCACCACACCTGTCAGATTCAGTAAGAAAACTCTGAACACATACTATAGGAAGGGACAAGTATCATGTCTTCAGCATAGGTGAGGGTGAAGTGGATGAGATACCAAGAGGGACCAGTCTTGGTTCTTTCTCTCCAGAAGCTCCATGTAGGGCCAGGTAGATGGGCAGACAGTCAAATGATAAATTTAGGATGAATTCTAATGGGAGTCATAGGAAGATTTCAAGCACAGGGCTGCAGAAACGTAGAAGAAAGATAACTCATCATAACTCAAAGATAACTCTTTGAGCCAAGAGTGGAGCTCAATCAGCAGATTTAAGACTTTAGATAGGTAGATGCTACTTTTTAAAATCTAACTTTCCTCTTTAGTTCATGATTTGAGACAAAGCAATTGGAGATATTTATAAATGGGGGAAGGAGGTGAGTGTGGGTGGGATGGGTGCTGACTTCACAGTCTTACTATGTCAGACATAACGATGGCATTGGGCGTTGTAGAGGGTTAGCACCAGCTCTCAGCCTGGGGTGAGGACAGTCAGACGCTGGAGATGACTTGCTTTTCCACATGGAGAATAGACTTCCACAGGTGAACCCCTGGTCTAACCTGTTCCTTCATAGACTGGGAGGCATTTTTATGGCAACACCACTATTTCATAAAAGTTCCTTGGTGAGGAAAAATGCCACTTTTTCTTGTCAACTAGTTTGGGAGCTGGGAATTGGAGATTGGGCTGTGACAATCAGCCTTTTCAAGTTTGGACATACTCCAGACACACAAAATCCGTTTTGAGGGGGACTTACCTGTTTTAAGAAAATTATAAAAGTAATGCATTTTTATGGTAAAATTTCAAACAATAGAAGAGAGAGACTGTGTAATTTACTTCTCTACTCCAGGGAGCCACTGACAACTGTGAATTGTCCTCTTTTTGGCTTATTATAATCCTTTTTATGTCATAAATACTTTTAGCCTCTCAAATGATAACAAGTACACGTGTGCTGTCTAATAGTTGGGTGAATAGATTCATGTGTCTGAAGCCACACAACACTAACGACAGCTGGGTCTTGTCACTCCCTGCCCCTGGGCTCTGAGTCACAGCGCTTGGAACTGCAGATCCTGCAAATTTTTGTACCCATGTGCTTGGTTTCCTTGTAGCTCTCACAGCCAGCATTTGACATTTTGATTAGGTTGAGCAAGGAAGAGAAACTTTAGTTATTTATCACCTTTGTTCATGTCAGACTTTCCTTTAATTATTATTTTTTAAATCCTGTTCTTAAAATGTGGAGCTGAGATGTGATTGGTCCAAGTTTGTGGCAGAAGGGCAGAGCTATGTAGAAGACAAACACCAGGTCTGAAGTGAGGCGTCATTGGGCCATCACTCAGCCCTACCGTGTATGGCGTGGGTTTACCTGAATAAATTACCTAAGCTCTGTGAGCATCTGTAACTCAGCAACAAAGCACAGAGAGCAGTACATTTCCTGTTTAGGTCACAGTGAAAGCCCTATGAGTTAATGGTGTGAAATTGACTTGTACATTGCAAATTACCATGTGACCCATGTATCACCCAAGTATCACCCACGTGACCCTCGGTTAACAATATCAAGACTCTGGCATGGGCTCCCAGCACGGGAATCCAGGGTGTCAACTCCTCTTCATCTTGACATAGTCTAAGATGAAGGTTGGCTCAGCCATTCTCCTTTGCAGCCATTAATCTTGTCACAACCACCATTATATAAGTTATACAAATAAAGGCAGACATTTTTCCAATTTTATAGATGAAGACACTGAGGCTCAGAGAGGTTGAATGACATGCTGTAGTGAATTGCAGCATTGTGACCTGAAGCCAGCATGTCCAGTCATTTCTCTGCCTGCTCTCAGAGTCATCCCTTGACTATTGGTGATCTACACTCATGTGTAGTGGTCTATACTTAGGTGTGTACCCTTTTCCATCACCCCATTGTCCCTAAATTCTTTGCATCCTAGCATCTCAAGAAATCTGTCCAAACTACTCTTCCTAAGTCCAGCCAAGCCTTTTACATCCCCAGCTCAATGAGTTTTTTGTCTGTAATCTTCCAACCTGCCCGTTTTGCAACATTTGCCTCGTAAGGCCACTTTCAGAAACCTATCCCTCAATTTCAATTCAACGTCCAGAGAACTTCATGGACATCTGCTCTGTATTAGGGTCTTAGGACCTGGTGCTGTGCAGGAAAGAAAGATAAACAATATTTACTCTCTAGGCTCTGAATTTTCACTATTTCCTAGTCTAATGGAAAAAGATACAAGCTGACAGTAACACGATATAACAGACATCCGCTTTCCATTGTCTCCTCCTATCCTTCCCATTACTGCCTTTGATTCATCATGGAAGTTTTCCTCCTTCTCCTGTCCCTGAAGTCCCCAAAAGGGAACATCTTCAAGAATTTAACATTTTCATGGCAATCATAATGATGATGATGATAATGATCCTCCTCCTTATCATCATTGTCACGTCATTGTAACAGATCTATTGAGCACATATTATGTTCTAGACACTGTGCTAAGCAATTTACTTGCATTTATTTCATTTGAATCATGCAGTAATTTAATAATGTTGATACACTTATCTGCATTTCCCAAATGGGGAAAGGCCAGTTGATGCTCCCATGCTCCTAACTGTATTCCAGATGCTTACTCGTGGGCCTCTGCTGGCTTCATATGATCTTTGGGATGTGGTTATCTATGCCTGCATGCAGCTACCTTCCATCTTCATCTCTAGTCTGGACCATTTCCCCAATGTTCTCAACCAATCTTTACATCACTTTTTCTGTAAATATCAACTTCACTCTCCAAATTGCTTGGTGATAGATGCTGGAAACTAGGTTCTTTCTGACTCTTCTTTCTTTTTTTGGAGGGGGGGACAGAATCTCACCCTGTCTCCCAGGCTGGAGTGAAGTGGCACAATCTTGGGTCACTGCAACTTTCACCTCCCGGGTTCAAGCGATTTTCCCACCTCAGCCTCCCAAATAGCTGAGACTATAAGTTTGCACCACCATGCCCAGCTAATTTTTGTATTTTTAGTAGAGACAGGGTTTCACCACTTTGGCCAGGCTGGTCTTGAACTCCTGATCTCCAGGGACCTGCCCTCCTCGCGCTCCCAAAGTGCTGGGTTTACAGCCATCAGCCAATTCTTTCTACAAAGTGGTTTGCATAATTTTCAGGGACCAACTCAAATACCAGTTCCTCATGATCTCAATCACCCCAGTTGAAAGAGATCCCTCCCTCCTCTGCAGTTCTGCAGAGCACATTTTGCATGACACTTGGAGCTTCTACCAAGTTCCATAATGAATGCCATATACTATTTGTGAACATTTCTTATTATCTTTAATAGATGGTGTCTTTTCATTTATGTCCTTATATTAATGAGAAAGTATATACTCAAGTCCTATGTTGCTTTCACCCTTTAGATAATAAGAATTATTTTCAAATCCTAGAGTATCTCCTAGGATGCTCAGGATGAATATCACAAAGAAGAAATACTTCCAGAAGAGCAAGGAAATAGGGAGAGAACAGTAGCAGCTAATGCAAAGACAACAAATGATTTACAACATGAGAACAATCTGAACACACTTATGGTTTAACAAAACATAAATAAATTCGTGAGATACTGAGTGTGGCAGGCAGCCACTGCAATGGCCCCCAGTAACCCTTGCCTTTAGGGAATGCTGGTATCGTGCTTTGGTGCAGATATGATATGGAGGGTGGAGCAGAGGCTTATGAGACTGAAGGCCAGAAGACCAAGAGCTGAACTCAGGTCTGCTGTGTTTCGGATGCCAGTGGGAGAAAGAGGCAGACCTGAGTGCCAGAGCCATCTAGAAGAAGCAATCAAGAGTTAATACAATGGTTGAGCATGAGAGAAGCAATTAAGAGAGGAGGCAGCCTAGGGATACTGTTCAGGGGACAGGGTAGGTGGCGGTCCCATCAATTAGAATTAAAGTGGTGATGCCAGCAGGCACTGAGGGAGACATGCTATGGAGAGAGAGCCAGGCTTAACATATGGCATCTTTTTAAAACAGGCTCAAACTAGTTTAGGAATTTACAGGCTTAGCAGTGATGTGGGGTTGCATGCCTTTCCCAGAGTTTCTAAAATCATGCCTGACAAGATGGGGACTGACTCTCCTAATTCCTATAGGCAAAATCAAGGAGGGGATAAGTGTATGAGAAATTCATATAAAGCTACCCTAAAGACATTTTTCTACCCATTTGGCAGCAATATTTTCACCACAAATAGAATGAAGTGCATAATACTACCTCACCTTCTGTTTACACTGGGTAACTCCAACCGGGTTCTTTCTATTTAATCATGGCCCTGTCCCAGTAAAAACACACCCTATACTACCTCTGGCCACCAGCCTACACAGTTCTGATGGCTGCTTCCTCAGGGAGGACTTTTAGGGGACAGGTGGCTCTTACAAAGCAATCATGAGCTCAACTCATCAATGGGCTGGCAGCTGAGGTGGGGAAGTGATGCATCCAAGGCAAAAGGTGTGACCCAGGGGACTTTTTGTTAAAACAGGTCGTCTGCCACTATCCTTTCTTCAGAACTGGTAATTGAAATGAGCCTATTGACTGATGTGGTAATAGGCCATGGATGACTATTAAATGATTTGCACATGGTGGCTAGTATCTATGGAGCTGTTATTACGTACCTGGCATGGCAATGGTGCTTTAATGCATTTCTCTGACAAAAAAAGGCATAAAGTAGGTATCAGAATTTTTACTTAAGGATAAGGAGGAGGCACAGTGGCTCACACCTGTAATCCTAGCACTTTGGGAGGTCAAGGTGGGTGGATCTCCTGAGGTCAAGAGTTTGAGACAAGCCTGGCCAACATGGTGAAACCCAGTGTCTATTGAAAATACAAAAATTATCTAGAAGTGGTGGCGGGCACCTGTAATCGTAGCTACTTGGGAGGCTGAGGCAGAAAAGTTGCTTGAACCTGGGAGGTTGAGGTTGCAGTGAGCCCAGATCACGCCATTGCACTCCAGCCTGGGTGACAGCAAAACTCTGTTTCCAAAAAAAAAAAAAAAAAAAAGATTAAGGAAACTAAGGCTAAGACAAATGAAATAACTTTCTAAAATTTGAAGCCCAGGACCATCAGGCTCACAGATTATGCTAACTACTTGCTTTATTATTCAGGTTATTGTAGTTATATTTTATATCCATGTTTCTGTCAAAGGTTTTTGGTGTGGGGTTTCCCAGTGGAAAGGTAAATGATTATATATGGTGGAGAATAAATGAGAGAGGGCTTGGGGAATGGAAGCCACACCTCACCCACTTGGCTCAGACCACAGGGCTACTCCTGTTTTGAGAATTTCCAGCTAACTGCCTTATAAAATTACATAGCATGGTATTTATGGTGCTAGAGCACCAAGAAAAATTCAATAAAATGATGAATTTGACATCTCTGACTCAATCTCCTCTTCCATATTTTTCAAGAGGTTTTATGATTGCATATATTAGGGGCCAGCAAACCTTTTCTGTAAAGGGCTAGACAGTAAATATTTCTAGGCATTGCTGGCCATGTGGCTTCTGTTGCAACTACTTAATTCTGCAGCTATAGTACAGAAGCAGTCATAAACAATACATAAACAAATGGCCATGGCTTTGTTCCAATAAAAATTTATTTATAAAACTGGGTGGCAACTGGATTTAGCCAGCAGTCCATAGTTTTCTGACCCCTGGCATAAATTTATGAGACACTGAGTGTGGCAGGCAGCCTCTACGATTGCTGCCAAGGATTCCTGTCTTTGTGAAATGCTGTGATTCATGCTCTGGTGTAAGCCACTCCTTTTGATTATGAGCTGGCCTCATTCACTCATTTCTAATAAATAGATTATAAGTCTATGAAGCAATAGATTATAACCTAATCTCAGAAGTCATGAGAGTAAGCTATAAAAAGGCTGTGGGTTCAGTTTTGGATGCCTTCTCACTCTTCTTGCTCTTGTGGAAGCCTGCTGCCATGTTTTGAGTCGCCCTATGGAGAGACCTACAAGGCAATGAACTGAGGGGCTTCTCTGGCCAACAGCTAGTCAGTCACTAAGGCTCTTAATATACCAGTCCACAGGGAACTAACTCCCTCCAATAACCATATGAGTGAGTTTATGGAAGTAGATCCTTCCCTGTGTAGGCTTCAGATACAAATGCAGCCCTGGCTGACAGCTTAACTGCGACTTCATGACTGAGCTTGATCTAGAAGCACCCAGCTGGGCCATGCCTAGTTTCTACAATCCACAGAATGTGTGAGATAACAATGTTTCTCGTCTTCATCCACTAAGTTTTGGGATAATTTGTTATGCAGCAATGGATAACTAATATAGTGAGGTATAGTGCAAAGAATGGAAGAGATTTAGAGACCTATGTTTCAGTCCCAGTTTTTTTACAAATTTGCTATGTAAATTTAGACTAACTGTTGACCAAGTCTAGCCCTTCCATTTTTTATTCTGCCTACAAAAGGGAAAGGAATCATGGATTTCTGAGGTCATTACAGGTCTAAGTCTTCATGGTTCATTGAATTGTCAAGCTGATTCCTGCATCTAAACCAGAGTCTTGAATTGGAAGCCCATGAGTAAAATATAGTCTATCGAAGTATTTTGATATTAGGTGTCAACATTTAAAACACTAAAAATTTTGCATAAAAATTCAGTTTTCTGACTTCCTCAGAAAAATTCAATGATTAAACCACCAGGGCCCACGTTTCTACATGTAACACTGAGATTTATCCAAAAATCTCTTGTCCCGTTACATCACAGGTCCCCAACCTCTGGGCCATGGACCAGTACCTGTCCCTGGACTGTTAGGAACCGTGCCACACAGCATGAGGTGGGTGACAGGCAAGTGAGCGAAGCTTCATCTGTATTTAAAGCTGCTCCTCATCACTTGCATTACCACCTGAGCCCCACCTCCTGTAAGATAAGTGGCAGCATTAGATTCTCATAGGACTGCAAACCCTATTGTGAACTGTGCGTGCCAGGGATCTAGGTTGCATGTTTCTTATAAGAATCTAATGCCTGATGATCTGTCACTCTCTCCTATCACCCCCAGATAGAGCTCTTTAGTTGCAGGAAAACAAGCTCAGGGCTCCCACTGATTCTACACTATGATAAGTTGTATAATTATTTCACTGTATGTTACAATGTAATAATAGAAATAAAGTGCACAATAAATGTAATGCACTTGAATCATTCCAAAACCATCTCCCCCACCTTGGTCCATGGAAAAATTGTCTTCTACAAAGCTAGTCCCTGGTGCCAAAAAGGTTGGGGACAGCTTCCTTACATAGAATATGAGTGCTCCAATGCACTGCAGTACCCAATTCCTTACTATCTGTCACTGGCCTGGCTCTGATGGTCTTTGGAGAACCACTTGAATGATGCTTATTTTGAGATCTTCCCTAAAACAGAGAAATTATGTTCTTTTACCATCTGCTTGTATCTTGGGTCCAGGACACTGGCCAATTTTTATTTCAATATGGCCTTTGCAAAGTTCTGTGATGTCATAACATCTAGATCCACAAGTCCCGCTCACACAAACTTCAGGGAAATCCCAGATCAGAGCCACATATTCTTACATTAGAACATTAGAGCTCTTATGTTCTTCTCTCTCTTCCTCACATCTAGAATACATCTTATCCCTCCCTCTTTACAGAAAAAGACACACACTTCTACATACACACACACATTTCTAGTTTCACACCATTGTGGTTGGTAAAACATACTTCATATGATGTTAATCTTCTTAAATTTATTAACTTGTTTTGTGGCCTCACATGTTATCTACTCTGGAGAATATTCTACGTGCCCTTGAGAAGAACGTGTATTCTTCTGTTGAATAGAATGTTCAGTATATGTCTGTCAGGTCCATTTGGTCTTTAGTGTTGTTCAAGTCCACTGTTTCTTTGTTGTGTTTCTTTCTAGATGACCTATCCAATGTTGAAAGTGGGGTGTTGAAGTCTCTGATATTACTGAATTGCTGTTACTCCTTTCAGTTCTCTAAATCTTTGCTTTATATATTTATAATTGTTTTATTTTCTTGATGAATTGACCACTTTATCATTATATAATAACTTTATTTGTCTCTTGTTACAGCTTTTGACTTAAAGTCTCTTTTATCTGATGTAGGAACAGCCACTCTTGCTCTTTTTGGTTACCACTTCCATGGAATATTTTTCCCATCCCTTTACTTTCAGCCTGTGTGAGTCCTTCTAGCTAAAGTGAGTCTCTTGTAGACAGCATATAGTTGGACCTTGCTTTTTGATACATTCAACCACTTTACATGTTTTGATTAGAAAATTTAATCCATTTACATTCAAAGTGATAGGTAATGACTTACTATTGTCATGTTGTTAATTGTTTTTCTTTAGTGTTTGTAGTTCCTTTGCTTATAAAATCAATGCACTATTTTTTTTCTCTTTGTTAACTTCAGATCTCAGAGTATATTTAAGAATATCACATCTTTGAGCAGTTGCCCATTAATTCAATCTCAAAACTGGGCATCTTCTTTAAGTCATGCTATGAGTTCCTCATGCTGTTCTGTGCAATGGCAAACCAAAAATGTGTTTTAGTTTTTCTCAAAAACACATTGAAATCTCTTTATCTAGTTTTTGGAGACGGAAGATTATAGGAGTGGAAATCAGTACCCTCCTGTTCTCTATTCCTCTCTGATACAAGCATGTGCACAGAGGTGGTTTTTGGCATTTCTCCATTTCCTGGGGACAGCTTCTTTGAAAAGGAAGTCTTTTTCTCTATTTTTATTTCCATAAAGGCTACTCAGCCAAATAAATGAGGTAGCTGTTTCTTTCCCTACCCTGCAATCTATTTGTTCTTTTTTCAAGGTTCCAACTTCTTCTTACCTTTTTTTCCTTTTTTCCAGGAAGAAAAAAAATATTTAATTTGATCCTAACTTGAAGAATCCAGGTTCAACACCTCCTGAGATACAAAAAGAGGGTGACAGTGTACCTTAATGATCCAAGAAGGCATGAGGTGGAGCAGGAAAGAAATCAAATGCTACTTTGGTGAACAATGAGATCCTACCTCTTGGGGAAGTGAGAAGCATCTCAGTAATCAGGGAAATATTTCTTTCTTCACTTGGGGTTGAGACTGTACTGTCCTCAGAACCTAACATTTGTCCTGGGGAGTTGTACAGATGTTCTATCTAACAGGTTCATGAGCTAAGAAATAAGTTTGTTTGCACTCACCCTGGTGGGCATGCATGGAGACAGCCTGAGGGTTCGACCAGTACCCAGTAGACAAGGCATTTTAGAGAACTCAGCCCCTCAGGCTTAATGTTCTCTGGAGCTTGGGTGTCACTAGATACCCATGATATTCCTGCTGCTATTCTCAGTGACTGCTCCAGCCTGTTTAAGCGAAGGGAAAGAGGTGCTGGAACAATCAAGTGGTGTCCTCACTGCTGGCAGGTGGGAGGGAGGGAGTGAAGGAGAGCAGTGAAGCAAGACTGCACTCCCAAGCAGTGAAGGAGAGAAGGAGGGTGAATGAAGGAGGAGGACAACTTGGGGTCAAGAGACTGAGGCTGGAACATGTAAGAGCCCACTGGCCTTTTAAAGGACCTAAGCAAAGAAACTTCCCTTTTGGAATCTGGGAAAAGCATTAATTTTCCAGACTTTAATTTGTTGCCCTTCTTTGATGAAATCTCCAGAAACTTTGATAAAATGTTCTGTTTGTACTGCATAGGTCTCGTACAAAAGTGTAAGGGAGTTTGAGGGAACTTTTGGTCAGGGGAGGGTGACTGTGGTCCACTGCAACCCTCCTGTGTGCTCCTGGAGAGAGGGCATCATCTTTTACATGGAGGTGACCACAGCAGAAGACCATGACCCCCAGCAGGGCCTCGGTTCCAGGCAACGCTCACAACACATAGGAGGACCCAGAAACACTTTGTTCAGGAAGAACCACAACTCTGTACTTCAAGCAATGGTTCTGAGCTCTGGATGCAGAATGAACACAATGAGGTATCTTAATAATAACAGCTAAAGATCCACCCCAGACAAGGAAGTCACATCACTGCAGGAGGTGCCTTGGCATAATATTTAATTTTCAAAAGCAGCTGAGATGGGGATGAGAACCAGAGGATTAGAGGAAGATGACTCCTTAAGGATGAGGACACTCATCTGGCTTAGAGACACAACCTGGCCTGTAGCTGATACCGTCTGCACCTCAGGCTCCTCCCTGTAAAACAACTCAGTGACAATGGTAAACTCAAATGTGAAGCTTTTCCAGTTCCTTTGGTTTTGCTCACCTGTGACGTGCACCACACCTAGCATCGAACATCGCAGCTGAATATTCAGTCCTGAGTCACCGTGACTCTGCCATCAGCTGGTCAGGCAGATGAGAATTCCAGGAAGCCCGAGGCTGGCGCATCCCCCTGCCGGGAAGGGACCTAGCCTTTGCCCTGTCTCGTGGTGTGAATGTGCATTCCTGGTGCTGAGATTGCCCAGCCACCTTTACTCCCAGTCATGCTAGAGTCTGCCAGGCTTTCCTCACCTGGAGGAGGACACGTGAGTCTTGTGGGAGGAATTGGATAGAAAGACACCCCCCTTTAGAGGAAGAAGGATGGAGAAGCACAATGATGCCGAAATGCTGCCTTCCAAGACTTCTTCAGCTGTAGCAACTTTCCCCACTTCCAGGCACTACCACATGCCTGGTCAATCCTACAGAGAGGCTGAGAGTCTCTTTGTCACCTGGTCCCCCCATTGCTGCCCCTCTACCCGGCCTGGCAGCTGATGCTTCCCTCCATGGGCTCCCCCACCCAGGATCTAGGCGCTGAGTCAACTGGGAGGCAGGAAGGGAGGACAGAGTCCCTTTGACTCTCCCCACATTCTGGTGGGGCTGATCTGTCACTCTTCCGGGTGCCAGCCACTGGGCTAGTTCTTAACTTCCTTCCTTCATTTCTTCCTTCCTTCCTCCCACTTTCATTCCTCCCTCCGTTTCCTCCTTCTTTCCACAAACATAGGCATCGAGCTAAATATTCAGGAAAATAAATGGTGCACAGGTCACAGGCTCTGGGTGGCACAGGAGTCTGTAGAGGACAGCAGACACAGGAGGCAGTTGCATGGTGACAGACTCCAGCTCCAGGTGGGCCCAGCAGTGGAGGAGTCACAGGAGCGGCAGCCAGCCACATTCGGGCCTGAGTGTCAGCTTCCCGGAGAAAGTGTAGTCAGAGCTGCAAGCTAAAGGGTGAACAGGGGAAAATGTGAGCAACGCCCCAGGTGTAGGAACCAGAGGGTACAAAACTGGAAAATAAAAAGCATGTGAGTTCAGGAATTTAAAATACCTTGGGGCTGGAAGTGGTGGCTCAACACCTAAAAAAACTAGCAGTGTGCAATTGTGCATGCCGGTGGTCCCAGGTATTTGGGAGGCTAAGGTGGGAGGAGCACTTGAGCCCAGGAGGTAGAGGCTGCAATAAGCGGTAACAGTGCCACTGCACTCCAGCCTGAGCAACAGAGTGAGTCCCTGTTTCAAAAAACAACAACAAGAAAAAATACTTTGGGCTGGTTGGAGATGAACAAGGCAGCAGTTCTGGCTGGGGAGTTTAGCGGGGGCTTCTGTACAAGGGGTCTTGGGGACCCTATTGGGAAGTTTGGGGCTAACCAGGAGGACAGTGAGCAGCTTGTGATGGGGTTTAGGCAGTCAATGCGGGGGTCAGACTAGGCTTCAGGACAGTCAGCCTGGTACCTAGGGAGGCCTGGGAGCACCAGGCTCAGCGTCAGGGAGGCTCTTGACCTCCTTCCTGTCTGGTGCCCATCGCCCCTTTACGGGCCACCTGGCTTTGGTTTGGATGTCTCCGTCTTGCTTTTAGACCAAAACCGGTGGCTGAATCCATGCCCAGGGCCTGGGACCTGGCTTTGCTCTCTGCTGGCCTCCCTGTGCTTGCTCATCGAGTCTTTCCCACTTGTCATTTTCAGTTTCCATGCTGTACCCAGGATCCTACCATAGGAAGGAAGCCAGTTCGCTCTGCTACATTGAATTTATGCTTCTCTCTTGCTTTTCTGCACCATGCAGACCCACTCGGGGACCAGGGGAGCCTCCTGTAGTGATGGGTCTCATGTCTGAGCCTGACCCTTCTCTCTCCCTGCAGCCCTGCATTGGAGTCCCAGGACACGAGAAGCTGGCAATTCAAGGCCTGACAACAGGCTTAAGCCAGTGTCTAGAGGCATGGAACTGTGCCTCTAGTTCCATTTATATTTTTGAGTGGGAAATATGAACAGTGGATTCAAACCTCTCCTTGGAAGTTCAAATGACAGGAGGAGAAGCCTGCTATGCTAACATGGATCAAAGGGATGGAGACTTTTGAGTGTAAAATCATCCACCGGCTTCTCCCAATACCCACTGCTGGGACAGACACAAATCTCCCTCCTTCCAGGACCATCTTGCCAGGCTCCTGTCTGCTTCCTTCTCCTGAGACAGGGCAGGGGTCCCTTATCTCTTAGTCTTGAGGTGAGCTGTGAAATACCTTGAGATGGCTTCCCAGAGCGGCATGGAGCAAAGCTCACAAGTCATTTTCCACCCTGCCCAAATCCAGGAACACATGCATTTGGCAGAAACCCCAACTCCTTTCACACATTCCCACCACAGTGAGAATAGGAGACTCCGCCCCTTTCTTCCACTTTACCAGCTGTGTGCTCTTGGGCAAGTTTCTTAACTTGGGTGAGTTTCCACTTCTTCATGTCCAAGTAATAATAACCACTTCATTGCAGATCAAGTGTAAAACATAAAAAGCAATTCTTAATGCATGGTCTTCTGTTATCCTTGTTATGACCACAGTGATTGTCACAAGCACTATTTATTAAGAGAGGGAGAGCTAGAAGTGACGTTGTGGGTGAACAGCATGTCTCCTATATTCTACGGCATAGGAACCATGTGGCATAAGGGAAAGTGCACCAGGTTGGGGGCCCATCAGTTTCCACCATTAACTTGCTTCATGCAGACATGCCTCTTGAACCTTAAAATAGACATGGTAAAAGTCTGCTGGCTCCTGGCTGTGTGGCTCTGGGTAAGTGAGTTCACATTTCTGAGTCTTAAGTATCTCATCTACAGTGTAGGCATATTCATGCCACTCCATAGATGACCTGGGATCAATGCATGGGCGGTGCTCGGCACAGAAGCTGGAGTGGAGAAAGCATTCAGTAAGCTCCAACGAGCTGGGAGAGGTGGTGTTGCTAGGTCTACCTGCAGGAGGTGCTTGGGCCCCTGGGAGTTTAGCAACAGAGTTCTTCTATACCTGTATGCTGGACAGATCTGGTCTGAGCTCTGCATCTGCCTGGGCCTTGTCTGTGCCGGTGCTTGTGTCCCATCCCAGGGGCCTCCCTCTGGGTAACCACAGTGACCACGAAGCCCTTGCTAGCCTGTCTATAGGGTGGGCTACTCCTTTGTGTGCATTCTCAGATTTAGTCAGGACAGGCACATGTTTCCCTGCAGGCGAGACCTGTGACTAAGCTTCCAGTGGAGTCACCTGTAGAACAACCTGCAGGTGATCTAACACACCCGTGGCATCCCATGGGGAGGAATCCTGGAAACAGCTTGAACCTCTGGCATCCTGCCATCCCGAGGACCATCAGGATTTTAGAGATGCCATTTATGGTCTTCTGAGTGTGGCGGACCCTTGCTTCTCTGCAGAGTGAGGGAGGAAGCCGAGGACCCTGGGTGAATTGCTTTTATAATTTTGGGTGAATTTCTTAATTCATTCCGAACAGATGACATTATTTGTGTGCATAGAGGGGTATGTGGAAGGCAATTCCAAAAGAGGAATTTTAGTATTCTGAGGTATTGCAGTGTTATTGTTAAAGCACATAGCCTATGGTACTGCAAGAGTAGGATTTTGAAAGGTTTTCTTCTTTGTTTTGTTAAAAATCCATCTTATCCCTTTATTGTTGCAGTAGGTTAACAGACAGCCATTTTCAGTTGGTTGATAATCAGCCTGGGAGAGCTATGCTGCCCGTCTCTGCCTCATGTGAGGAAGGATAGGGGCTTGGAGGAGTTTCGGTGGGATGGACCTGCTCATATCGCCCAGCAAGGATTGTCATGGGGGTGGGATTTGGTGATAATAAATCACCTTCGGAGATGGGTGGCAGGACAAGAGCCTCACCTTTCTGTGACGATTATTTGCATCAAGTGTTCCAAGAGGTGGCAAGACAAACCTGACTGCCTTGATCTGAAGAGCCCAGACCAACTCTAAAAGGTTTAGACTTTGAGCTTGTGTGGGAGATTGGCTCATGCATGGGTGGTTTAAAAATCCATTCTAGGCCGGTCGCGGTGGGTGATGCCTGTAATCCCAGCACTTTGGGAGGCCAAGGAGGGTGGATCACCTGAGGTCAGGAGTTTGAGACCAGCTGGCCAACATGGTGAAACCCCGTCTCTACTAAAAATATAAAAACTAGCCAGGTTCAGGTGTGCACATCTGTAATTCCAGCTATTTGGGAAGGTTGAGGCAGGAGTATCCCTTGAACCTGGGAGGCGGAGGTTGCGGTGAGCCA